>NC_000016.10:31323351-31638558 GCF_000001405.40 Homo sapiens | reverse complement strand
AACTAACAAGACAGGAAATAACCAAAATCAGAGCTGAACCAAATGAAATTGAGACATGAAAAACTGTACAAAAGAGCAATGAAACCAGAAGTTGGTTATTTGAAAGAATAAATAAGATTGATAGCCCACTAGCTAGACTAATGAAAAAAAGAGAAGATCCAAATAAACACAATCAGAAATTACAAAGAGGACTGTACCCCTGACTCCACAGAAATACAAAAACTCTCAGAGGCTACCATGAACAACTCTGTGCACACAAACTAGAAAACCTAGAAGAAACAAATAAATGCCTGGAAACATACAACCTCTTAAGATTGAACCAGGGAGAAATTGAAACCCTGAACAGATCAATAATGGCTTCTGAAATTGAATCAGTAATAAAAAGCCTACCAACCAGAAAAAGTTCAGGACCAGACAGATTCACAGCTGAGTTCCACAGACATAGAAAGAAGGGCTTGTACTATTACTATTGAAATTATTCTAAAAAAAATTAAAAAGGAGGAACTCCTCCCTAACTCATTCTATTGCCAGCAACATCCTGATACCAAAACCTGGCAGAGACACAACCGAAAAAGAAAAATTCAGCCAATGTCACTGATGAACAATTCAATTTTTGAAGTGAAGGAACTCAGATCCAAAAAGCTGTATATTCAGCCCTCTGTATCCATGAAGTTTGTATTCTTGGATTCAACCAACCAAGGATCAAAAATATAATTAGGCCTATGATGCTTGCATCCATACTAAATCTATAGAGTTATTTTTCTTGTTAGAATCCCCTAAACAATATCAGTATAACAACTACTGACATAGCATTTACATTGCATTAGGTATTATAAGTAGCCTAGATATGACTTAAAGTTCATGTGCATAGGTTATATAAAAATAGTGTACCATTTTATATAAGGCATTGAGCATCTACAGATTTTCATATTTGCAGGGATTTGAAAAAATCCACCATATATACTGAGAGACAACTGTAAATTATGTAAATCTATTTATAGAGCATTGTAAGAAAGAGCAAAATTATAGAGATGGAAAATGAGCAGTAGTGGCGAAAGGAAGGGATGGGGAAAGTTGTTTACTGAAAGGGACAGCATAAAAGAAATTTGGTGGGTGAAAAAAAGTTCTGTGTGGTACTCCAGTGGTGAAAGATGACTCTAGACCATTGTTAAAACCTGTTGAACTGTACACCACAAAGAACAAATTTTTCTGTATAAAATTTTTAAAAAATCAGGCCGGGTGCAGTGGCTCATGCCTGTAATCCCAGCACTTTGAGAGGCCGAGGTGGGTGGTACACCTGAGGTCAGGAGTTCAAGACCAGCCTGGACAACATGGTGAAACTCCATCTCTGAAATACAAAAATTAGCTGGGCATGGTGGCGGGCACCTGTAATCCCTGTAAGCTACTTGGGAGGCTGAAGCAGGAGAATTGCTTGAACCCCGGAGGTGGAGGTTGCACTGAGCTGAGATTGTGCCATTGCACTCCAGCCTGGGCAACAGAGCAAAACTCCATCCCAAAACAAATTTTTTTTAATAGACCAAGTTGCTGAAGAAATTCAGATAGAATATAGACAATGACAGATGAATTAAGCTATATTCCAAATGTATGACATACTGACTATTTCACCGGGGTTGGAGATGAAAAGTCCTGACCCAAGTAACTTTGGGAAAGATACGGGGTATTGCAAGAATCAAAATCTCTACACAAACACTAAACTATATTTCAACTTAATTGTTGAAATTCCTCTGTCAGGAAGATTTGTCTCTTCCCTCCCTCTTTCTTCCTTCCATTCTTCCTTCCTTTCCATTTCTTCTTTCTTTCTTTTCTTCTTTCTTTTTCTTTGAAACGGAGTCTCACTCTATCGCCCAGGCTGGAGTGCAGTGGTGCAAGCTCAGCTCACTGCAACTTCCGCCTCCTGGGATCACGTGATTCTCCTGTCTCAGCCTCCTGAGTAGCTGGGACTACAGGCATGCGCCCAGCTAATTTTGTACTTTTAGTAAAGACAGGGTTTCACCATATTGTCCAGGCTGGTCTCAAACTCCAGAAGTCAGATGATCCACCTGCCTCAGCCTCCCAAAGTGCTGGGATGACAGGCATGAGTCAACGTGCCCGGTTGGTATTTACTTTCTAATTATACATGGACCTTTACATAAATGCTTTGTGCATGCATGCAATTCTGTATGCATGTTATAATATCAATAAATATTAAATATTATGGGTTGGGTGTGGTGGCTCATGCCTGTAATCCCAACACTTTGGGAGGTCAAGACGGGTGGATCACAAGGTCAGGAATTTGAGACCAGCCTGACCAACATGGTGAAACCCCATTTCTACTAAAAATACAAAAATTAGCCAGGCATGGTGGTGCGTGCCTGTAATCCCAGCTACTCAGGAGGCTGAGGCAGGAGAAATACTTGAACCCAGGAGGTAGAGGTTGCACTGAGCCGAGATTATGCCATTGCACTCCAGCCTGGGCAACAGAGCGAGACTCCATCTCAGAAAAAAAAAACAAAAACAAAAAAAGAAAACATATTGGTTCTGGAGCCAAGATGGCTGAATAGGAACAGCTCCGGTCTACAGCTCCCAGCGTGAGCAACACAGAAGACAGGTGATTTCTGCATTTCCATCTGAGGTACTGGGTTCATCTCACTAGGGAGTGCCAGACAGTGGGCGCAAGACAGTGAGTGCAGCGTACCGTGCGGGAGCCAAAGCAGGGCGAGGCATTGCCTCACTCAGGAAGCGCAAGGGGTCAGGGAGTTCCCTTTCCTAGTCAAAGAAAGGGGTGACAGACAGCACCTGGAAAATCAGGTCACTCCCACCCCAATACTGCGCTTTTCCGATGGGCTTAAAAAACGGCGCACCAGGAGATTATATCCCACACCTGGCTCAGAGGGTCCTACGCCCACTGAGTCTCGCTGATTGCTAGCATAGCAGTCTGAGATCAAACTGCAAGGTGGCAGCGAGGCTGGGGGAGTGGTGCCCACCATTGCCCAGGCTTGCTTAGGTAAACAAAGCAGCCAGGAAGCTCGAACTGGGTGGAGCCCCCCATAGCTCAAGGATGCCTGCCTGCCTCTGTAGGCTCCACCTCTGGGGGCAGAACACAGACAAACAAAAAGACAGCAGTAACCTCTGCAGACTTAAATGTCCCTGTCTGACAGCTTTGAAGAGAGCAGTGGTTCTCCCAGCACGCAGCTGGAGATCTGAGAACGGGCAGACTGCCTCCTCAAGTGGGTCCCTGACCCCTGACCCCCGAGCAGCCTAACTGGGAGGCACCCCCCAGTAGGGGCAGACTGACACCTCACACGGCCGGGTACTCCTCTGAGACAAAACTTCCAGAGGAACGATCAGACAGCAGCATTCGCGGTTCACGAAAATCCGCTGTTCTTCAGGCACCGCTGCTGGTACCCAAGCAAACAGGGTCTGGAGTGGACCTCTAGCAAACTCCAACAGACCTGCAGCTGAGGGTCCTGTCTGTTAGAAGGAAAACTAACAAACAGAAAGGACATCCACACCAAAAACCCATCTGTACATCACCATGATCAAAGACCAAAAGTAGATAAAACCACAAAGATGGGGAAAAAACAGAGCAGCAAAACTGGAAACTCTAAAAAGCAGAGCACCTCTCCTCCTCCAAAGGAACGCAGCTCCTCACCAGCAACGGAACAAAGCTGGATGGAGAATGATTTTGATGAGTTGAGAGAAGAAGTCTTCAGACCATCAGACTACTCCGAGCTACAGGAGGAAATTCAAACCAAAGGCAAAGAAGTTGAAAACTTTGAAAAAAATTTAGACAAATGTATAACTAGAATAACCAATACAGAGAAGTGCTTAAAGGAGCTGATGGAGCTGAAAGCCAAGGCTCGAGAACTACGTGAAGAATGCAGAAGCCTCAGGAGCCAATGTGATCAACTGGAAGAAAGGGTATCAGTGATGGAAGATGAAATGAATGAAATGAAGAGAGAAGGGAAGTTTAGAGAAAAAAGAATAAAAAGAAATGAACAAAGCCTCCAAGAAATATGGGACTATGTGAAAAGACCAAATCTACATCTGATTGGTGTACCTGAAAGTGACAGGGAGAATGGAAGCAAGTTGGAAAACACTCTGTAGGATATTATCCAGGAGAACTTCCCCAATCTAGCAAGGCAGGCCAACATTCAGATTCAGGAAATACAGAGAATGCCACAAAGATACTCCTCGAGAAAAGCAACTCCAAGACACATAATTGTCAGATTCACCAAAGTTGAAATGAAGGAAAATATGTTAAGGGCAGCCAGAGAGAAAGGTCGGGTTACCCACAAAGGGAAGCCCATCAGACTAACAGCGGATCTCTCGGCAGAAACTCTACAAGCCAGAAGAGAGTGGGGGCCAATATTCAACATTCTTAAAGAAAAGAATTTTCAACCCAGAATTTCATATCCAGCCAAACTAAGCTTCATAAGTGAAGGAGAAATAAAATCCTTTACAGACAAGCAAATGCTGAGAGATTTTGTCACCACCAGGCCTGCCCTAAAAGAGCTCCTGAAGGAAGCACTAAACATGGAAAGGAACAACTGGTACCAGCCACTGCAAAATCATGCCAAAATGTAAAGACCATCGAGGCTAGGAAAAAACTGCATCAACTAACGAGCAAAATAACCAGCTAACATCATAATGACAGGATCAAATTCACACATAACAATATTAACTTTAAATGTAAATGGACTAAATGCTCCAATTAAAAGACACAGACTGGCAAATTGGATAAGGAGTCAAGACCCATCAGTGTGCTGTATTCAGGAAACCCATCTCATGTGCAGAGACACACATAGGCTCAAAATAAAAGGATGAAGGAAGATCTACCAAGCAAATGGAAAACAAAAAAAGGCAGGGGTTGCAATCCTAGTCTCTGATAAAACAGACTTTAAACCAACAAAGATCAAAACAGACAAAGAAGGCCATTACATAATGGTAAAGGGATCAATTCAACAAGAAGAGCTAACTATCCTAAATATATATGCACCCAATACAGGAGCACCCAGATTCATAAAGCAAGTGCTTAGTGACCTACAAAGAGACTTAGACTCCCACACAATAATAATGGGAGACTTTAACACCCCACTGTCAACATTAGACAGATCAACAAGACAGAAAGTTAATAAGGATACCCAGGAAGTGAACTCAGCTCTGCACCAAGCAGACCTAATAGATGTCTACAGAACACTCCACCCGAAATCAGCATAATATACATTTTTTTCAGCACCACACCACACCTATTCCAAAATTGACCACATAATTGGAAGTAAAGCTCTCCTCAGCAAATGTAAAAGATTGGAAATTATAACAAACTGTCTCTCAGACCACAGTGCAATCAAACTAGAACTCAGGATTAAGAAACTCTCTCAAAACCGCTCAACTACATGGAAACCGAACAATCTACTCCTGAATGACTACTGGATACATAACGAAATGAAGGCAGAAATAAAGATGTTCTTTGAAACCAACGAGAACAAAGACACAACATACCAGAATCTCTGGGACGCATTCAAAGCACTGTGTAGAGGGAAATTTATAGCATTAAATGCCCACAAGAGAAAGCAGGAAAGATCCAAAATTGACACCCTAACATCACAATTAAAAGAACTAGAAAAGCAAGAGCAAACACATTCGAAAGCTAGCAGAAGGCAAGAAATAACTAAAATCAGAGCAGAACTGAAGGAAATAGAGACACAGAAAACCCTTCAAAAAATTAATGAATCCAAGAGCTGGATTTTTGGAAAGATCAACAAAATTGATAGACCATTAGCAAGACTAATAAAGAAGAAAAGAGAGAAGAATCAAATAGATGCAATAAAAAATGATAAAGGGGATATCACCACCAATCCCACAGAAACACAAACTACCATCAGAGAATACTACAAACACCTCTACGCAAATAAACTAGAAAATCTAGAAGAAATGGATAAATTCCTGGACACATACACCCTCCCAAGACTAAACCAGGAAGAAGTTGACTCTCTGAATAGACCAATAACAGGCTCTGAAATTGTGGCAATAATCAATAGCTTACCAACCAACAAGAGTCCAGGACCAGATGGATTCACAGCCAAATTCTACCAGAGGTACAAGGGGGAACTGGTACCATTGCTTCTGAAACTATTCCAATCAATAGAAAAAGAGGGAATCCTCCCTAACTCATTTTATGAAGCCAGCATCATCCTGATACCAAAGCCGGGCAGAGACACAACCAAAAAAGAGAATTTTAGACCAATATCCTTTATGAACATTGATGCAAAAATCCTCAGTAAAATACTGGCAAAACGAATCCAGCAGTACATCAAAAAGCTTATCCACCATGATCAAGTGGGCTTCATCCCTGGGATGCAAGGCTGGTTCAATATATGCAAATCAATAAATGTAATCCAGCATATAAACAGAACCAAAGACAAAAACCACATGATTATCTCAATAGATGCAGAAAAGGCCTTTGACAAAATTCAACAACCCTTCATGCTAAAAACTCTCAATAAATTAGGTATTGATGGGATGTATCTCAAAATAATAAGAGCTATCTATGACAAACCCACAGCCAATATCATGCTGAATGGGCAAAAACTGAAAACATTCCCTTTGAAAACTGGCACAAGACAGGGATGCCCTCTCTCACCACTCCTATTCAACATAGTGTTGGAAGTTCTGGCCAGGGCAATTAGGCAGGAGAAGGAAATAAAGGGTATTCAATTAGGAAAAGAGGAAGTCAAATTGTCCCTGTTTGCAGACGACATGATTGTATATTTAGAAAACCCCATTGTCTCAGCCCAAAATCTCCTTAAGCTGATAAGCAACTTCAGCAAAGTCTCAGGATACAAAATCAATGTACAAAAATCACAAGCATTCTTATACACCAATAACAGACAGAGAGCCAAATCATGAGTGAACTCCCATTCACAATTGCTTCGAAGAGAATAAAATACCTAGGAATCCAACTTACAAGGGATGTGAAGGACCTCTTCAAGGAGAACTACAAACCACTGCTCAATGAAATAAAAGAGGATACAAACAAATGGAAGAACATTCCATGCTCATGGGTAGGAAGAATCAATATCGTGAAAATGGCCATACTGCCTAAGGTAATTTATAGATTCAATGCCATCCCCATCAAGCTGCCAATGACTTTCTTCACAGAATTGGAAAAAACTACTTTAAAGTTCATATGGAACCAAAAAAGAGCCCGCATCACCAAGTCAATCCTAAACCAAAAGAACAAAGCTGGAGGCATCAAGCTATCTGACTTCAAACTATACTTACTACAAGCCTACAGTAACCAAAACAGCATGGTACTGGTACCAAAACAGAGATATAGATCAATGGAACAGAACAGAGCCCTCAGAAATAATGCCACATATCTACAACTATCTGATCTTTGACAAACCTGACAAAAACAAGCAATGGGGAAAGGATTCCCTATTCAATAAATGTTGCTGGGAAAACTGGCTAGCCATATGTAGAAAGCTGAAACTGGATCCCTTTCCTTACACCTTATACAAAAATTAATTCAAGATGGATTAAAGACTTAAATGTTAGACCTAAAACCATAAAAACCCTAGAAGAAAACCTAGGCATTACCATTCAGGACATAGGCATGGGCAAGGACTTCATGTCTAAAACACCAAAAGCAATGGCAACAAAAGCCAAAATTGACAAATGGGATCTAATTAAACTAAAGAGCTTCTGCACAGCAAAAGAAACTACCAGCAGAGTGAACAGGCAACCTACAAAATGGGAGAAAATTTTTGCAACCTGCTCATCTGACAAAGGGCTAATATCCAGAATCTACAATGAACTCAAACAAATTTACAAGAAAAAAACAAACCCATCAAAAAATGGGCAAAGGACATGAACAGACACTTCTCAAAAGAAGGCATTTATGCAGCCAAAAGCACATGAAAAAATGTTCACCATCACTGGCCATCAGAGAAATGCAAATCAAAACCACAATGAGATACCATCTCACACCAGTTAGAATGGCAATCATTAAAAAGTCAGGAAACAACAGGTGCTGGAGAGGATGTGGAGAAATAGGAACACTTTTACACTGTTGGTGGGACTGTAAACTAGTTCAACCCTTGGGGAAGTCAGTGTGGCGATTCCTCAGGGATCTAGAACTAGAAATACCATTTGACCCAGCCATCCCATTACTGGGTATATACCCAAAGGACTATAAATCATGCTGCTATAAAGACACATGCACACATATGTTTATTGTGGCAGTATTCACAATAGCAAAGACTTGGAACCAACCCAAATGTCCAACAATGATAGACTGGATTAAGAAAATGTGGCACATATACACCATGGAATACTATGCAGCCATAAAAAAGGATGAGTTCATGTCCTTTGTAGGGACATGGATGAAATTGGAAATCATCATTCTCAGTAAACTATCGCAAGAACAAAAAACCAAACACCGCATATTCTCACTCATAGGTGGGAATTGAATGATGAGAACACATGGACACAGGAAGGGGAACATCACACTCTGGGAACTGTTGTGGGGTGGGGGTAGGGGGGGGAGGGATAGCATTAGGAGATATACCTAATGCTACATGACAAGTTAATGGGTGCAGCACACCAGCATGGCACATGTATACATACATAACTAACCTGCACATTGTGCACATGTACCCTAAAACTTAAAGTATAATTTAAAAAATTTAAAAAATAAAAAAATTAAAAATTAAAAAATTAAAAAAAAATAAAATAAATTTTAGAATTCATTTTTATTTCTGTGAAAACTGATATTGGAATTTTAACAGGGATTACATTGTATCTGTAGATCACTTTGTGTAGTGTGGACATTTCATCAGTATTAATTTTTCCAGTCCATGAACAAGGGATATCTTTACATTTATTTGTGTCTTTTTCAATGACATTTGTCTATGTCTTTTTTTTTTTTTTTTGAAATGGAGTCTTGCTCTGTCACCCAGGCTGGACTGCAGTGGTGCAATCTTGGCTCACTGCAACTTCTGCCTCCCAGGTTCAAGCCATTCTTCTGCCTCAGCCTCCCGAGTAGCTGGGACTACAGGCACCCGCCACCACGCCCAGCTAATTTTTTGTATTTTTAGTAGAGACAGGGTTTCACCGTGTTAGCCAGGATGGTCTTGATCTCCTGACCTCGTGATCTGCCTGCCTCGGCCTCCCAAAGTGCTGGGATTACAGACGTGAGCCACTGTGCCTGGCCCATCAATGTCTTATAGATTTTACTCAGCAGATCTTTCACCTCCTTTGTTAAATGGAATCATAAGAATTTTATACTTTTTGATGCTATTATAAATTGGATTGTTTGCTTAACTTTTTTTCTCAGATCATTTATTGTTAGTATATAGAAATGCAACTAATTTTTGTATGTTAATTTTGTGACCTCAGCTTTACTGAATGAGTTTATTAGCTCTAACTCTTTGTGTATACTCTTCAGGGTTTTCTATATATAAAATCACCTAATCTGCAAGCAGATAGAATTTTAATTCTTCATTGCCAATGTGAGTGCCTTTGATTTCTTTTTCTTACCTAATTGCTCTTGTTGCAGGGCTTGTGAGCCGCCAAATTGGGGCTTATCCTGGGAAGGTTCACGGCTTCACTCAGGAAGAATTCAAGTGCAAGATAGTGGTAGAAGAAAACAGCTTTATTGAGCTGGCAGTGTTGCAGCTCTATGAGTGCTCCTGTGGAGCGAGGCTCCCCTGTAGGCAGTGTGCTGAGAGGAGCAGTTCTGCAGTCATGTACTTATATACCCACTTTTCATTACATGCAAACTAAGGGGCAGTGTTTTTTCCCTTCAATTTTTTGGAAGAATTTGAGAAGGATGGACATTAATTCATCTTTAAATGTGTGATGCAATTCACCCATGAAGTCATTTGGTCATGGGCTTTTTCTCATTGGATTTTTTATTACTGCTTCAATCTCCTTTCTTATTATTGGTCTGTTCAGTATTTCTGTTTTTTGTGATTTAATCTTGGTGAGTCATTCATTTCTAAGAATCTATTTCTAAGTTATCCAATTTGTTGTCATATAATTGTTCATAGTAGTCTGTTATTATTCTTTGTATTTGTGTGTTGTCAGTTGCAATGACTCATCTTTCTTTCTTTCTTTCATTTATTTATTTATTTGAAACAAGGTCTCACTCCGATGTCCAGGCCAAAGTGCAGTGGCGTGATCATGACTCACTGCAGCCTCAACCTCCCAGGCTCAGGTGATTCTCCCACCTCCCAAGTAGTTGGAACTACAGGTGCACACCACCGTGCTCAGCTAATTTTTGTATTTTTTAGAGAGAGGGGTTTCACCATGTTGCCCAGGCTGGTCTCCCACTCCTGAGCTCAGGTGATTTACCTACCATGGCCTCCCAAAGCGCTGGGATTACAAGCATGAGCAAGTGCGCCCAGCCCATTTATAATTTTTTGAGTCCTCTCTCTTTTTGTTCCTTTGCTTAATCTGGCCAAAAGTTTCTCAATTTTGTTTTCTTTAAAAAATTCAACTCAGTTTCTTTGATCTTTTCTATTGTCTTTCTATTTAGTCTCTTTTTGTTCTAATTCTTACTATTTCCATAATTATGCTAACATTGGGATTATTTTGTTCTTCTTGTTCAAGTTTCTAGAGGATTAGAGTTAGATTTTTTATTCAACATCTTTTTCTTCTTAATGTAGGACTTTATTATTATAAACTTCTGTATTAGAACTGTTTTGGTTGCATCCCAGAAGTTTTGGTTTGTGTTTCCAATTTCATTTGTCTCAGGATATGTTTTGATTTGTCTTTTGATTTCTTCTTTAACCCATTGATTTTTCAGGAGTGTATTGTTTAATATTCACATATTTGTGAGTTTCCAGTTTTCTTCCTGCTATTGATTTTCAGTTTTATATCAGTGCAATCAGAAAAAAAACTTGATATAATTTTAATCTTTATAAATTTGAAAAGACTTACTGTTTTTTACTTTTGGTTTAACATGTCATCTATCCTGGAGAATATTTCATGTATTCTTAGAAGACTGTGTATTCTCATATTGTTGGATGGGATGTTATATGTATAATTAGTCTATAGTATTATATGAGTGCACTGTTTTCTTAATTTTGTGCTTGAATGATCTATCCATTTTAAGTAGGGTACTAATGTTCTCTTTTATTGTATTTCTGTATATTTCTCTTTCCAGTTCTGTTAATGTTTGCTTTATATATTTAGGTATTCCAGTGTTGGGTGCGTATATCTATTTAATTGTTCTAACCTCTGGACAAATTAACCTCTCTATTATTATATAGTTAACTCCTTTGTCTCTTGTGACAGATTTTGTCAGACAGCCCGTTTTATTTAAGGTAAGTATAACTACCCCTGCCTGCACTCTTTTGTTTACCATTTGTATGGAATATCCTTTCCAGTTCTTTCACTTTTAGCCTAGGTTTGTCCTTAAATCAAAAGTGAGTCTCTTGTAAGCAACCTGTCACTGGATTTTCAAAAATTCATTCAGCCACTCTCTGTTTTAAATTTGTTTTGTGCTGCTATATCAGAATATGACAGGGTATTTTGTAAGGAAATGGGTGATTTATAAGGAATACAAGTTAATTTAGCTTATGATTCTGGAGGCAAGGAAAGCAGAGAGCATGACACTGGCATCTGGTGAAGACCTTTATGCTGCATAATAACATAGCCAAAGGCATGACGGGGAGAGAGCTCCCTTTTATAACAAATGCACACTTGTGATAATTAACCCACTGCTGTGATAAGGACATTAATACATTCATGCAGGCAGAGCTCTCATGGCCTAATCACTTATTAAAAGTCCCACTTCTTAATTCTATCACAATGGCTATTAAATTTTAACCTAAATTTTGAAAGTGACATTCAGTCTATATCAGTGTCTGTTTATTGGATAATTTAACCACTTTATATGTAATTATTGATAGGTAACCATTATAATTTTGTTTTCTGTTTTATACTTCATTTGTTTCTTTTTTCCTCTTATGCTGTCTTCCCTATGGTTTTATTAATTTTTTGTCTTGTTTTTGTTGTTTTTATATACTTTGATTACTTTCTCTTTTTATTGTATGTATCTACTACAGTTTTTTTTCCCCAGTGGTTATAAGACTTACATAAACATTATATAACAGTCTAGTTTAAGATGATAATAATTCAACTTTTATACATAGAAAAACTGTACAGCTTTCCTCCCCTTCACACATTTTACATTATCTATGTCACACTTTAAAACTTTTTATATTGTGTATTCATTAACAAATTATCAGCTATACTTTTAAAAAATACTTCTGTTTTATAGTTCTTATACTAGAATTAAAAGTGATTTATGTACCACCGTTACAGTATTCGAGTATTCTGAATTTCACTATGTACCATTTCCAGTAATATTTGTAGTTTTAATGTTTTCATATTTAGTTTGCATTTCATCATTTCAACTTGAGTAATTCCCTCTAGTCCTTTAGCATTTCTAGACAGGTCTAGTGGTGATGAATTCCCTTAACTTTTTTTTTGGTGGGGGGGCCTTGAAATGTCTTCATCTGTCTTTTATTTCTAGAAGATGCTTTGTTGTATATAGCCTTCTTAGTTGTCTTTTTTTTTTAATCTTCCTTCTTTCAGCACTTTGAATATATGGTATAACTCCCATTTGGCCTGTAAGGTTTCTGCTAAAAAATCTACTGATAACATTATAAAGTTTCCCTTGTATGTGAAGAATCTCTTATCTCATGCTGCTTTCATGATTCTTGCTTTGTCTTTGAATTTTGACAATTTAATTATAATATGTCCCAGGGATATCTTCATTAGGTTCTTCTTGCTGTAGTTATTTTGAGCTTTATGAAACTGGTTGTTCATATCCTTTTCCAGATTTGGGGAATTTTAAGACATTATATCTTTAAATAATCTTTTTTTCCTGTTTCTTTCTTCCTCTGAAAATCCTAAAATATGTATATTTGTTCACTTTATGATATATAGCCTATATGCTCCCTTCTTGCTTTCATTTTTTTTCTAATTGATTACTTTCAAATGACCTGTCTTTGAGTTTGCTGATTTTTTTTTTTTTTCATGATTGAGTCTCTTGTTAAAACTGTTACATTTTTTCAGTTCTTCCATTGTTCACTTTAGTGCCAAGATTTCTGTTTGGTTCTTTTTAATGGTTTCTATTTCTCTATTAAAAGTCTCATTTTGTTCAAATATAGTATTATGAAACTTTTTAGTTATCTATCTGTGTTCTTTTGAATCTCACTGAAATTCTTTTTTTGTTTGTTTGTTTGAGATGGAGTCTCGCTCTGTTGCCCAGGCGGGAGTGCAGTGGCGTGATCTCAGCTCACTGCAAGCTCCGCCTCCCGGGTTCACGCCATTCTCCTGCCTCAGCCTCCCGAGTAGCTGAGACTACAGGTGCCCACCCACCATGCCCGGCTAATTTTTTGTATTTTTTAGTAGAGGCGGGGTTTCACCGTGTTAGTCAGGATGGTCTCCATCTCCTGACCTCATGATCCACCTGCCTCGGCCTCCCAGTGAAATTCTTTAAGATGATTATTTTGAATTATTTGTCAGCCAACTTTCAGATCTCCATTTCTTTGGAGATGATTACTATGGCTTTTTAGTTTCCTTTGGTGGTGGTGGTGGTGGTTTGCCTGATTCTTTATAATCTGTGTAGCCTTATGTTTATTTCCCTGAATGTGAAGGAGCAAACATCTCTTCCAATCATTATAGACTAGTTTTGGGAAGTAAATACTTTATTCTTTCGGATCCCTGAGCTGATGAGATTTTGACTAAGATTGCACTTGAGTGTGTTGGAGCTGTGTCACATGACTGCTACTGGGTCTGCAGTGGGTTTTATGGGACCCCTGGTCACAGCTGAGAGGGTCTGGAACTGATTCACAGGGGTGCTGCAGGATATGGGCCCTGGGCCCATGGCTTGTCTCCTTCCAGGTTTCTCATTGAGCAGAACTGCTCCCAGACCCTGGCTGACAGAAAGTAGAGCCAAACTTACAGGGCTACTTTAAGATTCACAGTGAGACTAATGTCAGCAAGTCTAGCTCCAGGGGCACAGATGTGTGTGCTTTCAGGCAGGTCCCAGGTTGAGCAAAACTCCTGACCTGTGGCTGCATGAAACTGAAGCAAAGTTTCAGTGCCACTTCAGGATTCCCATTCCAGTCAGTGTTGGCAGTTCTACACCCAGGGGCACAGATGGATGTTTTTCCCTGAGGGTCCCTGTGTGGACAGAACTTTTTCCAGACCATGACTGAGAAGTGATGGAGATGGATTTTGCCTTATTCAGGGGCCACAGACAGGATCACGGTCTTCAGGCCTGTCACCTGAATCTCAAGTGGGAAGGAATCCTCCTGGATTCTTGGCAGATTTTTCGAGCAGCAGGACCAAGGCCAAATGAGCTATAGTTAAATCTACGGTGGGATATGGCAATTTTTTTGTTTTGTGTCCAGAACCATAATCAACAAGCCTACCCTTCAGTTAAGGACTTGTCCTCAAATTGTCCTCCTTGATCTTGGGCTTCAGCCGGGCATCAGAAATTCTGACCTGGATCGCAAAGCTCCCATAAAGGCATGGCTGCCACATTATGTTGTGAGAAATATGCATGGGGGCCTCCTATTCTGTCATCTTGCTTATGTTTCCAATCCTATATGTTTCACTTTTGAAAATATATCAAATTTGTGATATTTGGAATGAAAAGTTCTGAAACAAAATGCTCGAATGTGCACATTGTATAAGATGTAAATTAGATTACTAGTGGGCACCATGTATTTATTAATATGTTTGATTATAAGTTTAAGTTTACTGCAAGCAAAAAAGAATTATTAAGATTTATAACCATTTTGTATTTAAATGATGTATAATTTAATTCCAAATACTGACTTTATATTTTAGCAATTCTCACCGTATTTTGCAACATTTATGTTGTTCCTTGATTTGGAAATATAAAGCTTTTCTTAGCTTCAAAGACTTTATTATAGCCATTATATTTTGTGTAAGAATAGCACCAATATATTGATAACATGATAAAGAAGTTTTCCTAGTGTCTTTTAAATATTTATTCATTAAACTTTTCTCATTAGAGCTAATTATTAGTGATTATAATGCATTTTCTGTGACATTTTACTGCCATTCATTGAATGGCAATGATTCAAAATGCCTGTTCTTCATGGGTGCACACAGTTGATAACTGCAAATATCTAAAGGATTATTTTTTAATAGAATATCTATGTTGTATTTATTATTTTATGTACTAAAATTTCTCTTATTCTTGTTATTGATTCCATATGATTGTGTTTCTTTTTTTTCAGATAGGTTTCCTTAGATCAGTTAATTGCATTTTTGTTTTTCAACCTTGATATTATGAGTTGGATGATGATTTTCAACTCTGTACACTTTAAGACAATATAATGTTTAATTTATATATGAATTAGCTATATGCCTGTTGCTTATAAAATACTACGTGCTATTCATCTGTATAAATATTGCCTCTACTTTGTTCATGATTTATCTTGTATTTTTTTTCTTAGCTGTTAATGATTGCTTTATTCTTTCTAGATAAGTAGTTTAGGAAATAATCTTAAATTCACAATCTATTGTTTGGATCTATATAATTATGTGAGAGGAACACTTTTGTTCTTTGAAGGTGATTTTTGAAACATTTTATAACTATCTCTTTTAGGTAGCCAAATTTTTAATGGTGAAAACATATAATTGTCATCTCAAACATTTTTAAGTGTACAGTTTATTAGTGTTAAGTATAGTCATATTGTTTTACAAGAGGTTTGTAGATCATTTTTATTTTACAGAAGTCAAAGTGAATACCCATTAAACAACAAATTGTCCTTTCCACGCTTCTCTCCAGCTCCTGAAGAGCACCATTCTGCCTAATGTTTCTATGAGTTTGGCTACTGTAGATACTTTATGTAAGTGTAATCAAACAGTGTCTCTTTCTTTTTGACTATCTTATTTCACCTAACAATATCCTCAGGGTTTGTCCTTATTATAATATTTGTCAAAATGTCTCTGATTTTTAAGGCTCAGTAATGTTCTGTTGTGTATGTGTGCCACATTTGTTTAATCTGCTCATCCATAAAGGGACATTTTGATTGCTTCCAGGTATTGTCTTTTGGGAGTAATGCTGCAGGGTACATGGGTGTGCAAACATCTATTCCACGTTCTGTTTTGAATATGTTTGGAATATTTTGGATACACGGATGTAGTACCATGTGTATGTTCTTGCTTTTTGTTGCCTCATCCTTTGATATTATGTCAAAAAATTCATTGCCAAGACCAATTTTCATGACCAAGCTTTCCCCTTATGTATTCTTCTAGGAGTTTTACATTTATAGGTTTTATGTTTAACTTTTAGTTTGCTTTTTAAATTGATACAATGTTAATTGTACATATTTATTGGGTATAATTTTATATATATGTGTGTGTTGTATAATGATCATATCAGGATGCTTAGTGCATTACCTCATGTATTTGATAATTCTTTGTAGTGAGAACATTCAAAAGTCTCTGTTCTAGCTGTTTTATTTTAATTTTTATTGTTTGTAGAGACAGGATCTCACTCTATCACCCAGACTGAAGTGCAGTGGCACAATTGTAGTTCACTGTAACTTCAAACTCCTGGGCTCAAGTGATCCTCTGGCCTCAGCTCCCCAAGTAGCTAGGACTACAGGCATGTGCCACCATGCCTGGGTAATTTGTTAAAATTTTTGCATATAGGGTCTCACTACATTGTCCAGGCTGACCTTGAACTCCTGACCTCAAGTAGTCCTCCTGCTTCAGCCTCCCAAAATGCAGAGATTACAAGGATGTAACACTGTGACTAGTCTCTTCCAGCTATTTTGTAATATGCAATACCCTCCTATTAACCATTGTTATCCTGCTGTGTAAGAGAACACTAGAACTTATTTCTCCTATGTAATTGTAACTTTATGCATGTTAACCAACCTCTTTCTCTTTCTGCCCCTTCAGTCTCTGGTAACAACTGTTATATTCTCTGCTTATTATCAACTTTTTTTCCTTTTTTTTTTTTAGGCAGAGTCTAGCTCTGTCACCCAGGCTGGAGTGCAGTGGCGTGATCTCAGCTCATGGCAACCTCTGCTCCTGGGCTCAAGCTATTCTCCTGCCTCAGCCTCCCAAGTAGCTGGGATTACAGGCACGCACCACCATGCCCAGCTAATTTTTTGTATTTTTAGTAGAGACGGGGTTTCACCATGTTGGCCAGGCTAGTCTTGAACTCTTGACCTAAAGTGATCTGCCCACCATGGCCTCCCAAAGTGCTGGGATTAGAGGCATGAGCCACCGCGCCCAGCCCTTTTCTTCTCTCTTTCTTTTTTTTTTTTACATTACTCATTTGAGTAAGATCACGAAGGGTTTATCCTTCTGTATATGGCCTATTCACTTAACATGATATCTCACGGTTCATCCATGTTATTGCAAAGGACAGGATTTTATTCTTTTTGAATGGCTGAATAGTATTTCATTGTGCATGTATACCACATTTTCTTTATCCATTTATCTCGGTGTACATTTGGATTGATTTCATATCTTGGCTGTTATAAAGAGTGCTGCCGTAAACATGGGAATGCAGCTATGTTTTTGACACATTGACTTCCTTTCTTTTGGATATATACCCAATAGTGGAATTGCTAAATCATATGACAGCTGTATTTTTAATTTTTCAGGAACTTCCATACTCTTCTATAGTGGCCATACTACTTTACAATCCCATCGACAGTGTACATGTGTTCTCTTTCCTTCACATCCTCACCAATACTTGTTTTAGTTATAATTTTGTCTTTTTGATTATAGTCATTTTAAATAGAGTGTGATGGCATCTCATTGTGGTTTGGATTTGCACTCCCTTGATGATTAATTATGATGAGCATCTTTTTATGTACCTGTTGGCCATTCGTATGTCTTCTTTTCACTAATGTCTATTAAGGTCTTTGGCACATTTTAAAATTGGATTAATGTTTGTCTTATTTTGAGATTTCAAATTTCTTATGTACTTGACATTAACCTCTTGTCATATATATAGTTTGCGAATATTTTCTCCCGTTGTCTATGTTGTCTCTTCACTCTGTTATTTCATTTCATATGCAAAAATGTTTTAGGTTGATGTAATCTCATTTGCCTATTTTTGCTTAGGTTGCCTTGGCTTTGAAGTCTTTCCAAGTCCGATGTTGTAAAGTATTTGCCCTGCTTTCATCTAATAGTTTCATAGTTTAGGGCATTACATTTAAGTCTATAATCCATTTTGAGTTGGTTTTTGTATAGGATGAGGGTTAGGGGTCTAGTCTTACTCTTCTGCATATGGATATTCAGTTTTTTCCTGCACCATTTATTAAAGAGATTGTCCTTTCGCCAAAGTGTGTTCTCGGCATCTTTGTTGAAAATCAGTCAGCTTTAGGTGCATGAATTTATTTATGGACTCATTGGGCATGTTGGTCTATGTGTTTGTTTTAATGCCAGTACAATGCTCTTTGGGATACTATAGCTTTGTAGTAAATTTTGAAGTCAGGTGGTGTGATGCCTTCAGCCTTGTTCCTTTTGCTCAGGATTGCTTTGGCTATTCAGGGTATTTTGTGGTTCCATGTACATTTAGTTTTTGTGGGGGTTTTTTCTATTTTTTGTGAAGAATGTCATTGGTATTCTGATAGAAATTGCATTAAATCTATAGGTCACTTTGGGTAGCATGCCCATTTTAATAATATTCTTCCAATATATAAACACAATATATTTTCATTTATTCACATGTATTTCATTTTTTATCCATGTTTTATGATTTTCAGTGTAGAGATCTTTCACCTTTTTATTTAAGTTTATAGCTGGGTATCTTAATTTTTTATAGTTATTTGTATACACAGAAAAAGTATTTGACAGAAGTCAACATTCTTTATAGTGAAAACTCTAAGCAAATTATGTATAGAAGGTATGTATCTCAACAAGGTAAATATGACAAACTAGTGTTAATTTACCAAACAGGGAAAAGATGAAAGCTATTTCTCTGAGATCTGTAACATGATAAGGTACCCAGTTTCACCACTCCTATTCAACATAGTACTAGAAGTCCTAGCCAGAGCAGTAAGTCAAGAGAAAGAAGTGAAAGGCATTCAAATTGGAATGGAAAAATGAAATCATCCTTGTTTACAGACAAAATGACCTTGTGTATTAAAAAAACATAAAGCATGACACCAAAAACCTGTCAGAACTAATAAACAAGTTCTGTAAAGTTGCAGGATACAAAGTCAACATATAAATATCAATAGCATCTCTGTGTGCTGATAGAAAACCATCTGAAAAAGAAAATAAAAAATGCAAGTTACAGTAGCTACAAAATATAAGTCAGTCCATTTTGAGTTCACATTTGTAAATGCGCAAGGTAAGGTAACTTTATTTTTTCCCTGTGGATTTCCAATATTCCCAAGCCTGTTTGTTGAAGAGACTGTCCTTTTCTCATTGTGAATTCTTGGAACCCTCATTGAAAATAAGTTTACTGTCTACATGAGTGTTTATTTCTGGACTCTCCAATCTGTTTCATCTTTTATTTACCTTTACGTCAGTAGCACACTGTTTTGAGTACAATAGCTTTATAGTATGTTTTGAAATCAGAAAGTATGATGCCTCTTTGTTTTTCTTTCCCAAGATTGTTTATCCATCTGTGGAAGACTTTTATCCATCTGTGGTCTCTTGAGATACCACAGACATTTTAGACTATTTTAATACTTGTGTGAAAAGTTCCATTAATATTTTGATGGAGAGTGCATTGAATCTGTAGATTCAATGGGTAGTATTGACATCTTAACAATATTGTCTTCAAATTCTTGAACAAGAGTGTGTTTGAGAATTTATTTAATTTTCACATATTCGTGGACATGCCATTTTTCTTTCTGTTCTTCTAGTTTTATTCTGTTGTAGTAAGAAGTGATGCTTTGTGTGATTTTCATCTGGTTAAATTTGGTAAGACTGTTTTGCAGCTTAACAGGTTGTCTATCTGTGATAATGTGTCATGTATGGTTATGGATATTATGTATTCTGCTGTTGAATGGTCAGTTATGTATATGACTGTTAGGTCTAATGGTCTATAGTGTTGTTCAAGTCCTCTGTTTCCTTATTCATCTTCTGTCTCTTTTATTCTTTCCATTACTGAAAGTGGAGTATGGAAGTCTCCTACTACTATTGTACTGCTGGCTACTTATTGCTTCAATTCTGTAAAAGTTTCCCAGTTGCTGCATGTATTTGAGAGGTGTGATGTTATGTGCATATATGTTAATATTTATTATAGCTTCCTGGACAATGAACCCTTTTATAATTATATAGTGCTCTTTCTTATCTCTTGTGATATGTTTTGATGTAACATGTATTTTAACTAATATGACAGTATTTTACTTTTCTCATTATTTTTTTCCATTCTTTCATGTTCAGCTTATGTGTGTTCTTAGATCTAAATTTGGCCTTCCATGGAAAGCATGGAGTTGGATCTTTTTTCTTGAATTTATTCAGCCAAGTTGTCTTTCGAATTTATTCATTTATGTAGAAAGTAATTACTGAAAGAGAATGACTCACTATTGCATTTTGTTCACTTTTTTGTTTTAGGTCTTGTATCTATTTTGGTCCTGTTTTCCTCTCTTGCTATCTTCCTTAGTGTTTTGTTGATTTTTGTAGTGACATGTTTTAATTCCTTTCCCACTTCTCTCTGTGTATCTGTTATAGGTATTTGCTTTGTGGTTACCATAGATATTATGTAAAACATCTTAAAGTTATAACAATTTACCTCAAGCTGCTAACCTTAATTGCATACAAAAATCCTGCCTCTTTAGGAGCCCTCCATTGTATTTTATTGATATCACAAATTATATCACTTTATACTGTGAATCCATTAGCACAGATTTGTGGTTATTTTTAAGTGTTTGACTTCAAATCTATAGCAGAATTAAAAGTATTCTCTGCACTGTCGTCATAATACAGAATATTTTATTGTGTATATAATTACTGTTACCAGAAAACTTTATATTTCTATTAATTTTGTGTTACTATTTACCATCATTTTATTTTTCAATATGAAGAACTGTTTCTCTTTAGCACTTCTTTTAGAACAGATCTAGTGGGTATGAATTCATTTGGCTTTTGTTGATTTTGAATATTCTTTATTTCCAAATTTTTAAAGGATAGTTTTGGAAGATAACATTTTCTTGATTGGTAGTTGTCATTATTCAGCACTTTGAATATATCATTCTTCAACTTTCTGACCTGTGAGATTTTTTGCTGAGACCATCTGCTGGTCATCCTATAGGAGTGGGCCTTGTATATCAAGTCACTGGGGGTTTTTTTGTTGTTTTTTGGCTTCTAAATTCCCTTTGTTTGTAACTTTTGAATCTCTGATTAGAATGTGTCTTGTTGTGGGTCTCTTTGTGTTGCTACTAGTTAGAGTTGGTAGAGTTTCATTAAATTTTAGGCCATTTTCTCCCTCAAATTTGGAAAATTCTCAGCCATCATTTCTTCAAATAAATTTTCTACTCTTTTCTCTCTCTTTGCATTCTAGAATTCCTATTATGAGCATATTGGCCTACTTGATAGTACCCAATTAGTCCCTTAGACACTCTGTTGTTTTCTTTTTTTCTTTTTACTGTCCTGACCATAAACTTTCAAATAACTTATTACCAAGCTTGTTGGGTCTTTTTCTCCTACATCAAGTCTGCTGTTGAACCCTCTAGTGAATCCTTAAATTCAGTTATTTTTCAGCTCCACACTTTGTGTTTTTACAGTTCATAAGCTCATTTTCTTCATGTATTTTTATCTTCTTTTATTTGTCTGTGTTCTCCTGTAATTGGTTGAGCATCTTTAAAATAGATATTTTACTAGGCACAGTGACATGTGCGTGTAATCCCAGCTACTTTGGAAGCTAAGGCAGGAGGATCACTTGAGGCCAGCCTAGGCAATATTGCAAGACCCTGTGTCTAAGATTTTTTTTAATTAGTTGTTGTGGCATGTGCCTGTAGTCCCAGTGACTCAGGAGGCTGTGTCAGGAGGATTGCTTTACCCCAGGAATTTGAGGCTAGGCTACATTGAGCTGTAATTGTACCAGTGTACTCCAGTCTGAGTGACAGAGTAAGACCCCATTTTTTTTCCTTTTTCTTTTCTATTTTTTTTTATATACTTTTGACTTTTATTTTAGATTCAATGTATACATGTGCTGGTTTATTATATGGGTATATTGCATGACACTGGTTTGGGGTATGAATAATCCCATCACCCAGATAATGAGCATAGTGCCTAATAGGTAGTTTTTCAGCCCTTGCCTCCTTCCTTTACTCCCCCTCTGTATAAGTCCCCATTGTCTCTTTTTCCCATCTTTATGTCCATATGTACCCAATATTTAGTTCCCAGTTATAAGTACATGGTTTTGATTTTCTGTTCCTGTGTTAATTTACTTAGGACAATAGCTGCATCCATGTTGCTGCAAAGGACATGATTTTATTCTTTCTTGTGGCTGCATAGTATTCCATGGTATATATGTACCACATTTTCTTTAACCAGTCCACCATTGATGGGCACCTAGGTTGATTCCATGTTTTTGCTATTGTGAATAGTGCTGCAATGAACATATGAGTACATGTGACTTTTTGGTAGAACAATTCATTTTCCTTTAGGTATATACTAACTAATAGGATTGCTAGGTCAAATGGTAGTTCCAAGTTCTTTCAGAAATCTCCAAACTGTTTTCCACAGTAACTGAGCTAATTTACATTTCAATCAGCAGTGTATAAGTATTCTCTTTTCTGTGCAGCACTTGCCAGCATCTGTTTTTTGACTTTTCAACAATCACTATTCTGAGTGGTGTAAATGGTATCTAAGTGTGGTTTTGATTTGCATTTCTCTGATGGGTAGTGATGTGTAACATTTTTTCATATGCTTGTTGGCTGTTTGTATGTCTTCTTTTGAGAAGTGTCTGCTCTTGCTCTTTGCCCACTTTTTCATGGGTTTTTTTTTCTTGTTAATTTAAATTTCATATGGATTCTGGAATTAGGCCTTTGTCAGTTACATAGTTTGTGAATATCTTCTCCCATTCTGTAGGTTGTTGATTCTGTTCACAGTTTCTTTTGCTGTGCAGAAACTCTTAAATTAGGTCCCATTTGTCAATTTTTGTTTTTATTACAATTGCTTTTGAAAACTTAGCCATAAATTCTTTGCCAAAGTCAATGACTAGAATGGTATTTGCCAGGTTTTCTTCTAGTATTTTTTATTTTTTGAGGATCTGAATTTAAATCTTTAATCATGTTGAGTTAATTTTTATATATGCTGAAATGTAGGAGTCTATGTTCATTCTTCTGCATATGGTTAGTCAGTCATCCCACATCTAATTATTAAATAGGGAGTCCTTTCACTATTGCTTATTTTTGTTGACCTTGTGGAAGATCAGATGATTGTAAATGTGTGCCTCTATTTATTTCTGGGTACTCTATTCTGTTCCATTGGTCTATGTGTTTGTTTGTTTGTTTTTAATTTTTGTTTTTCTTTATTTCCTCTAAAAAAAAGAAGGTGGGGGGGAAACATTTGCAAAACGTGCAGGTTTGTTACATAGGTATATGTGTACCATGGTGGTTGGCTGAACCTATTGACCCATCTTCTATGTTCCCTCCCCTTACCCCCGAAACCCCCAACAGGCCCTGGTGTGTGGTGTTCTCCTCCCTGTGTCCATGTGTTCTCATTGTTCAACTCCCACTTATGAGTGAGAACATGTGATGTTTAGTTTTCTGTTCCTGTGTTAGTTTGCTGAGGATGATGGCTTCCAGCTTCATCCCTGTCCCTGCAAAGGACATTATTTCATTCCTTTTTATGGCTGCATAGTATTCCATGGTATATATGTACCACATTTTCTTTACCTAGTCTATCATTGGTGGGTATTTGGGTTGGTTTCATGTCTTTGCTATTGTAAATAATGCTGCAATAAACATATGTGTGCATATGTCTTTATATTAGAAAGATTTATATTCCTTTGGGTATATACCCAGTAATGGGATTGCTGGGTCAAATGGTATTTCTGGTTCTCGATCCTTGAGAATCGCTGCACTGTCTTCCACAATGGTTGAACTAATTTACATTACCACCAACAGTGTAAAAACGTTCCTATTTCTTCACAGCCTCACCAGCATCTGTTGTTTCTTGACTTTTTAATGATCGCCATTCTGACTGGTGTGAGATGGTGTCTCATTATGGTTTTGATTTGCATTTATCTGATGATCAGTGATGTTGAGCCTTTTTTCGTATGTTTGTTCACTGTGTAAATGTCTTCTTTTAAGAAGTGTCTGCTCGTATCCTTTGCTCACTTTTTGATGGGGTTGTTTGGTTTTTTCCTTGTAAATTTGTTTAAGTCTCTTGTAAATTCTGGATATTAGACCTTTGTCTGATGGGTAGATTGTAAAATTTTTCTCCCAGTCTGTAGGTTGTCTATTCACTCCAATAATAGTTTCTTTGGCTGTGAAGCAGCCCTTTAGTTTAATTAGATCCCAATTGTCAATTTTGGTTTTTGTTGCAATTGCTTCTGGTGTTTTAGTCATGAAGTCTTTGCCCATGCCAATATCCTCAATAGTATTGCCTAGATTTTCTTCTTAGGGTTTTTATGGTTTGGGGTTTTACATTTAAGTCTTTAATCCATCTTGAGTTAATTTTTGTATAAGGTGTAAGGAAGAGGTCCAGTTTCTGTTTTCTGCATATGGCTAGCCAGTTTTCCCAGCACCATTTATTGAGTAGGGAATCCTTTCCCCATTGCTTGTTGTCAGGTTTGTCAAAAATCAGATGGTTGTAGATGTGTGATGTTATTCCTCAGGTCTCTGTTCTGTTCCATTGGTCTATATATCTGTTTTGGTACCAGTATCATGCTGTTTTGGTTACTTGAGCCTTTCAGTATAGTTTGAAGTCAGGTAGTGTGATGCCTCCAGCTTTGTTCTTTTTGCTTAGGATTGTCTTGGCTATATGGGGTCTTCTTTGATTCCATATGAAATTTAAAGTAGTTTTTTCTAATTCTGTTAAGAATGCCAATGGTAGTTTGATGGGAATATCATTTAATCTATAAATTACTTTGGGCAGTATGGCCATTTTCACAATGTTGATTCTTCCTATCCATGAGAAGGGAATGTTTTTCCATTTGCTTGTGTCCCCTCTTATTTCCTTGAGCAGTGGTTTGTAGATCTCCTTCAAGAGGTCCTTCACATCCCCTGTTAGCTGTATTCCTAGGTATTTTATTCTCTTTGTAGCAATTGTGAATGGGAGTTCATTCATGATTTGACTCTCTGCTTGTCTATTGTTGGTGTAAAGGAATGCTTGTGATTTTTGCACATTGATTTTGTATCCTGAGACTTTGCTGAAGTTGTTTATCAGTTTAAGGAGTTTGGGGCTGAGATGACTGGGTTTTCTAAATATAAAATTATGTCATCTGCAAACAGAGATAATTTTACTTCCTTTCTTCCTATGTGAATACCCTTTCTTTCTTTCTCTTGCCTGATTGCCCTGGCCAGAACTTCTAATACTATGTTGAGCAGGATTGGTGAGACAGGGCATCTTTGTCTTGTACTGGTTTTCAAAGGGAATACTTCCAGCCTTTGCCCATTTAATATGATATTGGCTATGGGTTTGTCATAAATAGCTCTTTTTATTTTGAGATATGTTCCATCAACACCTAGTTTATTGAGAGTTTTTAACATGAAGGGACGTTGAATTTTTCAACGGCCTTTTCTGCATCTGTTGAGATAATTGCATGGTTTTTGTCTTTGGTTCTGTTTATGTGATGGATTACGTTTATTGATTTGCATATGTTGAAACAGCTTCACATCCCAGGGATGAAGCCAACTTGATCACATTGGATAAGTTTTTTGATGTGCTGCTGGATTTGGTTTGCCAGTATTTTATTGAAGGTTTTCGTATCTATGTTCATCAGGGATATTAGCTTGAAGTTTTCATTTTTTGTTGTCTCTTTTCCTGGTTTTGGTATCAGGATGATCCTGGCTTCATAAAATGAGTTAGGGAGGAGTCCCTCCTTTTCAGTTGTTTGGAATAGTTTCAGAAGGAATGGTACCAACTCCTCATTGTACTTCTGGTAGAATTCACCTGTGAATCCGTCTAGTCCTGGGCTTTTTTGGCTGGTAGGCTATTAATTACCACCTCAATGTCAGAACTTGTTATTGGTCTATTCAGGGATTCTACTTCTTCCGATTTAGTCTTGGGAGGGTGTATGTGTCCAGGAATTTATCAATTTCTTCTGGATTTTCTAGTTTATTTGTGTAGAGGTGTTTACAGTATTCTCTGGTGGTAGTCTGTATTTCTTTGGGTCAGTGGTGATATCTCCTTTACCATTTTTTATTGTGTCTATTTGATTCTTCTCTCTTTTCTTCTTTATTAGTCTAGCTAGAGTTCAGTCTATTTTGTTAACTTTTTCAAAAAACCAGCTCCTGGATTCATTTATCTTTTGGAGATTTTTTCATATCTCTATCTCCTTCAAGTCTGCTCTGATCTTCATTATTTCTTGTCTTCTGCTAACTTTTGCATTAGTTCGCTCTTGCCTCTCTAGCTCTTTTAATTGTAATGTTAGGGTGTTGATTTGAGATCTTTCTAACTTTCTGATGTGGACATTTAGTGCTATAAATTTCCCTCTTAACACTGCTTTACCTGTGTCCCAGATATTCTGGTATGTCGTCTCTTTGTTCTCATTGGTTTCAAAGAACTTTTTGATTTCTGCCTTTATTTCTTTTTTTTTTTTTTTTTTTTGAGACAGAGTCTTGTTTTGTCACCCAGGCTGGAGTGCAGTGGCGCAATCTTGGCTCACTGCAAGCTCCACCTCCTGGGTTCATGCCATTCTCCTGCCTCAGCCTCCCAAGTAGCTGGGCTACAGGTGCCCGCCAACACACCTGGCTAATTTTTTGTATTTTTAGTAGAGATGGGGTTTCACCATGTTAACCAGGATGGTCTCAATCTCCTGACCTTGTGATCCGCCGGCCTCGGCCTCCCAAAGTGCTGGGATTACAGGCATGAGCCACCACACACGGCCTATTTCATTATTTACCCAAGAGTCATTCAGGAGCAGGCTCTTTAATTTCCATGTAATTGCGTGGTTTTGAGTGAGTTTTTAAATCCTGAGTTCGAATTTGATTTCCCTGTGGTCTGAGAGACTGTTTGTTATGATTTCAGTTCTTTTTCATTTGCTGAGGAGTGTTATGCTTCCAATTATGTGTTCAATTTTAGAATAAGTGCCATGTGGCACTGAGAAAAATGTATATTCTGTTGATTTGGGGTGGAGGGTTCTGTAGATATCTCTTAGGTCCACTTGATCCAGAGCTGAGTTCAAGTCCTGAACATCCTTGTTAATTTTCTGTCTCATTGATCTGTCTAATATTGACAGTGAAGTGTTAAAGTCTCCCACTATTATCGTGTGGGAGTCTAAGTCTCTTTGTAAGTCTCTAAGAACTTATTTTATGAAGTTGTATGCTCCTGTATTGGGTACATATATATTTAGAATAGTTCGTTCTTCTTGTTGAATTGTTCCCTTTACCTTCTTTGCCTTTTTTGATATTTGTTGGTGTAAAGTCTATTTTGTCAGGGACTAGGATTGCAACCTCTGCTTTTTCTTTTCTTCCATTTGCTTGGTAAATTTTCCTTTTTATTTTGAGCCTATATGTGTCTTTGCATATGAGATGGGTCTCCTGAATACAGCATACCAATGGGTCTTGACTCTTTATCCAATTTGCCATTCTATGTCTTTTAATTGACATATTTAGCCCATTTATATTTAAGGTTAATATTGTCTTGTGTGAATTTGATCCTGCCATCATGATGCTATTTGGCTGTTTTGCGTACTAGTTGATGTAGTTTCTTCGTAGTGTCATTGGTCTTTACATTTTGGTGTGTTTTTGCAGTGGCTGGTACCAGTTTTCCCTTTCCATATTTAGTGCTTCTTTCGGTAGCTCTTGGAGGGCATGCATGGTGGTAATGAAATCCCTCAGCATTTGCTTGTCTGGATAGGACTTTATTCCTCCTTTGCTATAAAAGCTTAGTTTGGCCGGAATATGGAATTCTGGGTTGAAAATTCTTTTCTTTAAGAATGTTGACTATTGGCCCCCAATCTCTTCTGTCTTATAGAGTTTCGGCTGAAAGGTCTGCTGTTAGTCTGATAGATTTCCCTTTGTAGGTCACCTGGCCTTTCTCTCTGGCTGCCCTTAACATTGTTTCCTTCATTTCGACCTTGGAGAATCTGATGATTATGTGTCTTGGGGTTGATGTTCTCTTGGAGCATCTTAGAATCTGTATTTCCTCAATTTGCATATTGGCTTGTCTTCTAGGTTGGGGAAGTTCTCCTGGATAATATCCTGAAGTGTGTTTTCCAGTTTGTTTCCATTCTCCCCATCTCCTACAGGTACTCCAATCAGTCGTAGGTTCAGTCTTTTTGTGAAGTCACATATTTCTTGGAGGCTTTGCTCATTCCTTTTTATAATTTTTTCTGTAGTCTGGTCTGCATGCCTTATTTCAGCAAGGTGGTCTTTCAACACTGATATCCCTTCCTCTGCTTGGTTGGTTTGGCTATTGATACTTGTGTATGCTTCATGAAGTTCTCATGCTGTGTTTTTCAGCTTCATCAGGTCATTTATGTTCCTCTCTAAACTGTTTATTCTAGTAGCAGCTCCTCTATCCTTTTATCAAGGTTCTTAGCTTTTTTGCATTGGGTTAGAACATGCTCCTTTAGCTCAGCGTAGTTTTTTATTACCCATCTTCTGAAGCCTACTTCTGTCAATTCTTCTGTCTCATCCTCCATCCAGTTCTGCACCCTTGATAAAGAGATGTTGCAATCATTTGAAGAAGAGGCACTCTGGCTTGTTAGGTTTTCAGCTTTTTTGTTGTTGATTCTTTCTCATCTTGGTGAGTTTGTCTAGTTTCAATCTTTAAGGCTGCTGATCCTTGGATGGGGATTTTCTGGGGACTTTTTGTTGTTGTTGATGCTGTTGTTGTTGCTTTCTGTTTGTTTTTCTTTCAATGGTCAGGTCCCACTTCTATAGGGCTGCTGCAGTTTGCTGGAGGTTCACTTCAGGCCCTATTTGTCATGTGCGTCTGTGTGAAGAGACCACCAAACAGGCTTTGTGTGAGTAATAAAGCTTTTTAATCACCTGGGTGCAGGCAGACTGAGTCCGAAAAAGGAGTCAGCAAAGGGAGATAGGAGTGGGGCAGTTTTACAGGATTTGGGTAGGTAGTGGAAAATTACAGTTAAAGGGGGTTATTCTCTTGCGGGCAGGGGCAGGGGTTACAAGGTGCTTGGTGGGGAAGTTCTGAGACTCATTGTCTAGGAGAAGGAATGTCACAAGGTTAATTGATCAGTTAAGGTTAAGGTGGGGCAGGAACAAATCACAATGGTGGAATGTCATCAGTTAAGGCAGGAACTGACTATTTTCACTTCTTTTGTGGTTCTTCAGTTGCTTCAGGCCATTTAGATGTATACATGCAGGCTTGAGCTCAGAGGCCTGAGACTATTCATGTGGTTTACTCCTGTGCCTGGAGATGTCACTCAGGAAAGCTGGAGAACAGCAAAGATGGATGCCTGCTCCTTCTTCTGGGATCTCTGAACTCGAGGGGCACTAACCTGATGCCATAGGATTGCTCCTGTATAGGGTGTCTGACAACCCCTGTTGGAGGTTCTCACCCAGTTGGGTGGCACATGGAACAGGAACCATTTAATGAAGTACTTTGTCCCTTGGTGGAGGGGGTGTGCTTTGCTGGGGGGAAGCCCACTTGTCTGGGCTGCCTGGATTCCTCAGAACTACCAGTAGGAAAGGCTAAGTCTGCTGGTCCCCAGAGACTGCTGTTACCCCTGCCCCTAGGGGCTCAGGCCCAGGGAGATCCAGGTTCTGTCCCTGAGCCTCTGGCTGGAGTTATTGGAGTTCCTGCAGGGAAGCCTGGCACAATCAGGAAGGATGGGTCAGGGTCTGGCCTGAAGAGGCACTCTGGTGGCAGTCTGCCACAGCCAGTGTGTTGGGCTGTGGGGGGCACATCTTGGGACCAAGCCAACCAGCCCCTCACTGACTCCAGAAGGGGAAAAGTGCAGCTGGGAGCTATAGAGGTAGATGCTGCTCTTCCCCCACCCATTGAGCTTAGCATGTTAGGCAGTTGTGAGTCCCAGTGCTGGCTGCTGCCCCTCCACCAAGGGGCTCAAATGGCTTAGACAGCAGGCAGCCACAGCTCTTGTGCTGGTTGCCCCTCCCCCCAGGTGCTTGGCAGGCTTAAGCAGATTCCAGCTGAGAGGCTGTTGAGAATCTGCGTGGCCCCAGGGTTGGGATGCTAAGCCACAGTGGCGTGGGTTCACAAATGGGATCTTGCAATCAGTGGGTGGCATAGTTCCATGGAAAAAGCATGCTTTTCCTGGCTGGGTAGCATCCTCACTCACCACATGCTTTGGCTGGCAGGAGGGAGCTTTCCTTCCCCATGTGGCTCTCAGGTGGGCTGCTGCACCCCACTGTTATTACTTCCTCTCCATGGATCATGCCAGCCTCCTAGTCAATTCTAATGGGAGAACCTGGATACCTTGGTTGCCGGTGAAGGATTCACACACTTATTATGGTTCTTTTCGATGGGAGCCTCCAAACCCTGCTGTTTCTAGTTAGCCATCTTGGTGCTGCTCCTGTGTGTCTGTTTTTGTGCCAGTATTATGCTGTTTTGGTGACTATAGGCTTATAGTATAGTTTGAAGTTGGATAATGTGAAGCCTTTGGCTTTGTTCTTTTTGTTTAGGATTGCTTTGGCTATTTGGACTCTTACTTAGTTCCACATGAATTTTAGAATAGTTTTTTTCTAATTCTGTGAAAAATGACATTGGTAGTTTGATAGGAATACTATGGAATCTCTAGATAATGATGTTGATTCTTCTATGAGCATGGAATATTTTTCCAATTGTTCGTGTTGTCTATAATTTTTTCAACAGTGTTTTATAGTTCCCCTTGTAGAGATCTTTAACCTCGTTGGGTAGATCTATTCCTACATATTTGGTTTTTTCTTTGTGTGTGTGGCTATTTTAAATGGAATTATGTTCTTGATTTCACTCACAGCTTGAATGTTATTGGTGTATAGATATGCTACTGATTTTTATACTTTGATTTTCTATCTTGAAACTTTACTGGAGTTCCTTATCAGTTTTAGGAGCCTTTTGGCACAGTCTTTCCAGGTGTAGAATCATATCAGCAGAGATGATGTTACTTTCTTTTTTTCCTCTTTGGATGCCTTTTATTTCATTCTCTTGACTGATTTTTCTGGATAGTACTTCCATTACTATGTTGAATAGAAGTGGTAAGAGTGGGCATTCTTGTCTTCTTCTTGTTTTTAAAGGGAATGCCTCCAGCTTTTGCCTGGTCAGTATGTTGGCTGTGAGTTTCTCATAGATGGCTCTCATTATTTTGAGGTATGTTTCTTCAATGCTTAGTTTGTTGAGGGTTTTATTTATCATTAAGGGATGTTAAGTTTTATCAAAAGCTTATCTTACATCTATTGAAATGGTGATTTTTTTCTTTTTTTCTCTTTTTTGGAGACAGAGTCCCACTCTATCCCCAAGGCTGGAGTGCTCACTGCAACCTCCACCTCCCAGGTTCAAGTGATTCTCATGGCTCAGCCTCCTGAGTACCTATGACTACAGGCACACACCACCACACCCAGCTAATTTTTGTATTTTTAGTAGAGACAGGGTTTCGCCATGTTGGCCAAGCTTGTCTTGAACTCCTGGCCTCAGGTGATCCGCCCACCTCAGCCTTCCAAAGTGCTGGGATTACAAGCGTGAGCCACTGTGCCCAGCTTTTAAATTTTAATTCTATGTGATGAATCACATTTATTGATTTATATATGTTAGAACAACCTTGCATTCCAGGAATAAAGCCTAGTTAATTGTGGTAAATTAACTTTGGCTGTGCTGCTCTATTTGGTTTGCTAGTATTTTGTTGAGGATTTTCCTGTCTATGTTCATCAGATATATTGTCCTGTAGTTTTCTTTGTTCATTGTGTCTTTGCCAGATTTTGGTAACAGAGTGATGTTGGCCTCATAGAATGAGAAGGGAGGAGTCCCTCCTCCTTATTTTTTGGAATAGTTTGAGTAGAATTGATAATAGTTCTTCCTTGTACTTCTGGTGTATTTCAGTTGTGAATCCATCTTGTCCAGGGCCTTTTTTTGGTTGGTAGATTTTTTATTACTGATTCAATATCAGAACTTGATACTGGTTTGTTCAGGGTTTCAGTTTCTTCCCTATTCACTCTTTGGAGATTGTATGTTTCTAGGAATTTATTCATTTCCTCTAGATGCATAGAAGTCCTCATAAGTCTCTGAGAATCTTTTGTATACCTGTGGGGTCGATTGTAATGTCCCCTTTGTTGCTTCTGATTGTGCTTATCTTCTGTTTTTCTTTGTTAACCTAGCTAGTGGTCTATTGATCTTGTTTACCCTTTCAAAGAACCAACTTTTGGTTTTGCTGATGCTTTGTATGGAATTTGGGGTCTCAATTTAATTCAGTTATCTGTTCTTAGTTATTTCTTTTCCTCTGCTAGCTTTGTGCTTAGCTCATTTTTCTTATTCTATTTTCTTTACATGTGATGTTACATCATTAATTTGAGATCTAACTTCTTAAAGTAGGCATTTCATGTTATAAACTTCTTTTAATGTGGCTTTAGCTGCCACATTAACACATACCAAAGATTTTAGTATGTGTTTTCTCTGTTTTCACTTATATCAAAGAACTTTTTGATTTCTGCCTTGATTTCATTGTTTACTCAAAAGTTGTTGAGGAGCCAGTTGTTTAATTTCTATGCATTTCTGTGGTTTTGAGAGATCTTCTTGGTATTGTTTTCTGTTCTTATTCTATTTTGGTCCAAGAGTATGGTTGGTATGATTTTGATTTTTTTTTAATTTATTGAGACTTGCTTTCTGGCTGAGCATATAGGTTCAATCATCAAGTGTGTCCTGTGTGCATATGAAAGATGTATGTGTTTTATCGTTGATGGATGGAGTGTTCTGTAGATGTCTATTAGGCCCAGTTGGTCTATTCTGTAGATGCCTATTAGGTCCAGTTGGTCAAGTGGAATTGATGTCCAAAATTTCTTTATTTATTGTCTGCCTCAATGATCTAATGATGCCCATGGGGAGTTGAAGTATGCCACTGTTATTATGTGGCTAATTCTTTTCTCAGGACTAGAAGTACTTGTTTTATGAATCTTGGTGCTCCAAAGTTTGGTGCATAGGTGTTTACCATATTAAAATATTCTTGTTGAATTGAACCCTTTATCATTATGTAATATATCCTTGTCCTTGTGTATGGTTGTTGGCTTAATGTCCTCATTTCTTAAAGAAGACAGAGAATGCCAGGTGTAGTTGCTGATGTTATCCCAGCAATTTGAGAGTCTGAGGCTGTAGGATTCCTTGAGGCCAGGAATTCTTGACCAGCCTAGGTGACCTAGAAAGACCCTGTCTGTACAAAGAATTAAAAAAATTATTCAGATGTGATGGTGCATTCCTGTAGTCATAGCCACTTGGGAAAGCCAGGGAGGGTGACTGCTTTAAGCCAGGAATTCAAGGTTCCACTGAGCTATGATTGCACTCTGGCCTGATGACAGTGTAAGAACTTGTCTGTAAGACAAAGATAGATATTTTAAATTAATTTAAAATTAGTTTTTTGGGAACCGGCCCCCAAATCTGGCCATAAATAGGCCCCAAAACTGGCCATAAACAAAATCTCTGCAGCACTGTGACATGTTCATGGTGGCCATGACACCCACACTAAAGGTTGTGGGTTTACCGGAATGAGGGCAAGGAACACCTGGCCCATCCAGGGCAGAAGACCACTTAAGGTGTCCCTAAGCCACAAACAATAGCATGAGCAATCTGTGCCTTAAGGACATGTTCCTGCTGCAGATAACTAGCCAGAGCCCATACCTTTGTTTCCCGTAAGGAATACTTTTAGTTAATCTATAATCTATAGAAACAATGGTTATCACTGGCTTGCTGTCAATAAATATGTGGGTCAAACTCTGATTGGGGCTCTCAGCTCTGAAGGCTGTGAGTCCCCTGATTTCCCACTCCACACTCTGTATTTCTGTGTGTGTGTGTTTAATTCCTCTAGCGCTGCTGGTTAGGGTCTCCACAACAGAGCTGGTCTCAACATTAGTTAATAGATTTCTACTTCTCTAGCTTCACTTTGATATTAATATGTTAGTTAATAGATTTCTACTTCTTTAGATTCACTTTCATTTTGGTCCTTTGATTGAGCCGTGTTTTTTGGTTACTTTGATGTCTTGTGATTTTGTTGATATTTTGATCAAGTAAGAAACAGCTACCTATTTCATCTTTTATGGAATGAATTTGTACAGGCGAAAACTGATACCCATCAGGTACTCTAGTCATTCTGGGAAATTCTTCAAACTGTTGTCAGGATGTGTCTTCTCTGGACTACTGTGTGTATTTTCCTATTAAAAAGGTTTGCCTTTTTTTCTCTTAGGAGCCTTTAATCTCTCCCTTTGGTGAGTGTCAAAGGCACTACTGTCTTTCTGTTGTGGTAGTAAGCATTCATCTTTCTTCTCAGTTGACCTGACATGTCATTTCAACTATATCACCATTTTCTTCAGCACCACATATTAAAGGAAGCAATGAACAGTCTTTAGCCCCAGAATAACCCAGAACTTTGGACATATGTTTTACTCCTTTTTTTTTCTTTGCTGAGGGCAAAACAGAATGTGAAAAATTTCTGTGTAACTGTGCTGTGCTGTGGTGCACAAATACAACAAACTTCCTTCCTTCTAAATGCAACCATTCTTGGCTTTGTGTTCACCTAAGCACTGCAAACTCAACTGGCTTTAGTCATGCTATTATATTTAAGTTCACATATCAATTGAGAAAAAAAGGGACCTCAAGTTTTTGATTCAACTATCATGGTGTTCTCAACTTGGTATAATTTTTTATATTAGATTTATAAAGTATTTTCACCTGAATTTAGTAATTGGAATTTTTAAAACTTTTGGTATCTTTCAGATATGTTTTCTCATGATACTCCAGTCCTCTTGAGAAAGAAGCACATAGAAGCATCATTCCAAAAAGTGATATTGGATGGATATGGGAGCTATGGCTCTCAGAATTTACACTTAAGGAAAGAGTGGGAAAGTGAGGGTAAGTGTGACAGTCACAACGGATGTTGTGATGGACATACAAAATGTAGCACAACTACCTATAACAAAAACATCACTGCTACAAGAGGTCAAAAACATGAAAAAACTCAATCTATGTCAGTTACTTTTTCTAATCCATGTGTTTCTGTAACTAAATATCGACATCAATTTTGAAACATACCTTTTCTTTGAAAGGAAATTTGGAAAATCTGAATAGTGACTTAGTCCATGTTTCAAATAATCATATAAGCCAATTAAAACATAGAACTGGAGTAAATGTTCAGTCAAATATTTCTGAAAAGGAGAGATTTAAAAATGAAGAGGTGATTTCTAAATATGATCAATTTGATGGGTCCTTTGTTAAAAGTTTGTTTCACCAACAAATAACACCTCGTTCTGCTTGTGATCAATATAGAAAGGTCTTCATTCATTCATCATTGATTAATCAATGTCAGGGAATAGATAATTTGGGAAAACATCACACATATGATAAAATTTTGACAGCCTTTAGGCAGGACTATACCCTAAATAATTAGCAGTATATTTGTGTTGCAGAGAAAAATCAGTACAATAAATCTGATACAACATTAAGACAAGGCATAAGCCCCAGAAGACATCAGAAAACTCATTTTCTACAGAAACATTACAAATGTAAAAAATGTGAGAAAGTCTCACATAAATGCACCAACCATGTCCATCAGAGTATCCATAGTCAAGAGAAGGCTGCCAAATGTAACAATTGTGTAGAAACTTTTATCCAGTCATCAAAACATACTCAGCCTCAGAGAATCCATATTGGAGAAAAGTCACACAGATGTAATAACGGTGAGAAAATCCTTAGTAAATTGTCAAGTCTAAGAAAACATAAAATAATCCATAATGAAGAGAAACCTTACAAATGTAAAGAATATGAAAAAGCCTTTAACCATCGTTCACACCTTACTCAACATCAAATAATTCATACTGGAGAGAAACCATACAAATGTAAAGAATGTGGCAAAGCCTTCAATTCTAGTTCATATTTTACTAGACATCAGAGAATTCACACTGGAGAAAAACTTTACAAATGTAAAGTGGGTAGCAAATGTTTTACTTATTCTTCAAATCTTCTTGTGCATCAGAGAATTCATACTGGAGAGAAACCTTACAAATGTAAAGAATGTGGTAAATCATTTAAAATGTCTTCAGCCCTTACTCAGCACGAGAGAATTCATGCTGGAGAGAAACCCTACAAATGTAAGGAATGCAGCAAAGCCTTTAACTGTAGGTCATACCTAACTAAACATCGGAGAATTCATACCGGAGAAAAACTTTACAAATGTAAATCACATAGCAAATCTTTTTCTCATTCCTCAAGTCTTATTGTCCACCAGAGAATTCATACTGGAGAAAAACCCTATAAATGCAAAGAATGTGGCAAAGCCTTTTATCGTAATTCACGCCTTACTCGACATCGAAGTAGTCATACCGGAGAGAAACCCTACAAACGTAAGGAATGCAGCAAAGCCTTTAACTGTAGGTCATACCTAACTAAACATCAGAGAATTCATACTAGAGAAAAACTTTACAAATGTAAATCATGTGGTAAATCTTTTTCCTGTTCCTCAAGTCTTTTTGTCCACCAGAGAATTCATACTGGAGAAAAACCCTATAAATGCAAAGAATGTGGCAAAGCCTTTATTTATAGTTCATGCCTTACTCGACATTGAATAATTCATACTGGAGAGAAACCCTACAAATGTAAAGAATGTGGCAAGTTATTTAATCGATGCTCGACCCTTTCTCAACGTAAGAGAATTCATACTAGAGAATCTCTATAGTTGTGGTAAATGTGGAAAGAGTTTTATCCAAAATTTAGAACTTAAAAATCACCATAGAGTTTATAGGGAAACAGACTTTACAGACTGAATAAATGGGAGGAAGTATTTAATCAAAACTCAAGTCTGAATGTGTCAGGACTTACACAAAAAAGGAATAAAGCACAGTTCCCCAGACTTTACATTAAATAGCAGTATTTATTAAGGAGGATTACTCTAAAGCCAAAGCAGTTATTTATTTTGTTGTGTGTTTCAAATGAGCAAAAACATTGATGTGTGGACAAGTAATTATTCAGTGAGCACGTTATTTGTATTGAAAACATTTGAGATTTGTATAAAGCAAACAATAATTCAATTCTCAAATTAGTTGTTATACCTTAATGCCTAGTGTTTATATAAAAACATATAGTCTATTTTTTCTACATCAGAGCTATGAGAGGTTGTTCTATAGTAAATGAATATTATTAATATCAATTTAATTTCATGGAAGTTTAATGGTAAATGGAGAATACATGAAGAAAATCTAAAAGATGCTCTTTGTGTTTGAATCATAAAACAGTAATGGATGTAAGCATATAGTACATATTTAGGGCATTATTATTCTATACTAAAATAAAAGAAGAATATTCTGAGTTTATTTATTACATCAATTGTTCCTTAAGTAGAAAAAAACTGGTCAGTTATTTGAAATACCAGCATAATACAATGAAGTAGTAACTTTGAATATTATTTGATGTGTTAAAAATAAAAATGCCTCACAGATATAAAAGTGAAAACTCATATCTGAAAGATTCTAAATACATTTCATATCAATTTTCCAGAGGACTTCAATTTCCAATAATATTGATAACATTTTCATAGTTACTATATTATATTCTTTCCTGCTTTTTGTAGCTACTGATGTACTATAACAGTTATAATAAAGATTATATGGGAGTATACTTAAAATCCATACTTTTACAATCCTGAATCATTGCTTATAAAATTTTATTCAGTGTTTTTCTTTGCACATGCCCTTTTTCAGTGTGAACACTTAGAGATTTTTCTTGGCTTTAGCTTACATTGAATGGAATATACAGATGTATCAACATAGAAGGAAAAAGGTGTAAGAGAACTATACAGGAAAAAATGCATGTGTTTACCTATCTTCAAATGGAAAAGAAAATCATGGATCACAACAGGAAATTTGAGAACTGTTGATTTACTACCATGCTAGAAACCTCACAAATTCTCAAAGCAAAATTAGTTTCTCTGTTGTACACTGAATTTTTCTCTCATAAATCTAATGTCTTCTGGGTTCAGACCCTATCCTATACAAATCCTTTTTTCTTGCCTATGATTCCTGTAAGAATAATTATATGATTTTCTTATTTGAAAGCTTATAAAATATTGTTATATGTTATCATGGATTTTAAGAATGTTTTCATAAAATTTAATGGTGCTGGCCAGGCATGGTGGCTCACGCCAGTAATCCCAGCATTTTGGGGGGCCGAGGCGGGTGGATAACCTGAGGTTGGGAGTTTGAGACCAGCCTAACCAACATGGTGAAACCCCATCTCTACTAAAAATACAAAAATTAGCTGGGCATGGTGGCGCACATCTGCAATCCCAGCTACTCAGGAGGCTGAGGCAGGAGAATTGCTTGAACTTGGGAGGCAGAAGTTGCAGTGAGCCAAAATCATGCCACTGCACTCCAGCCTGAGTGACAGAGTGAGACTCCATCTCAAAAAAAAAAATTTAATGGTGCTTCGAAATTAATCTGAAGACATTAGTAACTCTATAGTGATCTATTTAGTTACAATACAAAATTCTGACCATTTAGTTGAAGTAAAAGCAGTGCCAAAGATAAATAAAAAATCTTGAAAACAGCCAGGACAAAGCAACAAATTATATAAAAAGAGAAATAATTTCAGTGCAGTATAATATATCATAAAAAGTAATAGTTGCAAATGACAATGGAATTACATTTTTTAAGTTCAGATAGGAAAACCTAGTATCAACACAAGATTCTGTATTCAGCAGAATTCTTTAAAAAAGGAAACCAAGCCACAGTGAAATATCCACACCTATGAGAATGGTAAAAAAAAAAAAATTGTTTTAAATGTGAATACCAAGTGCTGGTTAAGATTTGGAGCTACTCAAATTAGGAATGTGAAATGACATAGTAGCTTTGAAAAATAGTTTAACCATTTTTTATAAGATTAGTCATATACTTATTATTTGAACCGGATGTCCCAACCCTAGGCATTTATTATGCAAAACTGAAAACTAGTGATTAAAACCTGTTTGTGGATATTTGTTGCCACTATAGTCATATTTGCAAAAAGCTAGAAATAAATCTTATGTCCCTCAGTAAGTCAATGGATAATAAACTGTGATATGTCTATACAAAAAAATTTTTGTTGTTAACAAAAAGAACAAACTGTCGATCTCCACTGCTACATGTATGAATCTTAAATACATTTCTCTAAGGCTGTCAGATCAACAAGGCTATATATTATATGATTCTATTTTATGACATTGCATAAAAGATTAGAGGGATGGAAAATGATTAGTGGTTGCCAAAGAATGGGAGGAGGACAGGCATTGATTACAAAGGGGCAACAAGAAAAAATTTGCAGGATGATCAAACAGTTTAGTGTGGTACTGTGCAAATAGATATGTGACTACACAGTTGTCAAAACCCAATAAACTGTACACCACAAAGAGTAAATTTTACTCCATGCAAATTTTAAAAAATTAACCAGGGTGTTGGGGAAATTCAGATGTAATGCAGACAGTGACAAATGAATCTCATTGTGTTACAAATTATCTGTCATCTGGCCAGGCACGGTGGCTCACACTTGTAATCCCAGCACTTTGGGAGGCTGAGGTGGGAGGATTTGAGGTCAGGAGTTTGAGACCACCCTGGCCAACATGGCGATACCTCATCTCTACTGAAAATACAAAAATTAGCTGGCTGTGGTGGTGTGCAACTGTAATCAATGAGCCCACCTAGGTATACAATCTTGGTTTCTAAACACCATTCATTAAAAGGAACCAAGGCTACATGTAAAAATTGATAATTCTAGGGCTGAAGTTGAAAAATACAAGTTGAGCTACAGTATCTTGTAAAGCCACAAAGAAAAAAGTGCTTAATAAAATTGATGGGGACTTTTCAAAGGGAGCCAACCTGAAAGACCTCCCAATGGTCCAAGCTGCAACAATATGAGCAATAAATAATGACAGCTTTGTATTATGGCCCAGAGAATAAAGCAATATTCACACATCTCTGCTGACATAAAAGAGATTAGATATAATAAGGAAAAAAGGAAGGAAATCTTACAGTATTCAAAATGCAAATCAATGTAGTTGGATAGTGCAAAATAAATCAACACTAGAACATCACAGTAATAATTACTGTAGGGAAGAGTGCCTGAGGAATTCAAAAATTTCAGGAAAAACTTAAACACTAAAGAGTGTATTTGGGCCAGCCGTGGTGGTTCATGCCTGTAATCCCAGCACTTTGGGAGGCCGAGGCTGGTGGGTCACCTGAGGTCAGGAGTTCAAGACCAGTCTGGCCAACATGGTGAAACCCCCTCTCTAATAAAAATACAAAAATTAGCTGGGCGTGGTGGCTGGCACCTGTAATCCCAGCTACTCGGGAGGCTGAGGCAGGAGAATTGCTTGAACCTGGTAGGCAGAGGTTGCCGTGAATCAAGGTCGTGCCATGGCATTCCAGCCTGAGCAACAAGAGCAGAACTCCATCTCAAAAAAAAAAGAAAAGAAAAGTGTATTTGCATATTTTAAGTATCTGCCATCTAATATTAATACCTTTTTTCTTAATTTCTTAGACTTGTGACTGTTTGAAACAAATTATAACACTGTATTGTAGGATTTATAATTTGTAGTCGTAAAATTTATAAGACATGGAATAAGAAGATAAATGGAACTGTTCTGCAGCAAACTTTTCATGTTTTATATTTAAGACAGCATAGTATTAACTCTAAAAGTAGATTTGGTGGATATGTTAAAGATTCGTATTGTATTCCCTGCAGTAACCACTAAAACATGCAAAGAAGTGTAATGTCAATGCTAATAAAGGAATCATAATATAAAATATATATTTGCACAAGAATATTTATTTATCTTTTAGTCATAATAGCCAAAACAGGAAACAACCAAAATGTCCATCAATAAGAAAATGAACTAATTGTATAGCTTTTAGAACAAAATACAGCTCAGGAATACAAAAAACCAAGCATATATCCTGGATAAAATTCATAAACCTGCTCAATGAGAGAAAAGTTGGACACAAAATTGTACTTTATGTATTTATATATTTTATTATTTCAGGCAAAACAATCCTATGGTGAAAGAAATCAATGCAGAGATAATCTCTGCTTGAGAAAAAAAATTACCTGGGACAAAAGACAAGTGAATTTCTGAGGATGAAAATATTGCTTTGAAGGGGTGAAGTTTATACGGGTCTACTTATTTGTCTGAAATGTACAGTTAAAGTTTATGCCTTGCAATGTATGTACATCTTCACAAAAAAAATCTTAAAAAAATTAAGTGAGTTGGGTTGGTAAAGGGTTGAAGTATAGATGAAGCAGAAGTGGTACATGATTAGTAGTTGAAGCTGGGGGCAGGTCTATATATTTTATTTTTATGTCTTTAATAGCATTTGTATAAATGTACAATATTCATTTACACTGTTACCTCAGGATCTTGTTTACCTTTGGACAGGGAGGGAGGGAGAAATTTATTTTCTGGGTAGGAGTAAAGCTGGTTCTATTCCTCAGTTATGTAAATTATCTGTTATAATCCAAACAGCTTTACATGAATGTTTCTGTATGTAATGTGGTATATCAATAAAAAATTAAATATTACATATTTGCACCAGAATCCTAACTCACTATCTCAGAATGTTAGCAGCATTTTCTTTTGTTGTAAAGTGGAACACAATCTCATGGCATTAGCAGATGGGTTTGAATATTCTAAAGTATCAACGTCCTAATCTCATGGGCACCTCTTGGGTCTTTCCATTTTTGCCTTCATTTGCTAAGTGGCATGCTTTTGATTTTTTGAGATGAAACTTTTTCCCAGCAAAGTCTTTTCCCCACAGTGATGCTCTGAAAGCCAGGACACCTAGCACAGGACCCTGGGCATAGTATGCACTCAGTACATGTGGAGCATGTTGATCAGGAACAAAAGGAGTAGCAAAGGTCAGTTCCTGCAAAGGTGAGTAGATAATACAGGTATGACTGAAAGGCTGCAACTCAGGAGTAAACATTTTACATTCATTCAAGAGACAATTTGCAACTAGTACACCAAAAAATTTTGGCTTGAAGCAGTACTTTGGGGACTTGGCTAAACTCTGTAATCACTTGGAGAACTTTAAACAATACTGACGTCTGGGCCCTACTCCAGGGATTTTGATTTTATTGGTCTGTTGCAATTTAGGTTTTGGGAATTGTAGGGCCTCCGCATGTGACTGTAATGTGGAGCCAGGGGTGAGACCCACTGTTTCAGGGTGAGGGATGCATTAGCTGTGTGTGATTTCCATGTGTGCTGCAAGTATTTAACCTATGACCACTCCTGCATTTGGAGTCTTGGAAATTGCAGCAGGAGGAAATGTCTCTCTACAGATCTATTTTTTATGTCACTTGCTTTTAGAGTAAGAGGTTGTTTCAGGCACAGTAATTTGATTTAATCTGTGCTGAAAGCATAAGTAACCTGAAAATACTAAAATGAATTTGCAAACGTGAGAATTTGCAAACACGTGGAGTGTGTTCTTATGTGTTTTCCAATTTTTCTGATGATAAGAAATGACTAGGCCGGGGGCAGTGGCTCACACCTGTAATCCCAGCACTTTGCGAGGCCAACGTGGGCGGATCACCTGAGGTCGGGAGTTCGAGACCAGCCTGACCAACATGGAGAAACCCTGTCTCTACTAAAAATACAAAATTAGCCGAGTGTGGTGGCGTATGCCTGTAATCCCAGCTATTTGGGAGGCTGAAGAAGGAGAATTGCTTGAACCCAGGAGGCGGAGGTTGTGGTGAGCTGAGATGGCGCCATAGCACTCCAACCTGGGCAACAAGAGCAAAAACTCCGTCTCAAAAAAAAAAGAAATGAATAATGTTGGGCCTTGATTTCCTAAACTCAGCCCTCAGTCACTTTCTCAAATTATTTGAAGACCTTCCAAGTTGCTTCAGAAGCGTTGTCCAAAGGAGATTATTCCTAATAGTGAAGAGTAGTAGATGGATGAGAATGTCTAAGGAATCCTACTTCTGTCACAGAAGTGGCACTCTCCAGAACCTCAAGGACCCATGGCGTTCATGGGCTTTGGAGTCAGGCAGAGTTGACCCTGAGTCCCATCCCAGCCTCTTAATAGACTAGTTACTTGACTTGGAACAGTTATGCAAGACAAAGCATAATGATACTGATTGCAATAATGGGAACAATTCATTCCTCTCTCTATCCATGCCCTTTGCAATGTGTGCTTTTAGCTACTCCCATGGAGGGAAAGATTCTGTTTACCCATTCCTTGGATCTGACTGGCCTTATTTGCTGTGGCCAATTCATACTTATTGTTCTAGTGAAACAATTAGGCATGTTTTGCTCCTCATTCTAGACTTTAATTAAAATTAAAATTTTATGATATTTTATTTCTACTGTATTTTGCTGTATTCATTCTGCTCAGTATTCTAGTTCACTGGTCCTCTTATCTCTGTTTAATTTAGTGGTGAACCTATACATTGTCTGGTAACTTAATTTTGTATTATTCATATTCTATTGTGCTGTCGTTCAAATGTGGCTTTTAAACTTTAGTTTCTTGTTCTTTCCACAAAAATAAACATTGATTTTCTACTTTTCATTGTATTCATTTAAACATTTTAAATATAATTCCAATGTGCAAAGCTGTTGCATATTTTTTCTTCAGACATTTCTTCCTTATTATGTCACTCCGTTTTTCCTTTGGTTCTCTCTTTTGGGAGATACCATATTTGGGGTGTCTATAGTCATATTATTTCCAGTGTTTCTTTCGTTTTCCCTGGGAACATGATGAAAAACACACATAGATTTGACATCCTTGTGATCAGTGAGTATCTGAAGGAAGCATTTTTTTCTTAGTTTGACTACTCTGGGTCATTCTCTCGATTTACTTCTGCTTCTGTGAAGTTCTTATACTTTCCTTTAACTCCATTCAGCAACTTAAAGGTTCTTGTAACTTCTTGAGGATTTTTTAGTTGTCTATATTAAAATATGTAATAATATATAGCATTTTTCCTAAAAGCACAAATATCCAGTGTACATGAGTAAAATATTTCAATAGACATTGTGTAGCATACAGCAGAATCTTATGAGATATCCCTTTTCTTCATTCAGAACATGTGGTAATAGTAATTTGTAAACAGTAGGTTTTTTTAATACTTAAAAATTTGGTTTTTGCACATTTCTGAAAATATATACTTCATGCCAGTGAACAGAAACTGATCTAGATACAGCCAGAATTACTGTTTTTCTATAACATTAAGTTAATATTGATAAAATTATTTACCTGAATTCAGGTCTTTTGGCTTTAATCACTCTGCTTCCTTTTTAGCATGTTCCTGAATTTACAAAAGAATACATTTGGATTTCTACTTATTCTATAAATTAATTCAAACAGACAAGGGACGTTTGTGTATAGCTAGGTAGTACTTGTTGGTTACAATTTATCATTTCCAGAGTCATTTTAGTTGCCTAGAAAATAGTGACCTCTTGAATTTCTGCTATCATAAAATTCATGACATTGTTAGGTCTACACTTTGCCATTTATTTTTTTCACCTCTGGTACTGGAATATAATATGTATCTTATCTTTACTGGTGAAAAATGCTACCCATTTGTCTCTACCTAATTAGTCAAACTTTAATAAAGTTATTTAGCATGTTTATGTTCATTTAGTTACTGTATACCAAAACATTTTATTTCTATGATGGTCTTAATGTTACCTAATATGATTGATTGTAAATGGGTCAGTTTGTCATTTTTCATGAATTTCTGTGTTACATGTTTCAGGTATTAAGGCCATGTGTAATTGGCTTAGAATAATTCCTAACACATTGTAGGGGCTACTAAGTACTAACCACTCTGCTTTATCAAATTTCTATTTGTTCATACCATTCTTCATTTACTAAATTATTTTGGTATGTTATTCACATTTTTCTGTCCTCTCTAAAGATTTATTAAAAAGAGGAGGTAGGCTAATATGTCATGTTGATACAATTCAATGTCAAATGGCATGCTTCACTGTTTTTGTTTAGATGTAATAGTTTTTTTGACACAATGAAGTTTTAGTCATATTCTCAATGCTAAGACAGAGGAAGCTTTGGGTCATTCGTTGATTGTCCCAAAGACTCATTTGCCTACAATATACTTCCTGAGTCTTTCACACCAACTCCCCAGAAAATCTAGTTAGGGTGTGTGCCTCAGGGTTTCTCATGAGCTGTGGTCTCAACTATTACTTAACTGGGGAAGGATGGGCTTCCAAAACTCATACTGGTTAGTTGTGGCATCATTCAGTTTGGAGTCAGGCCTGGGTTCCTTTCTGTTGGTCGAGGTATTCCCTCCATTCTTTGTCACACAAGCCTGTAAGTAGAGAAGCTCAAATCATTGGAGCTTGCTTCTCCAGAGCAAAGTATATGCCACAGCAGGGTGGGGGAAGGAAGGAAGGAAATAAGGGTACCAGAGAGAGAGAAAGTAAGAGGTAAATGAAAATATTTTAGTAATTAAATATTGGAAGTGACATTCCATATCTTTAGTTGTATTATTTTGCCTAGAGGTGAGTCACTAACCACTTACTGGTTACACACGGTGTGTATACTGGGAAATGGGGATCTTCGTGAACCATCCTGGAGGCGGTTCACCACAGAGACCAAGGTGAGACAGATGGACCTGATTCTAAATAGAATGAGAAGATATTGGAAAGTTTATTGCCTCAGGATGACATTATTGAAATTTTATTTAATTTCAACTCCCTTATGGTGGATCTTGGGAAATGAGACCAGGAGGGGAAGCAACTTTCCCAACATGCAACTGATAAAACCCAGGCATGTTTCAGTTGTCCCACCCCATGTAATTCTCCCATCTCTGTGTTTATACATTAGCTACATGTGATACCAACTCACAATCATTGTATTATTTCACATAGCCCTGATGAGTTACCTTAGAATTAGGTAACTCCTGATGAGTCATCTTAGAACTAGGTAACTAGTATGATCTCTATTGTGCAGGTTGGGAGACTGTGGAGTCCCCCAGAAGCACAATGACATATCTAGGATGACATAACTGGTAAATTTATTGAAAAGAGGTTCTGACCTAGCTTTTCTTAACCTGTGGTCCTGGCTTCACTGAGTCTTCTCAGAGGCTGGGTGAGAGGGGTCTGTGTTTGCATAAATGTGTGCAGGTAATAAAATAACATGGGGAAGGAAGATGAGCAGTCAGCATCCCAGAGAAGCCTATGGGTAGGTCTTAGTAAAAGAATAATGAAACCTTGAAGAAGTGACCTCACTTCCTTGGTGAAAGACCCCAACAGAACTTAAAACTTTGGTAACCAGGCACTCACATTTCTGAAGGCAGCCTCCTATCAAGCTTAGCCAGAGACTGTCAAGAGAGCAAGATGTTCTGCTGTATCCCAACTTTTCAAAGCTCTTGCTTCAGTGAGAGCCTTTTCTAAAGATGCAGAATTTGGCTCATTGGCTCAGCTCTCAATCCCCAACCTCCATGCCTCAGGACATTTGGCAAGAGGTACCCCAAAGTAACCACAGGGTAGCCACTTCCAGGCCAATCCTCACTTGAGATCCCATCTGGACAACCTCATACCCTCTCCTCATCACCATATATGTGTGTAGGGGTGGGGAGCAGAAGGTAAGGTGAGGCTCTTCCTGGGAAGGAGCAGGTTGTTAGGTGCTGGAACTCTACTGTGTTCATACCCCAGGTCATGGCTGGCAGGATGGGAAGGTGAGTGTTGGGGATTAAGCTTGTTTACTCAGATTTGATTCTGAGACCTCAAGTTGTCATGTGGTTTTTGCCCTGGCTGGAGGTTCATGGAGATGCTCTTCTGTGCCTAATCTAGAATGCAGAACTTTAATCAGAGTATCTCCTTGTGGGAACAGCGCCAGGCAGGCCACTAACACCTCTCAGTCAATTTGCTGGGTACTCTATTTGCAGAATTCCATGGAGGAGATAAGTGAAGAGCTGTTTAACAGGTCCAATTCTACCTCCTTGGACAACAGACAGTTGCGCCACATCACAAACCATGGTCACTGCTGGGCAAGCTTGAGAGTGAGCACAAGAAGGATCATCACAGACAAGGACCTGAGATGACCAGAGTGGGCCCAGGGCCCAAACCTGAGTATAGAAACTCCCCTGGGCCCTGTCCTATATTTTTGCCAATTTAGTGGCTGATAGTTTCATTCCCTAAGGAACCTGGCCTCCATTAGTCCCCAGTGGCAACTTGACTAGGTGCAAAGTCCCTGTTCACATACTTCTAGAAATATCAAAGAAAACACTTTTGCATTGTTTTTACTTTACAATAGGCCATGAGTATCTTTGCATGTTGTTGCTGTTTTTTTTGTTTTCACAACTTGCCCCAAGTATTCCATGTAGCAGGCAGCTCCACTACTCTTCCAGACCTCCAATCTTAACCATTACTCTAAATTGGGTGCTTTATACAGAAAAGGGAGGGGTTTGGGCTATTCTAACATTTGTCTGTAACTTTTAATCTTATAAAACATATCATCATAACCCTGCCAGGTCAGAACCTGTGCCCTCACCTGTCATAATATTCCATAAGGAAGGCTGTTTCCCACAATGGTGCAGCCTTTCTGTGCTGGTGAAGATTGACGTGATTCAATTCTGTGGTCATCTCAGCCATACTGTAGGGGACATCCTATGTTTGTTCTAATAGACTATCAGTTTGCTGGGGCTTCCATACCACACTACCAGATTACCACTTGCTAACTGGCTTTAGAAACAAAAATGTACTCAATTCTGGAGACTAAAAATCCCATATTGAAGTGTCAGCTAGGGTGATTTCTCTCATTCAGTGACTTCCATTTTTATATTTTCATGGCTTTTGAAGAATAAAACATTTTAAATTTGGTGAAGTATAGTTTTCTCTTTTTGATTGTCCTTTGGTGTAAAATCTAAAATACTATTGCCTAATGCAAGGTTGCAAAACCTTAATATTCCTCCTAAGAATTTTTTAGTTTCAGCGATTACATTTAAGTGTATGATCTTTTTAACTTTTGTTTGTTGGTTGGTTGGCATGTTATTTGTTTTTTGATGTGTGATTTGAGTTAGGAGTCCAGTGTCATTATTTTGCAGGCCAATATCCAACTTTCCAGTATAGTTTGTTGAAAAGACTTTTCTTTCCTCAGAAATTTCTTGGCACATTTGTTCAAATGACATTATCATAAATGCATGTTTAGTAATGAAACTACCTATTTCATTGTTCTATATGAATCTATCCCTGTGCTACCACCACAGGCTTGATTATTGTTACTTTGTAGTAAATAAAAATTAGTTTTATTGAGTTTTAGAATTTTGTTATTCTTTTTTTGTTTTGTTTTTTTGTTTTTTTGAGGCAGAGTTGCACTCTTGTTGCGCAGGCTGGAATGCAATGGCGCTATCTCAACTCACCACAACCTCTGCCTCGCAGGTTGAAGCGATTCTCCTGCCTCAGCCTCCCAAGTAGCTGGGATTACAGGCATGTGCCACCATGCCCAGATAATTTTGTATTTTTAGTAGAGAAGGGGTTTCTCCATGTTGGTCAGGCTGGTCTCGAACTCCTGACCTCAGGTGATCTGCCCGCCTCCTCCTCCCAAAGTGCTGGGATTACAGGTGTGAGCCACCGTGCCCCGCTGAATTTTGTTATTACTTTAAGGATTGTGTTTGTGGTTTTTCTTTGCTTTGCATATATATGTGGATTTTGAGAAAGCTTGTCAATTTCTACAAAAACCATAGAAACTATAGTTGAAATTTGAAGGGACTCCATTTAATTTGTAGGTCAATTTTTGGGGTATTCTTTACAATATTATCATTTAACATAGGATGTCTTTGCATTTATTCAGCTCTTTGATTTGTTTTAGCATAAGGAAATCTTCCAGTGTAAAGTCCTTGCACTTGTTTTGTTAAATTTATCCGTGGGAGGGAGGGGTCATGATAGCTGACTAGAAACAGCTGCAGTTGAAGTTTCCCACTGAGAAGAATGAAAACTGCAAGTGAATCCTGCACCAGCACTGAGATACCCAGGTTCTCTCAATGAGACTGACTAGACAGTTGACATGACCCACAGAGAGTGAGGAAAAGTGGGGCAATGCCATGGCCCACCTGAGAACCACACAGGGTAACGGGAGTGCCCAACCCCATCCAAGGGAGGCGGTGAGTGATCCTTCTACCCTGCCTGGGAAACCATTGCTTTTTCCACAGATCTGTACAACCTACAGATCAAGAGATCCCTCTCATGAGCCCACGCCACGAGTTCCTTGGGTTCCAAGCACAGAGCTGTACAGATTCTCAGCAGCCACTTGGCTGGAGACTACCTAAGACTACCTAGTTCTCAGAGAGAGGGGTGGCCATTATCACTGCAGCTGCCTGCTGCCTAAGATGACTGAGCTCCCGGGGGGAGGGGTGGCAGCCATCACTGCAGCTCCAGACTGCCATGTTTTCCCTGCTGGTGCCAGGGAGACTAGACAGTTTGGACCCAGAAGGAATTCCCCACAGTGCAGCACAGCAGCTGTGGCAGATTGTGGCCAGACTGCCTCTTTAGGCCAGACCCTGACCCAGTGCTCCTCACTGAGGGGGAGGAGCCTCCCTAAAGGAATTTTAGCAACTCCAGCCAGGGGTTTAGGGACAGAACTCTGATCCCCCGGGACTGAACGCCTGAGGGGAGGGACAGCCACAGTCTCTTTGGATCAGCCTTATCCGCCTGCTTGTTCTGAGGAATTCAGGCAGTCCAGATGAGTGGGATTCCCCTCAGTGCAGCACACTGACTCTGCCAAGGGGCAGCCAGAATGCTTCGTTAAGTGGGTCCCAGATCCCAACCCTCCTGACTGGATGAGACCACTCCCAACAGAAATTGCCAGACACCTTATATAGGAGAGTTCTTGCTGGCATCAGGTCAGTGCCCCTCTGGGACAGAGATCCCAGAGGGAAGGAGCAGGCAGCTATCTTTACTGTTCTGCAGCCTCCACTGATGACACCTCCAGGTGTGGGAGGAATCCAGGCAAAAGGGTCTGGAGTGGACCCCCAGCAAAACACAGCTGCCCTGTGGAAGAGGGCCCTGACTGTTAAAAGAAAAACAAACAAACAGAAAGCAACAACAATAGCATCAACAAAAAAGTCACCATAAATACCCTGTACAAAGGTCAGGACCCTCAAAGATTGAAGGCAGATAAACTCATGAAGATGAGAAAGAACAAAAATCTCTAAAAACTCAAAAAGCCAGAGGGCCTCTTCTCCCCCACATGATCACAACACCTCTCCAGCAAGGACAAGCAGCTGGGTGGAGGCTGAGATGGATGAATGTACAGAAATAGGCTTCAGGAGGCAGGTAATAGTGAACTTCGCTGAGATAAAGGAGTGTGTTCTAACCCAATGCAAACAAGCTAAGAACCATGATAAATCATAAGGAACCGTTAAACAGAGCAACCAGTTTAGAGAGGAACATAAAAGACCTGATGGACAACACGAGAATGTCAAAATGCAACCACAAGTATCACTAACCACATAGACCAGGCAGAGGGAAGAATTTCAGAGCTTGAAACCTATCTTGCTGAAACAAGATAAGGTTAGAGAAAAAAGAAAGAAAAGGAATGAACAAAACCTAACTATGGAATTATGTAAAAAGACCAAACCTACAACTAATTGGGGTACCTGAAAGCGATGGGGAGAATGGAACCAAGTTGGAGAACATAATTCAGGATATCATCCAGGAGAACTTCCCCAACTCAACAAGACAAGCCAACATTTGAATTCAGAAAATCTAGAGAACTGCAGTAAGATAGCCCATGAGAAGATCAATCCCAAGATACATACTCATCAGATTCTCCAAGGTCAAAATGAAGGAAAAAATGTTAAGGGCAGCCAGAGAAAAAGGTCAGGTCACCTACAAAGGGAAGGCCATTTGACTAATAGCAAACATCTCAGCAGAAACACTGCAAGCCATAAGAGATTGGGGGTCAATGTTCAACATTCTTAAAGAAAAGAATTTTAAATTGAGAATTTAGTATCCAGCCAAACTAAGCTTCATAAGCAAAGGAGAAATAAAATCTTTTTCAGACAAGCAAATGCTGAGGGAATTTGTCACCACTAGGCTTGTCTTGCAAGAGCCCCTGAAGGAAGCACTAAATATGGAAAGGAAAAACTATTACTAGCCACTGCAAAAACACATGGAACTACAAAGACCAATGACACTAAGAAGCAACTATGTCAACAGGTCTGCAAAATAACCAGCTGACATCATTTGACAGGATCAAATTCAAACATAACAATATTAACCTTAAGTGTAAATGGCCTGAATGCCCCAATTTAAAGACACACAATGGCGAGCTGGATAGAGTCAATCAAGATCCATCAGTGTGCTGTATTCAAGAGACAAATCTCACCGTGAAGACACATATAGGCTCAAAATAAAGGGATGGAGGAAAATTTACCAAGCAAATGGAAAGCAGAAAAAAGCAGGGGTTGCAATCCTAGTTTCTGACAAAACAGGCCTTAAACCAACAAAGATCAAAGAAGATAATGAGGACATTACATAATGGTAAAGGAATCAATTCAACAGGAAAAGCTAACTATCCTAAATATATGTGCACTCAATATAGGAGCACCTGGATTTATAAAACAACTTATTAGAGACTTAAAAGAGATGTAGACGCCCACACAATAATAGTTGGAGACTTTAACACCCCACTGTCAGTATTAGACAGATCAAGACAGAAAATCAACAAGAATATTCAGGACTTGAACTCAACTTTGGATCAAGTGGACCTGATAGATATCTACAGAACTTTCAATGCAAAAGCAATAGAATATATACATTCTTCTCAGTGCCACATGATACTTACTCTAAAATCAATTACATAATTGGAAGTAAAACACTCCTCAGCAAATGCAAAATAACTGAAATCACAGCAAACAGTCTCTCCAACCACAGCACAATCAAATTAGAACTCAAAATTAAGAAACTCACTCAAAACCACACAACGACATGGAAATTGAACAACCTGCTCCTGAATGACTCCTGGGTAAATAATGAAATTAAGGCAGAAAGCAAGAAGTTCTTTGAAACCAATGAGAACAAAGAGACAATGTACCAGAATCTCTGGGACACAGCTAAAGCATGTTAAGAGGGAAATTTATAGGACTAAAATGCCCACATCAAAAAGCTAGAAAGATCTCAAATCAACACCTTAACATCACAACAAAAAGAACTAGAGAAACAGGAGCAAACAAGCCCAAAGCTAGCAGAAGACAAGAAATAACCAAGATCAGAGTGGATCTGAAGGAGATAGAGACATGAAAAACTCAAAAAAATCAGTGAATCCAGGAGCTGGTTTTTTGAAAAAAATAAAATAAATAAAATAGATAAACCACTAGCAAGACTAATAAAGAAAAAAAGAGAGAAACATCAAATGGACACAATAAAAAATGATAAAGGGGATATTACCACTGACCCCACAGAAATACAACCAACCATCAGAGAATACTGTAAACACTTCTAAGCAAATAAACTAGAAAATTTAGAAGACCAATAAATTCCTGGACACATACACCCTCCCAAGACTGAACCAGGTAGAAGTTGAATTCCTGAATAGACCAATAACAAGTTCTGAAATTGAGGCAATAATAAATAGCCTACCAACCAAAAAAGCCCAGAACCAGATGGATTTATGGCTGAATTCTAGCAGAGGTACAAAAAGGAGCTCATACCATTTCTTCTGAAACTATTCCAAAAACATGAAAAGGACGGACTTTTTCCTAACTCATTTTCTGAGGCCAGCATCATCTGGATATCAAAACCTGGCAGAAATACAATGAAAACAAAAGCAAGAAACTTCAGGCCAATATCCCTGATGACTATTGATGCAAAAATCCTCAATAAAACATGGCAAACCAAATTCAGCTGCACATCAAAAAGCTTATTCACCATGATCAAGTCGGCTTCATCCCTAGGATGCAAGGCTGGTTCAACATATGCAAATCAATAAACATAATTCATCACATAAACAAAACTAAAGGCAAAAACCAAGTGATTATCTCAATAGATGCAGAAAAGGCCTTCGATAATATTCAACATCCCTTCATGTTAAAAAGTCTCAGTAAAGTAAGTATTGATGGAGCATACCTCAAAATAATAAGAGCCATTTATGACAAACCCACAGCTAAGATCATACTGAATGGGCAAAAGCTGGAAGCATTCCCCTTGAAAACCAGCAAAAAACAAGGATGCCCTCTCTCACCACTCCTATTCAACATAGTATTGGAAGTTCTGGCCAGGGCAATCAGGCAAGATAAGGAAATAAAGTGTATTTGAATAAAAAGAGAGGAAGTCAAGCCATCTCTGTTTGCTGATGACATGATCCTATATCTAGAAAACCCCATCATCTCAGCCCAAAAGCTTCTTGAGCTGATAAGCAACTTCGGCAAAGACTCAGGATACAAAATCAATGTGCAAAAATTACAAGCATTCCTATACACAAACAAGAGACAAGCAGGGAGCCAAATAATGAATTAACTCCCGTTCACAATTGCTACAAAGAGAATAAAATACTTAGGAATACAGCTAACGAGGGAAGTGAAGGACCTCTTCAAGGAGAACTACAAACCACTGCTCAAAGAAATCAGAGAGGACACAAGGAAATGGAAAAACATTCCATGCTCATGGCTAGAAGAATCAGTATAATGAAAAAGGCCATTCCACCCAAAGTAATTTATAGATTCAATGCTATTTCCATTAAACTACCATTGACATTCTTCACAGAATTAAAAAAAAAAACTGCTTTAAAATTCACATGGAACCAAAAAAGAGCCTGTATTGCCAAGACAATCCTAAGCAAAAAGAACAAAGCTGGAGTCATCATGTTACCAGATTTAAAACTATACAACAAGGTTACAGAAACCAAAAGAGTGTGGTACTGATACTAAAACAGACATATAGACCAGTGGAACAGAATAGAGACCTCGGAAATTGACCCCACATCTACAACCATCTGATCTTTGACAAACCTGACAAAAACAAGCAATGGGGATAGGATTCCCTATTTAATAAATAGTGCTGGGAAAACTGGCTAGCCATATGCAGAAAATTGAAACTGGACCTCTTCCTTACACCTTATATAAAAATTAACTCAAGATGGATTAAAGACTTAAATATAAACCAAAAATTATAAAAACCCTAGAAGAAAATCTAGGCAATACCATTCAGGACATAGGCACAGGCAAAGATTTTACGATGAAAATATTAAAAGCAATTGCAACAAAAGCAAAACTTGACAAATGGGATCTCATTAAACTAAAGAGTTTATGCACAGTGAAAGAAACTATTATCAGAGTGAACAGACAACCTACAGAATGGGAGAAAATTTTTGCAATCTATCCATCTGACAAGGTCTAGTAGCCAGGATCTACAAGGAAGTTAAACAAATTTACAAGAAAAGAGCAATCCCATTAAAAAGTGGACAAAAGACATCAACAGATACTTCTCAAAAGATGACTTTTTCAGCCAACAAACATTTTAAAAAGCAACAAACATTCTCATCACTGATCATTAGAGAAATGCAAATCAAAACCACAATGCAATACCATGCCATGCCAGTCAAAATGGTGATTATTAAAAAGTCAAGAAACAACAGATGCTGCCAAGGCTGTGGAAAAATAGGAACGCTTTTACACTGTTGGTGGGAATGTAAATTAGTTCAACCATTATGGAAGACAGTGTGGCAATTCCTCAAAGACCTAGAACCAGAAATACCATTTCACCCAGCAATCCCATTAGTGGGTATATACCCAAAGGAATATAAATCATTCTATTATAAAGATACATCCATGCATATGTTCATTACAGCACTATTCCCAATAGCAAAAACATGGAGTCAATCCAAATGCCCACCAATGATAGGGTGGATAAAGAAAATGTTGTACATACACACCATGTAATACTATGCAGCCATAAAAAGGAATGAGATTATATTGTTGGCAGGGACGTGGATGGAGCTGCAAGCCATTATCCATGTCCAGCAAACTAAAACAGGAACAGATAACCAAACACCACATGTTCTCACTTACAAGTGGGAGCTGAACAGTGAGAATACATGGACACAGAGAGGGAAACAACAAACACTAGGGCCTGTTGGGGGGCTGGGGGGAGGGAAAGGTTCAGGATAAATAGCTAATGCAGGTGGGGCTTAATATCTAGGTGATGGGTTGAGAGGTGCAGCAAACCACTATGGCACACATTTAGCTATGCAACAAATCTGCACGTCCTGCACATGTATCCTGGAACATAAATTTAATTTAAAAAATTATCCATGAATATTCTTTCTTTTTGATCTATTATAAATGGAATTGTTTCCTTTATTCAATTTTCAGATAGTTGTTTGCTAGTATATAAAAATACAATTCAATTTACATGTTGATCTTGTATCTTGTGACATGGATGAATTTCTTAGTTCTAGTGAGTTTTAGTAAATTCCTGACAAATTTTTATATAGAAGATTACGTTGTGTGCAATGAAACACAGTTCTACTTTTTTTATTCAAACTGGACAATTTTATTTTACTTTCCAGTACAATTTCCCTGGCTGGAGTACAGTGTTGGATAGAGGGTTAAAAGTGGAAATTATGGTCCTATTCCCAAACTTATCAGTAAAGTACTCAGTCTTTCACCATCAAGTATAATGCTAGTTGTAGGTTTTTATAGATGGCTTTTAGCAGAACTCACTTTTTTTCTATTAGTAGCGTTCTGTGTTTTTTTTTTTATCACAATGTATGTTGGATTTTTGTCAAGTGTTTTTCTGTGTCTATCGAAATGTTCTTTTTGTCATGTATTCAAGTAATATTGTGTATTATCTTAATTGACTTTTAGATGTTAAGCTAACATTGCATTTATGAAAATAAAATCTCACTTGGCTATGGTATATAATCATGTTTATTATGTTCCTGGAATAAGTTTCCTAGTATTTAATAAGGATTTCTGTGTCTGTAGTCATTAGGGATTTTTCTCTATAGTCTTCTTGCAACACTTTTGTCCAGCTTTGGTATTATGGCACTCCTGGCCTCATAGAGTAAATTGGGGAGTGTTGCTTCTATTTTTGGAAGTCATTTTGAAGAATTAGCATGAATATTTTATTAGATGTTGATAAGATTTATCATTAAAAGCTTTTGATTCAGAGATTTTTGATGTGGAAGACTTTTAATTAATATTTTGTCTTCTGATATGACTTTATATAGAGTCATGTATTATTTATCAATGGGGATGTGTTCTGAGATATGTGTTGTTAGGCATTTCATCACTTTGCAAACAGTATAAACTGTACTTACACAAACCTAGATGGTAAACTCTATTGCATACCTAGGCTATATGGTATAGCTTATTGCTCCTATGCTACAAGTCTGTGCAGCATGTTACTCTACTGAATGCTGTAGGCAGTTGAAACACAATGGTAAGTATTTATGTATCTGAAGATACCTAAACATAGAGAAGGTACAGCAAAAAATACTATATGAAAGATAAAAAATGGTACACCTTTATAGAGCACTTACCATGAATGGAGCTTATGGGGCTGTAAGTTGTATAGTAAACACATAAATTAATAACATAGTCATTTATTATCATTATCAAGTATTATATGCTGTATATAATTGTATGTGATATACATTTATATGACTGACAGCACAGGGTTGTCTACCCCAACTGACGTGGTTTGGCTGTATGTCTCCATCCAAATCTCATCTTGTAGCTCCCATAATTCCTATATGTTGTGGGAGGGATCCAGTGGGACATAATTGAATCATGGGGGCAGGTCTTTCCCGTACTGTTCTTGTAATAGTGAATAAGTCTCATGAGATCTGATGATTTTAAAAATGGGAGTTTCCCTGCACATGCTCTCTTTCTTTGCCAGCCACCATTCATGTAAGATGTGACTTGCTCCCCCTTGCCTTCTGCCATGATTGTGAGGCCTCCTCAGCCATGTGGAACTGTAAGTCCATTAAACCTCTTTCTCTTGTAAATTGCCAAGTCTCGAGTATGTCTTTATCAGCAGTGTGAAAATGGACTAATACAGTAAATTGGTACCAGGAGTGGGGCACTGCTGAAAAGATACCCCAAAATATAAAAGCGACTTTGGAACTGGGTAACAGGCAGAGGTTGGAACAATTTGGAGGGCTCAGAAGAAGACAGAAAAATGTGGGAAAGTTTGGAACTTCCTAGAGATTTATTGAGTGGCTTTGCCCAAAATGCTGGCAGCAATATGGACAATAAAGTCCAGGCTGAGGTGGTCTCACATGGAAATAAGGAACTTTTTGGGAACTGGAGCAAGGGTGACTCTTGTTATGTTTTACCAAAGAGACTGGTGACATTTTGCTCCTGCTGCAGAGATCTCCAGAATTTCAAACTTGAGAGAGATTAGTTAGGGTATATGGCAGAAGAAATTTCTAAGCAGCAAAGCATTAAAGATGTGACTTGGGTGCTGTTAAAGGCATTCAGTTTTATAAGAAAAGGAGACTATAAAAGTTCAGAAAATCGCAGCCTGACAATGCAATAGAAAAGAAAATCCCATTTTCTGAGGAGAAATTCAAGCCAGCTGCAGAAATTTTCATAAGTAACAAGGAGGTGAATGTTAACCCCAAAGACAATGGGGAAAATATCTCCAGGACATTTCAGAGGTCTTCACAGCAGCTCCTCCCATCACACGCCTGGAGGTCTAGGAGAAAAAAATTATTTTGTAAGCTGGGCCCAGGGTCCTCCTACTGTGGTGAATCTAGGGACTTGGTGCCCTAAGTCCCAGCCACTCCAGCCACTTGGCTGACTAAAAGGGGCCAAGGTACAGCTTAGACCATGGCTCCAGAAGGTGCAAGCCCCAAGCCTTGGCAGCTCCACGTGGTGTTGAGCTGCAGGTGCACAGAAGTCAAGAATTGAGGTTTGAGAACCTCTGCCTAGATTTCAGAGGATGTATGGAAACACATGGATGTCCAGGCAGACGTTTGCTGCAGGGTTGGGGCTCTCCTGGAGAACCTCTGCTATGGCAGTGCAGAAGGGAAATGTGGGTTCAGAGCCCCCAGGCAGAGTCCCTACTGTGGCACCACCTAGTGGAGCTGTGAGAAGAGGGCCACTGCCCTCCAGGCCCCAGAATGGTAGAACCACCAACAGCTTGCACTGTTCACCTAGAAAAACCACAGACACTCAACACCAGCCTGTGAAAGCAGCTGGTAGGAAGGCTGTACCCTGAAAAGCCACAGAGGCAGACCTGCCCAAGACCATGGAAACCCACCTCTTGCATCATCATGACCTGGATGTGAGACATGGAGTCAAAAGAGATCATTTTTGAGCTTTAAGATTTGACTGCCCTGCTGGATATTGAACTTGCATGGGGCCGGTAGCCCCTTTGTTGTGGCCAATTTCTCCCATTTGGAATGACTGTATTTACCCAATGCCTGTAACCCCATTGTATCTAGGAAATAACTAACTGGCTTTTGATTTTACAGTTTCATGGGCAGAAGGCACTTGCCTTGTCTTGGATAAGACTTTGGACTTTTTAGTTAATGCTGAAATGAGTTAAGCTGAGAAGGATGTATGTCACCTCAGGACCTTGTGATGATTGCGTTAACTGCACAAATTGTTTGTAGAGCATGTGTGCTTGAACAATATGAAATCTGGGCACCTTGAAAAAAGAACAGGATAACAGCAATGTTCAGGGAACAAGACAGATAACCTTAAACTCTGATTGCCAGTGAGCTGGGCGGAACAGAGCCATATTTCTCTTCTTTCAAAAGCAAATGGGAGAAATATCACTGAATTCTTTTTCTCAGCAAGGAACATCCCTGAGAAAGAGAATGTGTCCCTGAGGGTAGGCCTCTGAAATGGCCGCTTCAGGGGGTGGCCATCTTTTATGGTCGAAGCTGTAGGGATGAAATAAGCCCCAGTCTCCTGTAGCACTCCCAGGCTTATTAGGACGAGGAAATTCCCACTTAATAAATTTTGGTCAGACCGGTTGTCTGCTCTCAAACCCTGGCTCCTGATAAGATGTTATCAATGACAATGCATGCCCGAAACTTCATTAGCAATTTTAATTTTGCCGCAGTCCTGTGGTCCTGTGATCTCGCCCTGCCTCCATTTGCCTTGTGATATCTTATTACCTTGTGAAGCATGTGATCACTGTGACCCACACCCTATTCGTACACTCCCTCCCCTTTTGAAAATCATTAATAAAAACTTGCTGGTTTTATGGCTCAGGGGGTATCATGGAACCTGCCGATACGTGATGTCTCCCCCGGACACCCAGCTTTAAAATTTCTCTCTTTTGTACTCTGTCCCTTTATTTCTCAGACCGGCCAACACTTAGGAAAAATAGAAAAGAACCTACGTGACTATTGGAGGCAGGTTCCCCCGATATCATATTTTCTGAACACTCTAAATTACAATAGAAAGTGTCTATTAAAATGTATTGGTTCATTCTCATGCTGCTATAAAAACTGCCCAAGACTGGGTAATTTATAAAGGAAACAGGTTTAGTTGACTCAGTTCCACAGGGCTGGGGAGGCCTCACAATACTTACAATCATGGTGGAAAAGGAAGCAAACACATCCTTCCACACATGATGGCAGGAAAAAGAAGTGCAGAATGAAGGGGGGAAAGATCCTTATAAAACCATCAGATCTGGTGAGAACTCACTCTCTATCATGAAAACAGCATGGAGGTAACTGACTCCATGATTCAATTGGCTCCCACTTGTTGCTCCCCTGACACATGGGGATTATGGGAACTACAATTCAAGATGAGATTTGGGTGGGGACACAGCCAAACCACATCATTATGCCCTGGCCCATCCCAAATCTCATGTCCTCACATTTCAAAACACAATCATGCCCTCCCAACAGTTCCCCAAAGTCTTAACTCATTCCAGCATTAACTCAAAAGTCCAAGTCAAAGTCTCATCTGAGACAAGGCAAGTCCCTTCCACCTGTAAGCCTGTAAATTCAAAAGCAAGTTAGTTACTTCCTAGATATAATAGGGGTACAGGCATTGAGTAAATACACCCATTTCAAGTGGAAAAAGTTGGCCAAAATGAAGGAGATACAGGCCCCATGTGAGTCCAAAATCCAGTAGGGCAGTCAAATCTGAAAGCTCAAAATGATCTCCTTTGACTCCATGTCTCATATCCAGCTCACACTGATGCAAGAGGTGAGTTCCTATGGCCTTGGGCAGCTCTACCCCTTTGGCTTTTCAGGGTACAGCCCCCCACTCCTTGCTGCTTTCACAGGCTGTCATTGAGTGCCTGCGGTTTTTCCAGGTGCAGGGTGCAAGCTGTCCGTGGATCTACCATTTCTGGGGTACAGGATGGTGGCCCTGTTCTCACAGCTCCACTAGGCAGTGTCCCAGTAGGAACTCTGTGTGGGGGCTCTGACTCCACATTTTCCTCCCACACTGCCCTAGCAGAAGTTCTCCATGAGGGCTCTACCCCTGCAGCAAACTTCAGTCTGGACATCCATGTGTTTCCATACATCCTCTGAAGTCTAGGTGGAAGTTCTCAAACCTCAATTCTTGACTTCTGTGCAACTGCAGGCTCAACAACATATGGAAACTGCCAAGGCTTGGGGCTTGCACCCTCTGAAGCCACAGCTCAAGCTGTACTTTGTCCCTTTTTAGCCACTGCTGGAGTAGCTAGGATGCAGGGCACCAAGTTGCTAGGCTGCACACAGTAGGGGGGCCCTGGGCCCAGCCCACAAAACCATTTTTTCCTCTTAGGCCTCCAGGCCTGTGATGGGAGGGGCTGCCATGAAGGTCTCTGACTTGCCCTGAAGACATTTTCCCCTTTGTCTTGTGATTAACACTCAGCTCCTCATTGCTTATGCAAATTTCTGCAGGAGGCTTGAATTTCTCCCCGGAAAATGGGCTTTTTTTTTTCTGTTACATCACCAGGCTGCAAATTTTTCAAACTTTGTGCTCTGCTTTCTCTTGAATGCTTTGCCACTTAGGAATTTCTTCCACCAGATACTCTAAATCATCTCTCCCAAGTTCAAAGTTTTACAAATCTGTAGGGCATGGGCAAAATGCCACTTTTGCATAGCACAAGTGGCCTTTACTGCAGCTCCCAGCAAGTTTCTCATCCCTATCTGAGACCACCTCAGCCTGGACCTCACTGTCCATATTACTATCAGCATTTTGGTCAAAGCCATTCAACAATTTTCTAGGAAGTTCCAAACTTTCCCACATCTTTCTGCCTTCTGAGGCCTCCAAGTCTCTAGGAAGTTCCAAACTTTCTCACATTTTCCTGTCTTCTGAGCCCTCCAAGTTTCTAGGAAGTTCCAAAGTTTCCCACATTTTCCTGTCTTCTGAGCCCTCCAAAGTGTTCCAACCTCTACCTGTTACCCAGTTCCAAAGTCGCTTCCACATTTTGGGGTATTCTTATAGCAGCACCCCACTCTGTGGTACCAATTTGCTGTATCAGTCCATTCTCATGCTGCTATGAAAAAATACTGGAGACTGCATAATTTATAAAAGAAAGAGGTTTAATTGACTCACAGTTTGCCCATGCAAGGTATTGAATTGTGAGTGTGCTCACAATTGTGATTTCAAATACCACTTTTCCACTCAATCAACCCTGCTACTTGGGTTTTACATGACCCAATCTTGGACATCATGTCTGGTAAAATGCATGCCTTGGTCACAATCAATGTATCAAGGCCATCCGTATGTGACACTGACCTCAATCCAAGCCATTAATTGTGGCCGTTTGGTTTGGCCTTTTGCAAGGGAAGGCCTGCAGCAATTCCATGGCAGTATCTACACATGTTAGTGTATACTTTTGACCCACGTTTACTGGCAGGTGTTTAATGTGGTCTAAAACAGGGGCAGCTGTCTTATGCATGTGTCCAGGTGTATGTGGGATGCTGCAAGGGCACATATGTGAGCGAACTAAACAGTTTGTTAATGCTATAGCTAAATCCGCATAGCAGGGTGGTGATCCTGTTCCCTTTGCTATTTGCCAGCTCCCTTGTTCACTGCAGTGCCTCTAACCTGCTTTCCTCCTCCCCAAAGGTAACTAAGATCTTAAAAGTTAACATTGTAAATCAACCTTGTCATTTCATACAAATGTTTTAATACAGGACATTTTTAGAAAATTGTTTTTTTACGTATATTTAGGGGACACAAGTGCCGATTTCTTTTCTTTTTTTTTTTTTTTTTTTGAGATGGAGTCTCACTCTATCACACAGGCTGGAGTGCAGTGATGCGATCTCAGCTCACTGCAACCTCCACCTCCTGAGTTCAAGTGATTCTCCTGTCTCAGCCTGGGACTACAGGCACACGCCACTATGCCCAGCTAATTTTTCTATTTTTAGTAGAGATTGGGTTTTACCATATTGGTCAGGCTGGTCTCGAACTCCTGACCTCAGGTAATCCACCCACCACGGCCTCCCAAAGTGCTGGGATTACAGGCATGAGCCAGCCACAAGTGTCAGTTTCTTTTTTTGTTTGTTTCTTTTTTTCTTCTCTTTTTTTTCTGAGACGGAGTCTTGCTCTGTCACCCAGGCTGGAGTGCAGTGGCGCGATCTCGGCTCACTGCAAGATCCGCCTCTCAGGTTCACGCCATTCTCCTGCCTCAGCCTCCTGAGTAGCTGGGACTACAGGCACCCACCACAACGCCCAGCTACGTTTTTGTATTTTTAGCAGAGACAGGGTTTCACCATGTTGGCCAGGATGGTCTCGATCTCCTGATCTTATGATCCGCCCGCCTTGACCGCCCAAAGTGCTGGGATTACAGGCATGAGCCACCGCACCCAGCCACAAGTGCCAGTTTCTTACATGCATACATTGCATAGTGGTGATGTCTGGGCTTTTAGTGTACCCATCACCCGAACAGTGAAATTTCTTCCCAGTTGTTTTTCACCCCTCACCCTACTTCCGCCCTCCAATCTTTCGTGGACTCCAGTGACTTATTTCACTCTATAAGTCAATGAGAACCCATTGTTTAGCCCCTACTTATGAGATCAAACAGTATTGAATGTTCTCTTCTTGAGTTATTTCACTAAGGAAAATAGCTTCCAGTTTCATCCTTGTTGCTGCAAAAGACATGATTTCTTTTTTTTTTAATGGTTGAGTATTTTGTGGTATATGTGTACCACATTTTAATTTTTTTATTTTTATTTTTTCGGTGTAACATAGTAGGTGTTATATGTCTATGAGGTATATGAAATATTTTGATACAGACATACAATGTGTAATAATCATATAGGGGTAAATGGGGATTCATCACCCCAAGCATTTCTTCCTTATGTTATAAACAACTCAACTATACTCTTTTAGTTATTTTTAAATGTGCAATTATGTTATTTTTTACTATAGTCACCCTGTTGTGCTAGCAAATACTATATCTTATTCTTTCTATTTTTTTTGTATGCATCAATTATCCCCACTCTCCCACCCACTGGTAACCATCAGTGGATTATGGGCTCGGGGTGCATATCATTCTCAGCCTCTGGTAAACACCATTCTACTCTCTATCTCCATGAGTTCAATTGTTTTAATTTTTAGCTGCCACAAATAAGTGAGAACCTGCCAAGTTTGTCTTTCTGCACCTGGCTTATTTTACATAATGTGATGACTTCCAGTTCCATCCATATTGTTGCAGATGAGAGAATCTTATTATTTTACAGCTGAATAGCCCATTGTGTACATGTACCACATTATTTATACATTCATCTGTTGATGAACACTTAGGTTGCTTTCATATCTTGACTATTGTGAATAGTGCTGTAAATAAACATAAGAATGCAGATATATTTTTAATATAGTGATTTATCTCCCTTTGACTATATACCTAGTAGTGGGATTGCTGCAGCTAATGGTAGTTCTATTTTTAGTTCTTTGAGAACTCTCCATACTGTTTTCCATAAAGGTACTAATTTATATTCCCACCAACAGTGTATAAGCATTCCCTTCTCCCTGTAGCCTCACCAACATCTGTTGCTTTTAGACATTTTAATAATAGCCATTCTGACTCATGTAAGATGGTATCTCATTGTGGTTTTCATTTGTATTTCTCTGATGATTAATGATGTTTAGGATCTTTTCATATGTTTATTGGCCACTGGCATATGTTGTTTTGGAAAATCTCTCTCTGTTATGTCCTTTGCCAACTTTTTAACGGGGTCACTTGTTTTCCTCTTGTTGAGTTGAGTTCCTTATAAATTCTGGATGTCAGCCCTTTGTCATATGCATAGTTTGCAAATATTTTCTTCTGTTCTGTAGGTTGTCTGTTTACTTTGTTATTTCTTTTGCTGTGCAGAATCTTTTTAGTTTAATTGAGTCTACTTCTGTTTTTGTTATGTTTACTTTTGAGGACTTTGTCATAAATTCTTTGCCTAGGCCAATGTCTAGAAGAGTTTGTCCTAGGTTTTCTTTCTTCCAGAATTTTTATAGTTTCAGGACTTATGTTTAGATCTTTAATCCATCTTGAGTTAATTTTTCTATATGGTCAGAGGTCTAGGTCCAGTTTTATTCTTCTGCATATGGCTATTCAATTTTCCCACCACCATTATTGAATAGGGAGGGAGTCATTTCCCCAGTGTACATTTTTGTTGACTTTGTCAAAGATTGGTTGTTCGGATGGTTCATTGGATGTGACTTTGTTTCACGGCTCTTTATTATGTTCCACTGATCTATGTCTATTTTTATACCAGTACCACGTTGTTTTGATTACTATAGCCCCATAGTATAATTTGAAGTTGGATAATGTGAAGTCTCTGGTGTTGTTCTTTTTGGTTAGAACTTCTTTGGCTATTTCGGTTCCATATCAGGATCTTTTTTTCGTTCCATATGAATTTTAGGAATTCTTTTCTAATTCTGAATAAAAGGACATTGGTAATTGGATAGGAATTGCATTGAATCTATAGATTTATTTGGCCAGTATGGCCACTGTGAAAATATTGGTTCTTCCAATTCACGAGCATATGCCATATTTTCTTTGTTTATGGAATTTGGTTTTTTTTTTTTCACTAGTGTTTTGTAGTTCTCCTTATAGAGATCTTTTACCTCCTCAGTTAAATATAGTCCTGGGTATTTTATTTTTTGTAGCTGTTGTAACTAGGATTGCCTTCTTGCTTTGTTCCTCAGCTAGATCATTATTGGTGTATAGAATCAGTATTGATTTCTGTACATTAATTTCATATCCTGAAACTTTACTGAATTTATTGATCAAATCTGAGAGTTTTTTGGTGGAGTCTTTAGGGTTTCCTAAATATAAGATCATATCATCAGTGAACAGGAAAAATTCTACTTCCTCTTTTTCAGTTTACATGCCTTTTCTTTCTTTCTCTTGCCTGATTGTGCTGGCAAGGACTTCCAGTACTATGTTGAGTAACAGTGGTGACAGTGGGCATTTTTGTCATCTTCCAGTTCTTATGGGAAATGCTTTCGACTTTCAACAGTATGATGTTGGCTGTGAGTTTCTTGTATATGGGCTTTATTATGTTGAGGTATGTTGCTTTTATAACTGGTTTCTTGTGGATTTTTAAATGAAGCGATGCTGAATTTTATCAAAGGCTTTTTCGGCATCTGTTGAGATAATCATACCATTTTTATCCTTAATTCTGTTTATGTGATGTGTCACGTTTATTGAATTGTGTATATTGAACTATCCTTGCATCTCTGGTATGAGTCCCACCTGATCACAGTGCATTATCTTTTTTATGTGCTATTGGATTTGATTTTCTAGTATTTTGTTGAGGATTTTTGCATCTGTTGAAGTATATTGGTCTGTAGTTTGTGTGTCCTTGTCTGATTTTGGTATCAGGGTGACACTGGCCTTGTAGAATGAGTTAGGGAGAATTCCCTTCTCCTTGATTTTTTGGAATAGTTTCAGGAGGATTGATATTAATTCCTTTTGTGTGTTTGGTAGAATTCAGCTGTGAATCCATCTGGTCCTGAGCTTTTTGTTGCTGTTATTGGAAGTTTGGTGAGGGTGGGGAGGTTTTGGCTTTGGGGTTTTTTGTCTGTTTGTTTGTTTGTTTGTTTGTTTTCACTAATTCAATCTTGCTACTCATTATTGGTTGTTCAGGAGTTGTACTTCTTTCTGGTTCAGTCTTAATAGTTTGAGCATTTCCAGGAATTTATCAATTTCCTCTTGGTTTGTGCGTGTACAGTCTTTCATGATAGTCTCTGAGGATCTTTTGCATTTCTGTGGTATCAGTTGTAATGTCTCCTTTTTCATTTCTGATTATGTTTATTTGGATCTTTTCTGGTTATTCTAGCTAGAGGTTTATCAATTTTCTTTTAAAAGAACCAACTTTTTGTTTCATTGATCCTTTGTATTTTTTGATCTCTATTTCCTTTAGTTCTGCCCTGATCTTTGTTATTTCTTTTCTTCTGCTAACTTTGGGTTTGGTTTATTCTTTTTCTATTAATAGTAACTGAAGATGTAATGTTAAGATGTTAATTTGTGATCTCTCTCCCTTTTTCATGTAGATATTTAATGCTATAAACTTCATTCTTAGCACCATTTTTGCTATATCTCACAGCTTTTGGTATGTTTTTTTTTTCATTTATTTCAAAAAATAATTTCTGTCTTAATTTTTGCTATCAACCCAGTGATTTGTCAGGAGTATGCTTTAAATTTTCATATATTTATGTAGCTTCCAAAGTTTCTCTTGACATTGATTTCTAGCTTTATTCCACTATGATCTGAGATAATTTGATTGTTTTAAATTTTTTAGGACTTGTTTTGTGGCCTAGCATGTTGTCTATCTTGGAAAATGTTCCATGTGCTGATGAAAAGGATGTATATTCTATAGTTGTTGGATAGAATGTTAGAATGTTCTATAAGTCTCCGAATTTCCTTTGGTCTAAAGTCCAATTTAAGTCCAACGTTTCTATTGATGTTCTCTCTTGGTGATCTGTCTAGTGCTGTGAGTAGGGTGTTACAGTCCCCTACTATTATTGTATTGGCGTCAAATTCTTTCTTTCGGTCTGGTAGGATTTGTTTTAGGTGTTCCAAAGTTGGGTACATATATATTTAGAATTGCTATATTCTCTTGCTGACAATTGTTATATCTTCTTGCTCTCAAATGATCTCTTTATCATTATATAATGAACTTCTTTGTCTTTTATTACCTTTTTGTATTTAAGTATATTTTATCTGATATACATATATCTACATCTCTTGGTTTTGTTTCTGTTTGTGTGGAATATCTTTTTCCACCCCTCTGCATTCAATGTATATGTCTTTACAGGTGAATTTCTTATAGGCAGCATATAGTTGAATAATGTTTTTAATCAATTCTGCCAATCTGCATTTTTTAAGTGGGGGATTTTAATCCATCTACATTCAAGGTCAATATTGATATGTGAGGCTTTGTTTCTGTCATATTATTGATTGTTTTCAAGCTGTTTTATAAATTCTTTCTTCTTGTTTTGTCATTGTGGTTTCATGAAATTATGTTGCATTGACATTTGATTCCTTTCTCTTCCTCCTTTGTGTGATTGTTTTGTGTAAACACACAAAGTGAGTTTTATATTTACACGTGTTTTTGGTGATGGTGAATATTGAGCTTTCATTTCCATGTTTAAGACCACTTTGAGCATTTCCTGTTGTACTGATACAGTGTTGACAAATTCACTCAGCATTTCCTCGTCTAGGAAAAACTTTCCTCTTCATTTACGAAGCTTATTCTGGCAGGATACACAATTCTTGGCTAATAACGTTTCAAGCATATAGAAAATACACAAAGTAATGTAATAAACCTGTCACCCAGCCTCCACAGGTACCAATCATGTGCCATTTTTGTTTCATCTATATTTCAACCCACTCCTCACCCCTCACAACTGTTTTATTATTCTAGGGGTTGTTTGTTTGTTTGTTTTTGAGACAGAGTTTCACCCTTGTTGCCCAGGCAATGGCGCCATCTCGGCTCACCACAACCTCCACCTCCCGAGTTCAAGCGATTTTCCTGCCTCAGCCTCCCGAGTAGCTGGGATTGCAGGCATGCGCCACCACACCCGCCTAATTTTGTATTTTTAGTATAGACTGGGTTTCTCCATGTTGGTCAGGCTGGTCTTGAACTCCACCTCAGGTGATCTGCCCACCTTGGCCTCCCAAAGTGCTGGGATTACAGGCGTGAGCCACATTTTAGGGTTTTTTTGTGAGACAAAATGTACATACATTAAAGATAGAATCTTAACCGTACCCTTTTGAGAAAACAGTACACCTATATAAACCTCCCTCTAAGAATAAAATTCCTGGCCAGGCGCAGTGGCTCACGCCTGTAATCCCAGCACTTTGGGAGGCCGAGGCGGCCGGATCACCTGAGGTCAGGAGTTCAAGATTAGCCTGGTTAACAGGGTGAAATCGCGTCTCCACTAAAAATACAAAAATTAGCCTTGGTGTGGTGGCGCATGCCTGTAATCTCAGCTACCCAAGAGGCTGAGGCAGGAGAATCGCTGGAACCCAGGAGATGGAGGCTGCAGTGAGCCGAGATCGTGCCACTGCACTCCAGCCTGGGTGACAGAGCGAGACTCTGAAAGAAAAGGAAAGAAAAAAAAGACGAAAAGAAAGGAAAGGAAGGAAGGGAGGGAGGGAGGGAGGGAGGGAGGGAGGAAGGAAGGGAGGGAGGGAGAGAAAAAAGGGGGCAGTAAGATCGAGCGAGGAGCCCAAGAAGCGAGCGCGCATCCCGAAGCTCGAGCTGCCTCCGCTGCGCGACCCCACCTCTGCCGCCGCCGCCTGCGCCGCGAGATCAGCCCCGGCCTCCCCGAGAGCGAGCCCCGGCCGCGGCGACCACCAGCCGCACTAACCGCCGACCAACCGCCACCGAGGCGCATGAGCGAGAGCAGAGGAGGAGGAGGCATGAGCGAGGCGGGCGAGGCCACCATCATCACCACCACCCTCCAGCAGGCTCCTGCGGTGGCGGCCGCCGCGGCTCCCCAGGACCCCGCGACCAAGAGCCGGGTGGGCAGCGGTGCACCCCAAGCCGCGGCCCCGGCGCCCGCCGCCCTCGTCGCAGGAAACCCGGGTGGGGACGGGGCCCCCGCAGCCACGGGCACCGCGGCCGCCGCCTCTTTAGCCACCGCCGCCGACAGCGAAGACGCGGAGAAAAAAGTTCTCGCCACCAAAGTCCTTGGCACTGTCAAATGGTTCAACGTCAGAAATGGATATGGATTTATAAATCGAAATGACACCAAAGAAGATCTATTTATACATCAGACTGCCATCAAGAAGAATAACCCACAGAAATATCTGCGCAGTGTAGGAGATGGAGAAACTGTAGAGTTTGATGTGGTTTAAGGAGAGAAGGGTGCAGAAGCAGCCAGTGTGACTGGCCGGGGTGGAGTTCCTGTGGAGGGCAGTCGTTACGCGCTGATTGGCGCCGTTACAGACGTGGCTACTATGGAAGGCGCCATGGCCCTCCCCGGGATTACGCTGGGAGGAGGAGGAAGAAGGGAGCGGCAGCAGTGAAGGATTTGACCCCCCTACCACTGATAGGCAGTTCTCTGGGGCCCGGAATCGGCTGCGCCGCCCCCAGTATCGCCCCCAGTACAGGCAGCAGCGGTTCCCGCCTTACCACGTGGGACAGACGTTTGACCGTCGCTCACCGGTCTTACCCCATCCCAACAGAATACAGGCTGTTGAGATTGGAGAGCTGAAGGATGGAGTCCCAGAAGGAGCACAACTTCAGGGACCATTTCATCGAAATCCAACTTACCGCCCAAGGTACCATAGCAGGGGACCTCCTCGCCCACGACCTGCCCCAGCAGTTGGAGAGGCTGAAGATAAAGAAAATCAGCAAGCCTCCAGTGGTCCAAACCAGCCGCCTGTTCGCCGTGGATACCGGCGTCCCTACAATTACCGGCGTCGCCCACGTTCTCCTAACGCTCCTTCACAAGATGGCAAAGAGGCCACGGCAGGTGAAGCACCAACTGAGAACCCTGCTCCATCCACCGAGCAGAGCAGTGCTGAGTAACACCAGGCTCCCCAGGCACCTTCACCATCGGCAGGGTGACCTAAAGAATTAATGACCGTTCAGAAACAAAGCAAAAAGCAGGCCACAGCCTTACCAACACCAAAGAAACATCCAAGCAATAAAGTGGAAGACGAACCAAGATTTGGACATTGGAATGTTTGCTGTTATTCTTTAAGAAACAACTACAAAAAGAAAATGTCAACAAATTTTTCCAGCAAACTGAGAACCTGGGAATTCCTGCACAGAAGACAAGAGAGCAGCCTCCCCAGTTTCAGCAAGCGCTAGGTTTATATTTTTTTCCTGGTTTTTACTGTTTGGGTAATAGATATTGAAACAAGTAATATTAATACCGCATGGGGAGAACCCCAACCAAAGAAATCTGAAATATAAAATAAATGCTTTTTTTTCCGTTTTTGTTCATTTTGGATGCTGGCGCTAAGCCTCCAAGTGTCATGATTAAAAAAAAAATTATGTCCTTATTTATTTCTAGGATGAGGGGAGGATAACATTTTTGCTTTCTTATGTGACTCTCTTGGAAAATGTGCAGTAAGAAGTTCCTCAAAAATAAAATTTTTACCCTTCAAAGGAAAAAAAAGAATAAAATTCCCCAACTTAACAATTATTAATGTGCATATGAATCATATGGGAATATTATTAATGTGTCAGAGGTTGAAGAAGTGGCCAGAAAAAGAAAAGTATTTTGATGGCAGGCTGGAGAACATCATGAGAGTAAACTTTAGGCCTGTTGACTGTCATTTTGGCAATGTATTGGGCCCTGGCCAAAGTGCTTGGATGCAACGTGGGGCCAATCAATAAATCCATCCCCCATGCTTTTCCTGGCCATGAGGTAATCGGCAGCCTAGTTCATGTCTTGATGGGAACCTTTGCCATGTGGAAGGATCACATCTCAGGTTTCTTGACAACTGGATGACTTTTGAGAACAAAGATCTAGGACAGATCTATTCTTGGATTGTGGACAGGCATCAGCCTACTAACATCATATGGAACAGGTGACATCCAAATATGTTAAGAACCTCTGACAATGAAGAGTAAAACACAAACTCAATTTTAAAAGGCACAGGACCTATGAAAACATTTTATGGTAAAAGAAATACAAATGGCCATTTCCCACGTAAAGATGCATCTAACCTCAATGGTGGTCACAGGAAAATAAATTACAAAAAAAAAAGTTTTGTGTGACCATCAGTTAGGAAAATTAAATGCTTCCTACTAATCTTTTCATGATAAGTAAAAACATACTAGCCAGGCATGGTGGCTCATGCCTGTATTCTCAGCATGTTGGGAAGCTGAGGCAGAAGGATACCTTAAGCTCAGGAGTTTGAGGCTACAATGAGCTATGATCATGCACTCCAGCCTGGGTAACAGAGAGTGAGACCCTGTTTCTAAATAAATAAATAAATGAGTGCATGAGTGAACATACATACATACATATACACACACGGTTTTTTACATGTTTATAGAGAGTATAAAGGGCCAATGACCTTTTAAGGCACAATTAGCAAATATGTATTGAGTGGAAAGATGCATGTTCTTGCATGCAGGATTCTACCTCCTGAAATGCATCTGATAACACTGCTTGAAAATGTGTGTAGAAATGCCCACACTAGCATGTTTGTGGTGGGCATATAAATAATAGCAAAACAAAACAAAGGAAAAAGAAAAGTACATATATGTGAGGAACCCTTTTGGTTATCCTGGGTTTTTGAGATAATGTTCATAGAAGGAAAGCAAGTCAAATGAAGAGCAATTGAGCAGGAAACGGGGGGAAATACCCTCAGAGTAATAAGATTATCTCATTACACTTAAGTTTTGCTGATGCTTCAAGTTTCCTGAGTAAGTTATGCGAAGCATCTTTCTCTGAAAATCTTCTTGCTGCAGAACAAACCATGTTTAGTGTCTGTATATGTCTCAACTTCCTGTCCCCACCTGGCGGATGGGAAAAAGGACACGGTCCTTGCTTGTGTTTTGGAGTGAAAGAAGCATTAAAGGTCTTGCAGACTTTACCAAGGATTCTCCTGGTCTCATTTCAGATCCAACTTCCAACTCCAGGCAGCCTCTGTGTTTTTCTTTAATGTATAATCAGGATGTACTTCAATTTGGACTCTATTGCTGTTTGGCCTGTATATGCAGTTTCAAGATAGCCCCATACACCTGCCTGCAATGATCCTTCAGGAATAGAATGGGCTTCTGAGTTGAGGAATTTGGGAGTATACTGAGCCCTTTGTGTATTTTTATTAAGTTTCTCTATTCATGCCAGGAGAAGGCTGTGGACAAAAAGTAAAGGAGGAGACACTGGAATTGTGATGTCCAAAGATTCCAATGTTCAAGGATTATTTGAACCCTTCAGATATCTCATTTTTGCTTTGTTCCTTCTGTCAGTCTTAGTAAAGGGTCCTGGAGTCAGAAGTTGCTGGGGCTTTCTTGGTTTCAGTGTCTGCTTTTTATTTAAGCCCATGGGTTTGGGGACAGGGTCCCACCACAGCACTTCACTGGGCACCTCCTGATCCTGGCCATGTGTCCTAAAATCTGGCAGTTATTGCATGTTCTCTGTGGGTTGAGGAGCAGGGAGGTCAATGAGTTAGCAGCAATCACAGGTGGCTTTCAGAGGTTCTTGTGAGGATATATTTTTGGATTTGGGTATTGGTTTTTCAGGACAGAAACAGACAAGTGGCCCATTAGGTGTCTGGAAATTCATAATGCAAAGTCATATCCACAACTTATTGTAAACAGAAACACAAAGAGAAAGAACCAAAGCGTGCAAGGTTGATGATGATAATCCAGCTGAATGGATCAGCTTAGATCACAGATGCCGAGCAGACTCTACAGAGTATAGTGGGGCTCCCAGGGTGACTGAGGGAGAATGAGGTAAAGGGAAAGTTTTGCTCTTCAGCTGGACTTTTTGCTGCCTCAAGAATTCAGTTGATTGGGTTAGCTTTACATGTGATCTAATCAGTCCAATGCGGTCACATTTTACCTAATCATCTCCCCCACTTTCAAGCTAGGAAAGGATATTTTATTTGGTGTTTACTTTTTCTCTGCATTATTATCTTACCACATATGCATATATCTAATATATGAACTATAACTTGATATTTGTCATATCCAAGCATTTGAGAAATATAACATCTATGCGCACAATTTTAACACTATATATAATTTTCTTCATGTGCAAAATATATATACACATGTCAATATGTGGTCTGTCTAATTCTGCATCTTGAATTCGGGGCAGGATCTTAAATACTTCTAGGTGGGAATTGGGGCACAAATCAGATAGGGATAAGTTTCTTGCATTCCTCTTCCTGTGCCCCCAGCTTTGAATTCCTGCTTCTTAACATGGTGACGGGGCTCTGCATCTAGACCTTATCTGTGTCTAGGTCCCCAAGGTGTTCATGATGGAAAAATTTCTTATTGAGGCCATGATGAGTGGCAGGAGGGAGAAATCTCTTCAGCCAGTAGGAGTGAGCCATGTCCAGCTTAAGGGCTTAGAAAAACAGGTTCACAAGAACAACCTGCACCTGATTCTGGGCATGTGTGAGAGAGAGAGAGAGAGATCACCTTTCACTGAAGCTTCACCATGGGATGGGGAACTGAAGACCAGACTCCCACTGCCCCTCCATCCAATGCCCCATTGACCCACCTTCTTTCCAACAGGTCTCCTTTACAGAAAGGGGCTTGGATAAGGAGGAAAGACCATCAGAAGAAAAGATAAGACACTGTCTTCTCATTCCAGTAAGAGCCACATGCAAGGCAAGGTAAGGCCTTTGGGCTGTTCCTATGGAGTCTGGTAGGAGGGGTAGAATTAGGGATACTGATCTGTGTCTTTGGTGGGGTTTCATTTTGAGATTAGAAACGGGAAATGACTTACAGTCATCACAGGGATTTCAGAAATATGGTGATGATCCCCCGGAACTCTGTGCTTCCCATTCACACTTGACACTGGCTGAACAGCCTTGATTGAGAGAATGACCCACAAATATCGGTTAGGTATAGACTTTGGGACTCTATGCCTAGGAAGAGATGAGTCACCTAAACTTTCTTTTGCACTGAGATCAGAGCCCAATTCAAATGAGGAAGAGAATTCCAAGGAAACTAAGCTCAAAGTCAGAAGCAGCACTGCTAAACTATGTAAGATGTGATTCTTTCAAGGTGAGAAGAGATAGTGGATGGGTAAACACAGTCTCCTCTGGGAAGGGAACTGGGAGCTCTTTGGCATCCAGGTTCTTATAATTCTTGGACTCTGGAGAACAGAGAAGAACCGAGTTTTGGTGGCTACCTCAGCTCTGGTGTGTCCAGGATGGACTAGAGTGCCTAAGGTGTTCAGTTGGAGGCAGTCACTCAAACTCCCATTTTATCCACAGAATCAGAGTCCAGCTCAGATGGGGGAACTCTAGGAAGAGAGAAATCCATTCCATGGACAGCTGCCAAGATAGAGCAGGTAGGATCTTCCTTTTTTGTTCCAAAGGGCAGATTAGCAGGTTGTTTATACTGAGTTTGGGCAGGAAAGGGGTTTCTCAGTGGCTGAGAGGATTTTAGAGATCCTGACATCCAGAAAGCATTTGGGGTCCCAGAAGGGATTTAGCCTCCCTTGCTTAGGGAGACAGAGGGGGCAGGGAAGGAGGAGGAAAGACAAGTGGGGTTCACCTGAAGGTGCATGGGGACATTCTGGGAATGAGCATCCATGGGAGCTGTTCTGGTAAGTCTCTCACTCACATGCTTCCTCTTCAGGACAGCATCAAGGACATGAGCCGAAAGTGCAAAAGGACTGCTTGACTTTGGAAAAGAAACCAAAGGCCTCTCTGACACTGTACACATCAGTGAAATGAGGAGACCCATGATGCCTGCTGTGGGGGACCCCCAGAGGCCCACACCGGGCACAGCAAGCGGCCCAGATCTCAGTCTCTAGGAGACCACCCACTGCCACTTCAGAAAAGCCTGGTGACCTCTCTGCACACTCCATCTGAAGCCATTTATCACAACACAGCCCAGGTGTGGGAACAGTAGGCCTATTCTCTGCTGACCTGGGAGCAGCTGTCTGAGCTCACCCTGGCTCCAGGGGGACTCTGTGCTATGGTACAAACCTGTGCCGTGGCCGCCCAGATGGCCTATGTCTTTCCCACTGAGGGCTGGCTCATCCCAGCCACACTCCCTGGTCCCTAGGATCCGGCCCTGAATGGAGAAGCTCAGAGCTCCTCCTAGGAAGAAAATGGACCCACCCTTACCCTGGAGAGGAGATAAAGGAGCCTGATAGTGGATCAAATGAGGCTTTAGCTGGGGGCACCCAGACCCTATTCAACAGAGGACACAGCTATGAGAGTGAGAACAAAGACCTGCTACTTCTCAGGCAATTTTAGACACACTGTGTTAATACATGACAAAACCAGGGACAGTCTTGGGAAAGGAGTTTGAACAATATCCTCAAAGTGGAAAATGTTTCATTTGAGTCTAAAACTACTGACAAATTTTGTACTTCATGTTAGACATTTGATGTTTTTGGATGTTTTATAACAGTCACACATTTCTTTGTAATCAGAAAATATTAGGGTAATGATTCATATGTGTTTGTATATTGCAAAGTATAGCAAAATGAATATATATGTAGCTCTTCCCCCTTTAAGTCAAAAAAGGCTGTAGCTCTTTACTTTCCCATCCTGAGTCAGTAATAAAGGACTGATATCTACTAACCTTCAACAACATTCTCTATGGAGAAATGTTGGTATTTTTTCAATTCGACGAAATGATAAAATCATGCCATTGTTTCATTTTCTTTGTTCTAAAACTGTCAGAATGTATTAAGCGCTTGTTGATCATATTTATTTATTCTTCAACCTGGATTATATTATCTGCCTAATTTTAATCTTCCATTTCATAGGCTTCAATTGAGCTTATTTTTTAAAAAGCTTTATTAAAGTATAATTAACTTTCAATAAGCTGCACATATCTAGAAGGTTTATTTTGTTTTGATGTATGTGTATACCTGGGGAATCATCAACACAGTCAAGACAATGAGTATATCGATTCCCCCCAAACATTTTATCATGATTACCCCCCATTGCAATTCTTCCTTTGCACTCCTTCCAACCCTAAGCGCTCTCTAAGCAACCACCGCTTCCAGTAACAATAGATTGATTTTCACTTTCCACAATTCTATATAAATAGAATCACACAGCATAAAATCAAGTCCCACTGTAGCAGGTATCAACAGTTCATCGCCTTTCGATGCAAAATTGTATTCTAGAGCTTGTTTATTTATTCGCTAGTTGGAGACCATGTGAATTGTTTCTAGTTTTTGTCTATTACAAATAAAACTGGCATGAATATTCATATACAAGTTGCTGAATAGACATATATTACAATATCTCTTAAGTAAATACTTCGGAGTTTAATGTTCAAAAAAGGGAACAACCACTAAACTGTTTTGGAAAGGGGTGGCATCATTACACATTCCCATGAAGACTGTACGAGGGTTCCATTTCCCCTACATTCTCATCACATTTGGTATAGTCCCTCTATTTAATTTTCTGTTTTTCTCTTTCTTAACTTTTACTTTAGGTTCAGGGGTACATGTGAAGGTTTGCTACATAGGTTGAAGGTTTTTTACTTAGGTAGACTCATGTCACAGGGGTTTGTTGTACAGATTTTTTCATCACCCAGGTATTAAGCCTAGTACCGAATAGTTACTTTTTCTGCTCCTCTCCCTCCTCCCAATCTCCACCCTCAAGTAGGCCCCAGTGTCTCTTGTTCCCTTTTTTGTGTCTGTGTGTTCTCATCATTTAGCTTTCACTTATAAGTAAGAACACATGGTATTTGGTTTTCTGTTCCTGTATTAGTTTGCTAAGGATAATAGCTGCCAGCTCTATCCATGTTTCTGTGAAAGACATGATCTTGTTGTTTCTTGTGGCTGCGTCGCATTCCATGGTGTATATGTACCACATTTTCTTTATCCAGTCTGTCACTCATTTAGGTTGATTCCATGTCTTTGCTATTGTGAATAGTGCTGCAATGAACATTCACATGTATGTATGGCAGAATGATTTATATTCCTCTAGGATATATCCAGTAATGGGATTACTAGGTCTAATGGTATTTCTGTTTTTCAGTCTTTGAGGAATCACCATACTACTTTCCACAATCGTTGAACTAATTTACACTCTCACCAACAGTGTAGCAGTGCCAGCTCCATCCATGTTTCTGTGAAAGACATGATCTTGTTTCTTATGGCTGCATAGCATTCCATGGTGTATATGTACCACATTTTCTTTATCCACTCTGTCACTGATTGGCAATTAGGTTGATTTCATGTCTTTGCTATTGTGAATAGTGTGCAATGAACATTCACATGCATGTATCTTTATGGTAGAATGATTTATATTCCTCTGGGTATATATCCAGTAATGGGATTACTGGGTCTAATGGTATTTCTGTTTTTCAGTCTTTGAGGAATCACCATACTACTTTCCACAATCGCTGAACTAACTTACACTCCCAACAACAGTGTGTAAGTGTCCCCTTTTCTTCACAACCTCACAAGCATCTGTTATGTTTTGAATTTTTTGTTTGTTTTTTTGAGACGGAGTCTCACTCTGTCACCCATGCTGGAGTGCAGTGGCACGATCTAGGCTCACTGCAAGCTCCGCCTCCCAGGTTCACGCCATTCTCCTGCCTCAGCCTCCAGAGTAGCTGGGACTACAGGCACCTACCACCACGCCCGGCTAATTTTTTGTATTTTCAGTAGAGACGGAGTTTCACCGTGTTAGCCAGGATGGTCTCGATCTCCTGACCTAGTGATCCGCCCGCCTCGGCCTCCCAAAGTGCTGGGTTTACAGGCATGAGCCACCGCGCCCGGCCTGTTTTGACTTAATAATAGCCATTCGGACTGGTGTGAGGTGTTAATCTCATTCTGGTTTTGATTTGCATTTCTCTAGTGATCAGTAATATTGAGCTTTTTTCAGATACTTGTTGGCCACATTTATGTCTTATTTTGAAAAGTGTGTGTTCATGTCCTTTGCTCACTTTTTAATGAGGTTGTTTGTTTTTCTCTTGTAAATTTAAGTTCCTTGTGGATAGGAGACCTTTGTCAGATGCATAGTTTGCAAAAACTTTCTCTCATTCTGTAGTTGTCTGTTTACTCTGTTGATAGTTTCTTTTGCTGTGCAGAAACTCTTAAGTTTAATTAGATACCATTTGTCAATTTGTGCTTTTATTGCGATTGCTTTTGGTGTCTGTCATGAAAGATTTGCCCATTCTTATGTCTAGGATGGTATCGTCTAGGATGTCTTCCAGGATATTTTATAGTTTTTGGTTTTACATTTAAGTCTTTAGTCTATTGTGAATTGATTTTTGTATATGGTATAAGAAAGGGGTCCAGCTTCAATCTTCTGCATATGGCTAGCCAGTTATCCCAGCACAATTTATTGAATAGGGATTCTTTTCCCCATTGCTTGTTTTTGTCAGCTTTGTCAAAGATCAGATGGTTGTTGCTGTATGGCCTTATTTCTGGCCTCTCTATTATGTTCCATTGGACTATGTGCCTGTTTTTTTTTTTACCAGTTCCATGCTGTTTTGGTTACTGTAGCCCTGTAGTATAGTTTGAAGTCAGGTAGCATGATGCCTCCAGCTTTGTTCTTTTTGCTTAGGATTACCTTGGCTATTCAGGCACTCTTTTGGTTCCATATGAATTTTTAAATAGTTTTTCTAGTTCTGTGAAGAATTTCATTGGTAGTTTGGTAGGAATAGCATTGAATCTGTACATTGCTTTTGGGCAGTCTAGCCATTTTAATGATATTGATTCTTCCTATCCATGAGCATGGAATGTTTTTCCATTTGTTTGTGTCATCACTGATTTATTTGAGCAGTGTTTCGTAATTCTCATTGTAGGGGTCTTTCACCTTCCTGGTGAGCTGTATTCCTAAGTATTCTATTCTTTTTGTGGTGATTGTGAATGGGATTGCCTTCCTGATTTGGCTTTCAGCTTGTCTGCTGTTGGTGTACAGAAATGCTAGTGATTTTTATATGTTGATTTTGTATTCTGAAACTTTGCTGAAGTTATCTATCAGCTGAAGGAGCTTTTGGGCGAGACCATGGGGTTATCTAGGTATAGAATTATGTCATCTGCAAACAGGGATAGTTTGACTTCTTCTCTTCCTATTTGAATGCCCTTTGTTTCCTTCTCTTGCCTGATTGCTCTGTCTAGGACTTTCAATACTATGTTGAATAGGAGTGGTGAAAGTGGACATCCTTGTTTCGTGCTTGTTTTCCAGGGGAATGCTTCCAGCATTTGCCCATTGACTATGATGTTGGCTGTGGGTTTTTCATGGATGGCTCTTATTGTTTTGAGGCATGTTCCTTTGATACCTAGTTTATGGAGAGTTTTTAATCAATATACTGATTTCCTTTCTTTGGGGTATATTCCTAGGAGTAGGGTTGCTGGATCATAAAGTAGCTCTATTTTTAGTTTTTTGAGGATCCTCCAAACTGTTCTCCATAGTGGCTGTACTAATTTACATTTCCACCAACAGTGTACAAGGATTCCCTTTTCTCCACATCCTCACCAGCATTTGGATTCTGTCTTTTTTTTCTCTTTTTCTTTTTTTTTTTTTTTTTTTTTTTGAGATGGAGTCTTATGCTGTCACCCAGGCTGGAGTGTAATGGCGCTATCTCTGCTCACTGCAACCGCTGCCTCCTGAATTCAAGTGATTGTTTTCAGTTTGCAGCCCCAAAGATGATGTCCTCATTCAAATAGTCTGTAGTTTTCAATACGGAAGACCAAAAGCTAGAAAGTAGTCAATGACACAAAACTCTTGAGTTCTGACCACTGAGTGGAGTGACCACTCCTGCTTCAAGTTCCACATGGCTGGCACTGAGGTTAAACACCCACAGCAGCCCAGTGGAACCATGAAGTGTCATTTTTCCCCGACCCATTAGAAAACTAGGACTAGGCATTTAGTAAATACTCAGTGAATTGTGTGTTGTGGGGGAGGGTCCCATAGAGCCAGCAGCATTGCTTTGGACAATGGAGGGGGGCAAAAAATTCCCACCAAAGATGAATCCCAGTTTTTCCTTTAGAGCTGTTTCTGTTCCAGTCCAATTTCCTTCTTGATTATGTTATTTCTATTTACCAAGTGGCATTCTGAGATCATTTATAGAGTCCAAATTGACCCATCTCAAAATTGAAATATAAAGCTATATTTCAGGAAATATAGTAACTTTCAGGAAAGGTCCCAGCCCTAAGTTTGGCAGGAGCCCCTGACTTTAAGCAAGCTCAAAGCTGACGTAGAAATCAGTGTAACTAGTAGTGTTACGGTTGCTATGAGTTCAAAATCCCAAAGAATAAAAATAGAAAAATTAGCTGGGTATGGTGGCGTGTGCCTGTAATCCCAACTACTCAGGAGGCTGAGGCAGGAGAATCGCTTGAATCCGGGAGGCGGAGGTTGCAGTGAGCCGAGATCGTGCCACTGCACTCCAGCCTGGGTGAAAGAGTGAGACTCTGTCTCACAAAAAAAAAGAAAAGAACAGAAGAAAGAAAGGGAAGGGAAGGGAAAGAAAGAAAAGAAAAGAAACAAAAGAAAAGAAAGAAAAAGAAAAGAAAGGAAAGAAAAAACATCCCTGCCCAGGAAGGGAGGGGCAGCTCAGGCTCCTAACCTAGGCAAGAGGGTGCACCAAATGCCTGGAAATATGCCTGGGCAAGGAGCAGAGAAACCAACACTGCAACAAGACCTTTTCAAGGAAAGGAGAGGTGGCTCAAGCTCCTAATCTGGGAGAGTGAGTATGCCGGAAGCCAAGAGACAAGTCCGTGTATGAGCAGAGAGAGTGCTGCTGCATCATGTTCTCTGCATGGGAACGGACAGGCAGCCCAGAACTCAAAATCCAGGTGAGAGGGTGCACCAGATGCCTGCAGACATGCCTCGGCCAAGAGCAGAGGAGATGCCTCTGCACCAAGCTCTTCGCACAGGAAGGAAGTGGTGGCCCATGCTCCCGATCCAGGTGAGCAGGAGTGGGATCTGTCTCCCTCCCCATCCTCAGAACCAGTTGGGCTCACTCCCCTGACTGACAAAGGGGGCAGGCTGGGGCGCCCAGAAATGCCATACGTAGACTGGTCCCAGGTTGCAAAGCCACCTCTGGCCATAAATATCACCACCTGAGAGCAACCATGGCTTCAGCAAATCTCCTCCCTTTCCAGTCCTGTAATGAAAGAAAGACCGATTCCGGTGCCTATAGCGGAAGTACACACCACACTTGCTGCTCAATTCTGCCTATGGGGGTCCTTCTCCTCCTCCAGAACAAGTGCTTTAATCTTTCTCACCAGAGACCTAAATACCTGTGGCAGCTGCTGCTGCCCAGCCACCAAACAATGACTGCCTTGACATGAGCCAGAATTGAAAATGGCATCCTCCTCTTGGTCCTGGGTCTGGGAAAATGTCTGCAGCTTTTCCCAGTGCCTTTCCCTCTCAGAGTCTCCCAGCCTCTCCCCAAATTCGCTCCAGGGCTTGGGAGAAGCAAGATGCTCTTCCATGTCCTGAGTTCCACATATCCCCGTTGAAAACGTGAGTTACTGAGACTCTCTGTCCCTTTCACATACTAGGGATTCACTCACTTTTCTCAGATGAATGCCACCACCCAAGCTGCTTGCCCACCTTCCCTTCCCCAGGATCTGAAGTTATCTATGCTTCTCTGGTGAACTGTCATGTTCCTGCTCGAATAAAAGCTCAGTGTCCATCTCTATGAACTATTTTGCTATTTCCGACATGGAAGACAAAAAAACAACTAGTGTTCCTAATAGCCCCATCATGAATACTACTCATATGCATTTACAGTGGCATGATTAAGTTCATTGCTTGATGTTCAGATGATGCCATTACTTTAGAGGGCAAAAACCTCAACCAACCTAATAATTCTATCACCTACCTAATGAATGAACCACAATAACATACAGATAAGTTTCCAAACATGTGGAATTCAAAATCTACATACAAAATAAGTTACGCTATATGATTTCATATATAAGCTACAAAACAGGTGAAAGTACAGGTGAGCTATACTGTTAGGAGTCAGAGTCATGGTTACTCCTAGAGGTAGTGACTGGGAAGGGCACAAGGAGGTGGCTGGGGTCTGACGATGTTCTGTTTTGCAACCTAAGACATGCATACAGAGTTGGGTTCAGTTTGTTAAAATTTCATTTAGTTGTGCACTTATGGCCTGTGCAAGTATTCCAACTTTTTTAAAAAATACATATCAATTAAAACACAAAGAGAGAACATAAATGGATTAGTGATTTTTGTTGTTGTTGTTTTGAGACAGGGTTTCACTCTGTCGCCTAGGCTGGAGTCAAGTGGTGTGACTTGACTCCAGCCTAGGCGACAGAGTGAAAACACACAGAGCAAACACAGAGCCTTGGCCTCCTGGGCTCAAGTGATCCTCCTACCTCAGCCTCCTGAGTAGCTGGGACTTCAGGCATGTGGCACCATGCCTGGCTAAGTTTTTAATTTTTTGTAGAAACTAGGGCTCACTATGTTGCCCAGGCTGGTCTCAAACTCCCTAGCTCAAGCAATCCTCCTGCCTCGGCCTCCCAAAGTGCTGGGATTACAAGCGTGAGCCACCTCACCTGGCTTGATTAGTAATTTAATGCCTTAATGTTGTCAAAGTGGAGGTTGAAAGTATTAAATAACTTTATACCATGATTAATATTTCAAAGTCTGCTGTAACCTCTGTGTTAAAAACTAAGATATGCTTGTATATAACTCCTAAATAACAGATGTTAACTGTGATTTTTAAAAATCTATATATAACATAGAAGACGTTAAAATTGGAAGAATCAGAAAAGATGATGGGTATTCAGAAGAATACAGAAAGTTGGTATATCCAATGCCAAATATAGCCTTTAAAATATTAAACATAAATAGCTAAATTATTCCTGTCAAAGTCAAATGTTATTTGACTATATTCAATTGGATATTCCTTCAAGAGATACAACTAAACATAAACATAATTTTTTTATATATTTATGTTTTAGTTACATCTCTTGAAGGAGTAGAAAAATTAGAAGATATATGTTATTTTAAACAATTAAAATTAAAGTAGAAAAAGTAAAGATACATTATATATGATTTTAACCAATTAATCAGTGAGGATGGTGATACCTCAGATAAAAAAGACAATACGGTTAAAGTAGTTTAACATTGTTATAACTAATATTATTTTTACATTTCTTAAAGAATAATTTTCCAATATTATTGCTTGATGAATAACAAACATAGTCTGATTATCCCCACACAGTTAGACATATGTAGGTGTTTTTCTGTATGTATCACCAATCCCTTGTAACGTCAGTTTCACAACTGTGCTTATAATTCTTTGGGGATGAGTAAACAACTGAACATTGTGCAAAAATACACAACATACATATATATGATAAAATTAGTGGATTTTGTATTCTGTGTCAGGCAAATCAGAACCTGGAGACAACAGAGTCACAGCTGATGGAAACAAAAAGTCTGAGAGTTGGGGAACACAGAGCACTCAGGGCAGAAATGTTCACCAGCCACTGCCCAAGAGGATTAAAAAGAGCCAAAAATTGACAAAAGGAAAAGACAATATAAAAGCATACATAGATGCTCCCCAGGACCAGGATGGCTTAGGTGACTCTGGACTCAGGGGAAGACCTGAACAGCCAGTGGGTCCTATGAATGTGTTGGACCTTCAGCTTGTGCCGGTGCAGGATGAAAATCATGGAGCCTCTGGCCCAAGCCGTGATTCCCAAATCCAAAACATCAAGGAATCAGAACAGCACTGCACACAGGGAGTGGGGGATTTTGACATGCATCACAGCATAACAGTAGCCATTATCTGTTTTCCTTGTGATGGCTGCATTGAGTTATAGCCAGACACATAAAGAAGAAAATTATTTGTTAGTGTGTTTAGGATCCAGCACCAGAGAATCAAGTGTCCAATGAGCTTGGGAAATATTATTCTAAGCTCTGCCCTACTGGAGTCCCTGGGGAAATAGTGATGGCCTGGAAGACACTCAGGAGGCAAGTGCTGCCAGGAGGAACACCCCTGCCCAGTCTCTGAAGGAAGAATAGAAGTTCACGTGAAAAATCCTTGAAGTTGTTCAAACCAAAGATGTCATGGTCTTCCAGATTTTTTTAGAGGGAATGACCAAAGAGTTGGGTATAATCAGGTGCATGAGAATCAAATCTGTGCACCTTAACTTGCACCCAGTGAGGAAAAGGGAGACATATGATAAAGAAGAGAGTTTCCCAGACTTTGCAGAGTCAAATGTGTCAGTCTGTCTTCTGCTAAACAATCCATCATGGTTGAGTATCGTTGATCAAAGTGATTCCTGCACCTGCAGATTATTCAGGTGATTATGACATGACCTCTCGGACAGGGTGTTCCAGAGAAACAAAACCAATTTAAATTGTTTAAATTTAAATAACTCAAATCATTGAATTAATAAATTATTTTAACTTACTTTAAATACATACATGCAATTTATTGAAGTATAGATATTAATACTCAATAAATGTTTATTCATTTTAAGAAATTGGCTCATGTAACTATAGAGGCTGAGAATTCCCATTATCTGCTGCCTTCAAGTCAGAAATGCGGGACACCCAGCGGTGTTGCTTGAAGGTTTGAGAACCAGGAGTGCTGAGGGCAATAGAAGATCCCTTCAGGAGTAGCCCCAGGTAAGGGACCCCAAAGAGTGACCTCACTTCCTTGACAATAGACCCCAACAGAACTTGGAACACTGGAAACCAAGCACCCACATTCTAGAAACAGTCTCTCCCCAGCTCACTTGGCTGAAGATACTAAAGAGAACTAGATGTTATCTAGTGTTATCCTGCTGATCCCAATTTCCTATAGTTCTGGCACCAGAAAATCCTGAATGATAGGTTTTTCTGAAGCTGCTGACATCGGGTCAGCCCTCAACACCATCACCTTTGGCCATGTTCAGGAAGTACTCAAAGGTAACACTGGCAGCCAAGAGCAGGCCAATCAATGTCTGGCCACCACCCTAATCCCACCTGGACAGTCACACCCCACCTCCCTATGTGTGTTCGCACAGTGGGGGTGATATCATGTGGGTCTGGCCTGTCCTGAGCAGAACCTGGTGTTGGGTTGTCAGAAACCCAGTGACCCATCACGTTCACTCTTCAGATCATGGCTCAAAAGTCTGCAGAGCAGAGACAAGAGATTGACAAAGAGGTGTTGATGAGGTAATGTATTCCATTTCCCTAGGTGAAAGGCAGGTGCACCACACTGTGAACAAGGACCAGTGCTGGACTGGAGTGAGTGCAGGAGCAAAGGGTTCTCTAAGCTGGGCGCAGTGGCTCACGCCTGTAATCCCAGCACTTTGGGAGGCCGAGGCTGGCGGGTCATCTGAGGTTGGGAGTTCAAGACCAGCCTGGCTAATGTGGTGAAACCCCGTCTCTACTAAAAATACAAAAAAAATTAGCCGGGCATGGTGGCAGGTGCCTGTAATCCCAGCTACTTGGGAGGCTGAAGCAGGAGAATTGCTTGAACTCGGGAAGCGGAAGTTGCAGTGAGCCGAGACCACGCCATTGCACTCCAGCCTGGGCAACAAGAAAGAAAATCCATCTCAAAAAAAAAAAAAGGTTCTCTAATCCAGAGCCTGGAGGGGGCTGGGGAAGGCCTTCTGCTGAGACACTACTGTAAATAGCTTTATTCCATACACACACACACTCACACCCATGCGCACGTGGGTGAAAAAATATGTAAACCTTGATATATAGATGTAGATGTAGATATTCATTCTATTAGTTCTGTTTCTCTGTCTTCTTGAGTATGGCCATCCTAGTGGGTGTGAACTAACACTTCATTGTGGTTTTGATTTGAATTTCCCTAATGAATAACTTTTCACGTGCTCATTGGCCATTTATGTTGTATTCTTATATCCTCATGTGTTCTTATCACCAATAATTAAAACATTCTCTGGTAAAATATTTTTCTAAGTTAATTTACTTATAAAAATTACAAAGGCATGAAGTGATTTACTCAATGAACGCTGTTATCTCATTTAATTTTTCATGTCATGATATGAGCTGATTCTCTCATTGGCGTGTCCTGTATTTTTGAAATGAACCCTTCTCAATCATTTTCTGTACCTGTATATTAATTATACATGCAAATCCATGACTTACACTTGCTTAAAGTTTTGACATAATGTATGTATTAGGTATCTTATTATTTAACAGAAATCACTTTTTCCTCTAAGTTTTCTAATTTATTAGTGTAAAGTTGTTTGTCTTAGAATGTAGACTTTTTAAAAATCTCCATGAAGTTTTAAATACTGTTTATTTTTTAATATTAAATATATCTTTTCACATTTTTATTAACATTGCAGTAAGCTCTATTTTATCATTAATTTTATTTTATTATATCCCATGTAATACTTATTCTAAATTTTTTACTTACATTATACTTTATGATAACACATTATTTAGGCTAAGCTTTTATTTTTTTGAGACAGTGTCTTGCTCTGTCAGCCAGGCTGGAGAGCAGTGGTGCGATCTGGGCTCACTGCAACCTCCGCTTCCCAGATTCAAGCGATTCTCCTGTCTCAGCCTCCCAAGTGGCTGGGATTACAGGCACATACCACCATGCCTGGCTAATTTTTGTATTTTTAGTAGAGATGTTTCACGCTGTTGGCCAGGCTGGTCTCAAACTCCTGACCTTAGGTAATCCGCCCACCTCAGCCTCTAAAAGTGCTGGTATTACAGGCATGAGCCACCTCTCCTGACCAAGGTGAAGCTTCTTTTTTTAATTTAATTTCAGAGTTTGACATCAAAAACACATATTGTCAGGCATCTTCTATTGTAGCATTTGAATTTGCAGCCATCTAATTTTCTCTACTTTTGAACAAATACAGTGCACAACTTGAATATGAAGAATTTTTATTGTCTTTTCATCTGAAAAGTTCTAAATATTAATTAGGAATATTGCTTAGTTTTTAGGTTTAGTATTTTAAATTGCTTCATAAACTATTTCAAAATATTATTATTTAATAGTGGCAAGGTTAATCTCTATGATTAAAATATTTTACATTCTTTAAGCCTCCCTCTGTGATTGCATTATTTCAATCGTTCTATATTGCTGAGTAATGCAACACATAGCCCAGGTTCCATATATGTCCATTGGACCAAACTTCTGCATTGTATTTTTCAAATATTTGAATTTTCAAGACATTTTACCTGCTTTACCTAACAATAATAAGAAAATATCTGTGGAAATTTTTCACTTCAACCACATGGTTAGCCCATTTGTATTATGATTGTTTCAAATTGGCTCCCTTGAATATTTCAAGGCAGCAATTACCACCAACTCCCTAGAAAAAGGGAAGCATAAGCCTCCCCAGGGTCCCTGGCGTCGGCTCCTCCACCGACGGTGACTGGTTCCACCAGATTCACTTCCCAGAGGTCACCCTGATGCTTATTTCTTCTGAACAGGCTAATTGGGATTATTGCTAATACAGCATAGTCTACCCTCACAGTGTCCCGAAAATTAGGCAGTTTTCTTGATGAGTCTCATATTCATCGGCTGTGAGTCGAATTCTAATGAAAATCTCTTTCCACAGTCCTGTGCTCATTTCGCTCCACCCAGACCACTGCGTCCATTTTTACCTTAAAATATTTGAAATGGACCACTCTCCTCCCACAAAAAATTCACAGATTTCACAGAACTAACTTTCTTTTTAGAATTTAAGGTAAAATGCCACCCGCCATGCAAGCCTGGGTGGGGAGCGCAGCTGCAGGCCTGGGGGGCAGGAGCGCAGAGCCAGGCAGAGAGGGGCTGCGGCAAAGGGGGAGGCCCAGACAAGGCGACCAGAGGGCCAGTTTTCAGTGTGTGAATTTTTGAGTGAAGCCTCAGCTCAAATGAGAAGAAATCTGCAAACAATAACTACTGACAGTGAGTCTGCAGAGTCATCTGAATGCATAACATGGAATGTTCTCAAACCAGAAGTAGCAGAATGTGTGACTCCATTGATGAGGACTGACTACTGGCTATAGGCCCTGGGTCAAGACAATTTTTATACCTCCCTGGTGGTTCAGAAAGGAGTCTCTGTAAAACCAGAAGCAAAGAAAGGAAACAATCTGAATTTTCTTTTTTTTTTTTTTTTTTTGAGACGGAGTCTTGCTCTGTTGCCCAGGCTGGAGTGCAGTGGTATGATCTTGACTCACTGCAACCTCCACTTCCCAGGTTCAAGCGATTCTTCTGTCTCAGCCTTCCGAGTAGCTGGGATTACAGATGCCCACCACATCACCTGACTAATTTTTGTATTTTAGTAGAGACGGGTTTTCGCCATGTTGGCCAGGCTGGTCTCAAACTCCTGACCTCAAGTGATCTGCCTGCCTCAGCCTCCCAAAGTGCTGAGATTACAGGCGTGAGCCACCGCACCCAGCCGTTATTGTGAATTTCTGTATTTTCTCTGTCCAATCTTCTGTAATTTATTTTGTCCTGTTGTTACGGGAAAGGGGTCCCGATCCAGACCCCAAGAGAGGTTTCTTGGATATCACACAAGAAAGAATTCAGGGTGAGTCCACAGTGTAAAGCAAAAGCAAGTTTATTAAGAAAGCAAGTTTATTAAGGAGGTTTATTATGGTAAAACGACAGCTACTCCTTAGACCAAGCAGGGCGTTTCTGAGAGTAAGAGGAGGAAGGTGTCAGCCCCAGGTACAATGTTTGTATATATACAGGATAAAAAAAGATCTTGGGGAGATGTGCTCTGCTACAAGGACTTGTGATAAAGGATTAATTTTCTTAATTACTATATTTTGCAAGAATCAATATTATTATCTTTAAAGCAAAATTAGGAATGCCTTTGTTCTCCAAATATCAGCATATCCAGACACTCCCAAGTCTGGATCTGTTTAGTAAACATTATTGGTTCCCTTAACCATGAACATGTAGAGGCCAGCCTCATTTTCCTAGCCCTCACTCAAAATGGAGTCACTCTGGTTTGAACGCCTCTGACGCTATGCTTGTGTTTCTTTTATTTTGAATTACAAAAAAGAGGTATGATGGAAGCTCATTCACCCTTTTGTGATTATTCCAGTGAGATGTTACTGTTCTGCTCTGGAGAAGATACTGTCAGATAATGTCCCGCATTTCCATCAGCTGGCATGCATGCCTTTGGACTCGGACAGGGTTCTTTGGATTGTAGCTGAATTTTCAATGTTTAGTCAATATGGATCTGATCTCCGCATGATCTTTTTTGTGAATGCCAACACCATTTTGTAACTTTTTTCCATTCTAAACATTTTTCTTTTCACTGCCAACCCTCTGCCTTGTGATTTTATTGGAAATCAAGGACCTGCTATTATTTGTTAATTTGCCATCATTTATGTGTATATTGAAAGGTACGAAACCCACAAGCACAATGATCATTTTTATTTGTTTGAAACTTCAGCAGAATAGATATCTGCATGCTTTATGAAGTTGCTTCGATAGCAGCCCCTGGGATGCCAGAAATTAGCATTTCTTTGCTGCCATGGGCTGATGATACTGCTGCTATTAGAGAAAGTTTAGCTGTGGCACCAACTCACAGCATTTTCATAGAAAAAGATTACTTGTAGCTTATTTTAGAAGTAGGAACATTTGGTCTATTCGACTAGACTTGCAATTTTAAAAAAAAAAGGTTGCATTCATTAAAGAAAAAATGAATTTAAGGTAAAATGACAAAACCTGATCTTTAACATCCTGAAGGATCTGATACATTATTTTCCCTCCAACTCCATCCCAGGCCTGGTGGTAGAACTGCTATTTTTCCTTCTTACCTTTTAGAAAAGTATGCATCTAGATTTTATTCAAAAATAGAAGAAACAACAGTAGAATCATATAAATAGCAAAAATTTGAAACTCAAAATATTAAGCGTAAGTTACAAAAAAACATATAAACAACAGAATATGTGGGATAAATACCAATTTTGATACAATTAGTCTGGATTAAAAGGCTGAAAGTTCAGGTGAAGGAGCAGAGAATGCTCCTTCAAAACCAAAAGAGAGAAAATCTTCGTATAAGAAGCATGAACATAGGATCTACACATCAGAAAATTTATAGAAGGACAGAATTATTTTTAAATAATCAAAAACTAGTCTCATTAAAATAAAGTATAATCATCAAGGACAAAAAGAAAATTCTACAACTTGAAAATGGGAAAAAAATGAAGATTAATTCAAAACAAAAAATGGCGTGAACTATGACTTTCTTCTCACTTTCTTCATTGATCATCACTTAAAGCTTCTTTACTTCATTAAACTTTTCTTACACTGCTGTGCCCAGTTAATTCCATGACATTTTTTACTAATTGGTTAAAATTGCACTGTTACAAATTATTAGAGGCCCACATTTAATGAATAATTTGCCTCTAAACTTCTCCATTGCAACATTAACAAAATGAAAATTATGAATGCCCTTTGCAAAACATTTCATCTGTAACTGTCGTTTATGATACATGAAAAATCCTTGAAGGGCAAAGACAGATTCTGAGTCTTACACACACTTTGCAATTGACTGCCAATTGTGGTGCTTAACCTTCTGCAGGAAGAAATCAACAAATGGCCATTCATTGTACAGAAAGAAGACAATCCACATAAATCGGAGAACTATCTGATCAGCTTAGGCAACTGTGGATTCCTTCCACAGCAAGCAGAGCCCAGCCTGGCTATTCTGGGATGGCTGCTCATGAGCACAAAGGGGCTGACCGTGGGAAAACAGGCAGTGATCAGTGCCAAGGTGTTCAACAGCCACCAACTGGGATTAGGAAAAAGACGTGTAAAGATGGAGGAGAGCGAGTAAAATAACACAAGGTGCTCACCAGGACCAGGATGCTTTGGGTGACTCTGGACTCAGGGGAGGATCTGGGGGAGAGGTTGGTCCCATGAATGTGCTGGACCTGCTGCTTGAGCCTGTGCAGGATAAAAACCATGGAGCCACTGGCCAAGGCCATGAGCCCCAAACACAAAACATCAAGGGATGATAACAAGACAATATGTAATGACTGTAGAATTCTGCTCCTACCTCTTCCAGAACAATACTTATAATCATTTGTCTTTGTGCTATTTATGCTGTTCCACTTGCCAGTCACATGTAGAGGAACAGTAATATTTACCAGCGTGTTCAGAATCCAGCACAGGACCAGGATGTTGAAGGACCTGATGTATCTGGGAGCATGTAGTTTAAGCTGTGCCCACCTGAATTCGCTGGGGCTGATGGTGATGACCTGGAAGACACTCAGGAGGCAGGCATTGCCAACGCACACAGCCCTGCCCACTCTGTGAACATAAAACACAAGTTTGCATCCAATATCACTGAGGGAATCTTTCGACCCAAAAGCAGCCATTGTTTGTGGGATTCCTTTAGAGTATAACCTAGGAGTTGGCTATGGTCAGGTGCTTGAGAATCAGATCTGTGGACCATAACATACCTCTGGTGAAACAAAGGAAACTATAGTGGTAAAGAAGAAAGAAATTCCCCAGGAATCCAACTATGATCTGAGATAAGAAGATCATGCCTATTGAAAAATCCCTGGAGGCCATTTGTCATTTTTCAGTGTCTGATAATTACATTCAAAGTGAGAGAACCCTGCGTGGAAACATAAACTCTGTTTCACTTTTGCAAATAAAATCCACTATTGTCCACTTACCGTTGTTTCCAACTTAGACATTTTCTTTTTTTTTTTTTTTTTTTTTGAGACAGAGTCTCGCTCTGGCCCAGTCTGGAGTGCAGTGGCGCATCTCGGCTCACTGCAAGCTCCGCCTCCCGGGTTCACGCCATTCTCCTGCCTCAGCCTCCCGAGTAGCTGGGACTACAGGCGCCCGCCACCACGCCCAGCTAATTTTTTTGTATTTTTAGTAGAGACGGGGTTTCACCATGTTAGCCAGGATGGTCTCGATCTCCTGACCTCATGATCCGCCCACCTCAGCCTCCCAAAGTGCTGGGATTACAGGCGTGAGCCACCGTGCCCGGCTATTTGTGGGACATTTTGTTTTCTGTTGTGTTTTCTCTTTTTTTGAGATAGAGTCCACCCTGTCACCCAGGGTGGAGTGCAGTGGCGCGATCTTGGCTCACTGCAACCTCTACCCTCCCAGTTTCAAGCGATTCTCTGGCCTCACCCTTCCAAGCACCTGGGATTACAGGGGCACACCACCATGCCCAGCTAATTTTTGTATTTTTAGTAGAGACGGGGTTTCACCATGTTGGTCAGGCTAGTCTCGAACTCCTGACCTTGCGATCCGACAGCCTCGGCCTCCCAAAGTGCTGGGATTACAGACGTGAGCCACCACGCTCAGCCTTGTTTTGTTTTTGAGACAGAGTCTTACTCTGTTGCCCAGGCTGGAGTTGCAGTGGTGTGATCTCGGCTCACTGCAACCTCTGCCATCTGGGTTCAAGCAATTCTCCTGCCTCAACCTCCCAAGTAGCTGGAATTACAGGCGCCTACCACCACACCCAGCTAATTTTTTGTATTTTCAGTAGAGATAGGGTTTCACCATGTTGGCCAGGCTGGTCTCAAACTCCTGACCTCAGGTGATTCACCTGCCTCAGCCTCCCAAAGTGCTGGGATTACAGGCCTGAGCCACCACACCCAGCCTATTTGTGGGGTATTTTGAAGCCAATTTTATAATGGCCAACCTTATGCCTTGAGGGATAAAAGATGAAGGGCCAATGTGGATGAGGAATTTTAATGGTAGTTTTGTTGCTCCATAATCAGCCAGAGACAGAACATTGGTTCACTCCTCTTAACCTACAGCATAGGGTGAAGAGAATATTGCCAGGAGGCCTTCACGCTTGTCGATGGGCATCATTTCTTAGGTCTCTTTTTCTATAGTTTGGAGTAAATATAAATGAGGCAATGATTAGACATTTGTCCCTCATAGTGGGCTCTGTAGCAGCTTCTACTGCAAAGGCTTTGGTTGTACAGCAGTCTTCTTCAAGTTCCGTTGCTATAGTTGTGCTAGATAATAGAATAACTCTAGATGACCTAATGGCTGAACGTGGAAGAATCTGCACATGGTTGAATACATAGGTATTAGAGAGATTTAGTTGTAGGGAATTAACAAACAGCCTGCTGGGTTAAAACAAGTACTCTATCTAGCTCACTCCTTGATCTATTTTATTTTAATTGGTTTGGTTTGGACCCTGGCTAAGGAGCATACTCCAAACTCTTGGTATTATCCTCCGGATACTCACAACAGTAATCTCCCAAGTATTCTGTATTCTCTCAAAAGTATTAAATGTTTGTTTGCAGCCATCTATGGAATGGCAAATGATCTCTTTGACTGGAATGACAAAAACTCAAAGAAATGTATGCTCATTGTTTGAAATGCTTGTTCCCTGGTGCTATAAAGAAATAGCACTTGAACATAAATTTAATTTACTCAGCAAGGCCATTTTTACTTCCTGCAGAAAGGTTACACTTGCCAGCAGTTTTGCCAAGAGAGTACACTGAACAAAGGACACAGGGTTATTTATAACCTGACGTGTCCACCCTACTGCTGTGCCTGGTTTCCACTGGCTGGAATGGGGCCTTACATTCTGTATTTGTCCCAATTGGCTAGCAATTTAGAACTTTTTAAAAGAGTCAAAGGCAGAGGAGAACAAAGGAAGGAGGGAGTAACTTGTGGAATACTAAGAAAGGTAAAAACACCTTCAAATAAGGAAGAGGAACAGGCTATGACTTAATGCTTGCTTGAACCAGTATAAGCATGCCAGGGCAAATATTTAGGCTAAATTGTGGGAGCTAAGAACACAAAGTACATTGATTTCTTTATCATGGCTAGCAGATATTTAAGAATGTTAGCACAGGTCTTTGAATAAATTTTGCTTCTAAGGGAAGTTACTATTTATTCCTAATTAAATGGGGAGGAAAATCTTTGAAGAGGAACCTCTACTTTACTTTTTACAATCATGAAAACAACACAATCTATGAATGTATTTGCTGAGACCAGAAGCCCAACATGATAGTGACTCAGAGTAGCACTAAAGCCCTAAGTTTTGGTCACACACAAAATTGAGAGTTTGACCAAAAGAGGAGATTGTTAAATTAAGTTTAGCCTAAACCTGTCTTCTTATATATTTTAAGTTTGGCCTAAAAGTTTCTCTCTACCTAGTTAACTGTAACTTACCTGGATGTATAGATAGACTATGGCCTGCTCTTGTACCAATCATTGAGCTTTGGCCAATCAAAGACGGCCAATTGTTCACATCATGTTCAAATAAGATAAATGCCAAGCTATACCCAATGCAGCTGTTTCTGCAGCTCACTTCTGTACTTTTTTCTGTATGTCACTTTCTTGATTCTGTCCATAAATCCTCTCCAACCACACAGCAGCATGGAGTCTCTCTGAACCTATTCTGGTTAAGGGAGCTGCCTGGTTTGCAAGTCATTCTTTGCTCAATTAAATCCTGTTCAACTTAATTTGCCTAAAGTTTTTTTAAAAAACATGACCACAATGAACATGAGCTTGGAATACCTTAGGTGGGAGGAACATGGTAGGTGACATTGTTGGGAGGATGAGGTGAGGCCAGAATGGGGTTTGAGGGCCAGAAAGGGACCCGTCTGTGAGGCTGATGAGGTCGCTATTGGTAACTGTGCCTGTTATATGGGGACAGGGTTATTACCCCTACGAAACATAAGAGAAGAGGAAAAGCAGGAGGTATTTCCCTCACATTTTTTTACATTTCCACAAGAGCCAATAGCCAAGTACATGGCTTCTATCCTTCATTCTCATAGTGTCCAGAATAACCAGCAATGTCCAGTGAAGAAGGGGCTCAAGTGCACACAGCAGTCTTCTAAATACTGACCAAAACAAATTAGGTTTAAAAATCATCTACATCTTTCTCCATCACAAAATTTTTATCAAGTTAATTTTTAAAATTGGGTTTGATTTTAAAAAACTTTTTAAATATATAAACATTACTTTCAAAATTCTGGTTGGTTAAATGCCAAGACCAGCTCAGTCGGGGGAGACCCTAACCCAGTGGGGTTAGATGAATTAAAGACACACACACAGAAATATAGCATGTGGAGTGGGAAATCAGGGGACTCACAGCCTTCAGAGCTGAGAGCCCTGAACAGAGAGTTACCCAAATATTTATTGACAGCAAGCCAGTGATAAACATTGTTTCTATAGATTATAGATTAACTAAAAGTATTCCTTATGGGAAACAAAGGGATGGGCTGAAACAAAGGGATAGGCTCTGGCTAGTTATCTGCAGCAGGAACATGTCCTTAAGGCACAGATCACTCCTGCCATTGTTTGTGGTTTAGGAATGCCTTTAAGAGGTTTTCCACCCTGGGTGGGCCAGGTGTTCCTTGCCCTCATTCCGGTGAACCCACAACCTTCAGCATGGGTGTCATGGCCATCGCAAACAAATCACAGTGCTGCAGATTTTGTTTATGGCCACTTTTGGGGCCAGTTTATGGCCAGATTTGGGGGATATCCCCAGCATGTCCCCCTTCTTGTTTTTGCAGGGCAATAAAAGCAAAGGTGGCTTTATCACGGTGAGCTACTTCTCACAGGAGTCGGGATCCACATCTGCAGACTACACAAAAACAAACAACACAGATTAAAAGCACAATCACCATTGAAATCACAGAGCCTCCAAGTGTCTTTATCTATTTTAATGGGTTAATAGCTGCTAATCCGTCTGCAGCTCCTTCAAGCACTGCAGTTCCTGGCATTACGGTCAGGTGTGCCTGGGATGCTTTAAATATTTGTTCTTTTAATTTTGCAATATCCAAAGACAAATTTGTAGAGTGTCCTTCTAGATCCTTTTTTATTCTTTCCCAAATTTTGATCTTACTAAGAACCATTAATAGTTTCCACAAATCCTTATGTTTAGCTCCTATAGCGGGCCATATCATCTGAGGTTGAGGTGCCACTATACTGCCATGTTTCAATATAATAGGAACTCTTGCTGTACTTCTTACCATTTCTACCATCTGACCATTTTGTTTAGACCAGTTGAACATAGGGTGGCCATGGCACACTATGCTCCAACACTGTGCTCCAATCCAGTGATCATAACATTGGAGTAATATTTCTAGAGTGGTGGCAACACAAAGTATATCATCCATATAATGAATAATGTAACGCTGTGAAAATTTTTTACAAGTAGGTTCAGTTGCTTGCCCTATATAAGTCTGGCAAATTGTTGGACTGTTTAACATGCCTTGTGGCAACACTTTCTAGTGAAAATGCTTAGCAGGCTGCAGGTTGTTTACTGCAGGAATCGTAAATGCAAACCATTCACAGTCTTGCTCAGCTAAAGGAATAGTAAAGAAACAGCCTTTTAAATCTATGACTATTAAAGGCCAATTTTTTGGAACCATAGCAGAAGAAGGGAATCCTGGCTGTAATGCTCTCACAGGTTGTATAGCTGAATTAATGGCTCTTAAATCAATTAAAATTCTCCATTTACCTGATTTTTTCTTAATTACAAAAACTGGAGAATTCCAAGGGGAAAATGTTGGAGCTATGTGTCCTTTTCCTAATTGTTCAGTAACTAAGTCCTCTAAAGCCTCCAGTTTCTCTTAGCAGCCGTTGTTCTATCCAAATTGGCTTATCTGTTAACCATTTTAAAGGTATAGGTTCTGGAGTCTTAACAATGGCCGCCATCAAAAATGATATCCTAAACCTTGGTGGGAACTTTGTCTTTCTGCTGGAAGCGGTTCCTGCAAATCTTGCAAATTTTTTACTAGTCCCATACCAGGGACATACCCCATTTCATGCATCATATGTTGACTTTGAGGGCTGTATAATTGCTCTGGAATTAGAACTTGTGCTCCCCATTGTTGTAATAAATCTCTCCCTCATAAATTTATAGGTACAGAAGTTATAATTGGTTGAATAGTCCCAGGTAGTCCATCAGGCCCCTCACAATGCAAAATATAACTACTTTGATATACTTCAGGGGCTTTACCAAATCCAACTATGTTAAATTTAGCGAGTTGAATTGGCCACATTGATGGCCAGTGCTGCAAAGAAATGATTGAAATGTCCACTCCTGTATCTATCAAACCTTTAAATTTCTTTCCCTGGATAGTTATTTCATAGGTAGGATGTTTATCAGTAATTTGATCCATCTAATAAGCTGCTTTGCCTTGTTTATTTGTGCTTCCAAATCCTCCTGCTCATTTAATTTCACTTTTCCCCATTTCTACATATGGCACAATCAGGAGTTGTGCTATACACTCTCCTGGCTCTGCTTTCCAGGGAACAGAAGTAGATATAACAATTTGAATTTCCTCATTGTAATCTGAATCAATGACTCCTGTTTGTACTTGCACTACTTTTAAATTTAAACTAGACCTGCGTAGAAGTAATCTTATCATCCCTGCTGGCAAGGGTCCACAGACCCCTGTTGGAACTTTTTTTGGGGTTCCCCAGGCAGAAGGCTCACAGCTTTTGTGCAGCATAAATCTACTGCGGCACTCCTGGCTGTGGCAGGTGACAGACATTGTACGGGGGTTAGGGAATGGCCTGAGCTGGAAATGTCACAGTTTGGAACAGGGCCCAGGACTGGCCCCTCATGCCTTTTTCCGAATTTAAAAGGAAAAGACTCAAATGTAGCTGTAATATCTCCCTGTTGATCTGGGGGGTGTATTCTAACAGGGAAACTGCCAAGCCTCTATATCACCCTCTTGTCTAGCTTTCTGAATTCCTGCCTGAATAGAACTGAGAGCAGTCGCTCAAGGTGCTGCTCAAACAGTCACTGGGGCAACTACTTTTTGCCCAGTGTCTGCCCGAAAAGAAAGATCTGGGGGGTCAGGCCACTCTTTTTCTTCAAAATAATGAGGGGGTGCAGAAGGGCAGGGATGAACCTCTCCCTCCTTTGCTGCTTTAGCTTTAGCTGGCAAACAAACCTGCTCTGTCATCTCCTCTGTTACTTCATTATACTTTCCTTCCTCCTCATCATGAGTGTTCCAAGGTGGAACAAACCAGAGCCCACACTTGTCCCATTGTTACTCTGATGCTTCCAAGCTCCCCTTCTTACTCACCATGGGGATTGCTTAAGAGTACTCGGGTGTCCTCCAACTTAGTTCCACGTTCTCCAACCCTCACTCCGGTGATCCTTCAACCTGGGTTCGAGTCCCCACATTGGGTGCCACTTGCCAATACCAGCTTGGTCAGGGAGACCCTAACCCAGCAGCGCTAGAGGAATTAAAGACACACACCCAGAAATATAGCATGTGGAGTAGGAAATCAGGGGTCTTACTCCTTCAGAGCTGAGAGCCCTGAACAGAGAGTTACCCAAATATTTATTGACAGCAAGCCAGTGATAAGCATTGTTTCTATAGATTATAGATTAACTAAAAGTATTCCATACGGGAAATAAAGGGATGGGCCGAAACAAAGGGATGGGCTCTGGCTAGTTATCTGCAGCAGGAACATGTCCTTAAGGCACAGATCGCTCATGCCATTGTTTGTGGTTTAGGAATGCTTTTAAGCAGTTTTCCACCCTGGGTGGACCAGGTGTTCCTTGCCCTCATTCCGGTAAACCCACAACCTTCAGCATAGGTGTCACAGCCATCACAAACATGTCACAGTGCTGCAGAAATTTTGTTTATGGCCACTTTTGGGGCCAGTTTATGGCCAGATTTGGGGGCCTATCCTCAGCAGTTAAACAATTATGTAAAGTTCACAAAGTATAGAGGAAGTTCCAAGAAAGTGCCAGAGCCAGAGCTACTCCTAGAGTATGCTTTGGGGCTGCTGTCTCATCCTCAGGGTGTCCCCAAATCCTCCAGCCTGGATGCTGCCTCCAGGGTCCACCCTTGTGGGAGTTCCTACTGAGACCTCCCTCACCAGAGCCCAGAAAGAGCCAAGCCAAGCTCAGCCGGCAGTGGCTGCTCACCCCGGATGATCTGTCTGCTCTGCCATCAGTTACACCACTGCTGCCTACTCTCAGCCAACTCCACCCTACAAAGAGACATGGGCGGCACATGCCCGATCATGCCTTTGGTAACAACCCCCCTGCATCTCACCTGTCTCCAGGTCCCCACATCCCTTGAAGCTTGGTTTCCTTGATCAGGATTAGGGGTTTTCAGTATGGCAGGGACTCCTGATAGTCACAGAATGGCATCTATGAGGCCAAACCATGTCTGAATTAACACTCCATATACCCACGTACTGGCCATGTGGTTTGGCAACTTTGTGAGCCTCCGTTTCCAAGTGAGTAATATCCCTGTAATTAAAAGTTCTCACAACTTAAAGTTCTTGTTAATTGTCCATGTCAAGATTACAGGCTAAATTACGGTTCTATTCAGCTGACCATGAGATGAGGAGATCATCCTTGACTATCCTGGTAGGTGCAGCAAAATCACAAGGGTCCTTAGAAGTGAAAGGATGCAGGAGAGAGTTGGCCTGATGTGATGTGAGAAAGACTGGACCTGGTGGTCATTGCTGGCTTTCGAGCTGGAAAGGGACCAGGAGTGAAAGAATGTGGGTTCTTCTATAGACTAGAAGAGGAAAGAAAAAGAACTCTTTTCCAGAGACTCCAAGGGGGACACAGCCTAGAGGACAACTTAATTTTAGCCTAGTGAGTCTCATTTCAGATTTCCGATCTCTAAGTCCATAAGATCATAAATTTGTTTATTTATTTATTTTGAGACAAGGTCTTGCTCTATCGCCCAGGCTGGAGTGCAGTGGTGTGATCTCGGCTAACTGCAACCTCCGCCTCCCAAGTTCAAACGACTTTCCCACCTCCCCCTCCAGAGTAGGTGGGACTACAGGCACCCACCACCACACCTGACTAATTTTTGTATTTTTAGTACAGATGGGGTTTCACCATGTTGGCCAGGCTGGTCTTGAACTCCCGGCCTCAGGTGATCTGCCTGCCGCTGCCTCCCAAAGTGCTGGGATTACAGGCGTGAGCCATCCGCCCAGACCATAAGATAATAAATTAATGATGTTTTAAGCCGCCAAGTTTGTGGTCATTTGTAATGACAGTCATGGGAAACCACCTCACAGATATGGAAAGATGTTCACCTTCACTTACCATGAAAGTCATGGAAAAAAATAGATCATCGTTTTTTTCTTTTTTGCCTACTAGGTTAGCATTAAAGAATTTTAAAAACGAATTAAAAAAAAACTTAATATCCTTGAGCCAGTCAGTGGAAAAAAATGATACCATGGTTCCTTACTGGAGAAAGAAAAAAAAATTAGCTCAAACACTTAAGGTGGTAATTTGGAAATACACATAACTATTTTACATGGACTTGTCCTCTGACTCAATATGCTAATGGCTAGAAATGTACAGTCCTCTATTTCCCAAAGTCTGCCAAACAACATGTACAGAATTTTTTTAAAGCAGCTTTATTGAGGTAAAATGGAATACCAATAACCGCATATATTCAACGTGCAAAATGTGATGAAGTTGAATACCTCCTGAAGCCATCACCAGAATCAACAGCGTGACCTTCCCATGACCCCCAGCGGTGTCCTCAGGCTCTGGAATCGGAATCTCCTTAATTTGCATCGGGCGGTTGGGGGTGTGCGGACCTCCCAGGAAGCTCAGCCCCGGGAACCCAGGAAGGGAGGGCAGCGCGCCGCGATCCCCGCTGGGCGGCAATGGAGGAGCGGGGGTCTGGGCGGATCCGAGCCAGCGCGGCCCCGGGGCGCGTCCCAGTTAGTGCAGCGCCGGTGCGGCCGGCGGCTGCGGGCTGGACGTGTCTGTCGCCAGTTCCTCCTGCGGGAACTTGGGGGCGGCTGGGCAAGGGGTGGCTCCACGGGAGGCCGGTCCCAGGTGAGCTGCGGCCGGAGCTCCTGGGGCACCCGGGGCTGTCCGGGGACGGGGCCTGGGCCGTGGGGACCTCATGACCTCCGCGGGGAAACGCCGGGGGCGCGGCCTGGGCCCGGCTGCTCCTGGGCTCTGGCCAGGGAGTCGCGGAGTGGGAACTGAGAGGCGCCGGCCCTGGTGACAGCGTCCTGGCTGCAGGACTTTGGGGCGATGGGCTCTGGGGGCGCCCTGGGGCGCGGCCCGGGGCATGCTGGAGTTCCCACAGATCAGTTAAAGGGCGGCCGGGAGGCATCGAGGTCGGTGAATTGTACAGTACACTTAAATTGTCACCTAACGTCACGTCTTGGCTCCTTTGCTCTCAAATGGATACCCCCCCCCCCACACACACACACACACACATACCCTTGTTTTTCTTATACAGGAGTGTGCTTCTGAGGCGGAAGTGTTCGCAGCTTTGCTTTGGCAAACCTTTTGAACCTGACCTTCCTAGTGGGATTGGACTCACATCTAGGAACAGAAAACGAGGCCTAGGAGGCCGCGCTTCCGTCCAGGAGCGGCCCCGCAGCCCCCACCTTGCCTTGGGTGGGCAGCCTTTGCGCAGCCTTGGGAGCCTGGAAAGGCCACAGCCAGAGGACAGGACCGCAGCCCAGGAACGCGCTCCTCCTGCTCTCAAATCCTGGGACTTCGCCTACCCATTGCAATCTTGACATCGTTGTATTTTACCAACTAGATTTTTGAAACTTGTTTTTGGACTTCAAAGGGTTTTTTTAATCAAACCAAAAATTTTTAAATAGATTTGATAAAAATCTTGTGATGGAAAATGACGTGATAATTCTCAACCCTAATGGACTTCTGGCTGTGTTTAGAAGAGGATGTGGGCACCTGAGTCCTTCCTGGCCAGGCTCACTAACCGCTCAGGACTGCAGGCAACAAGGGAAGAAAGCCATACACTTGGCTCCCGGCTCCCTTTAGAAAAATGACATTGAGAAGCAAAGTCCTCCTCCTTGTAGATTTTGAGGCTCAGATGTTATTACTATTATTATTATTATTATTATTATTGATATGGAGCCTCTCTCTGGGCTCACTGCAACCTCTGCCTCCTGTGCTCAAGCAATACTTTTGCCTCAGCCTCCTGAGTAACTGGGATTATAGGCACAAGCCACCACGCCCAGCTAATTTTTGTATTTTTAGTAGAGACAGGTTTTCACCATGTTGATCAGGCTGGTCTCGAATTCCTGACCTCAAATGATCCACATGCCTCCGCTTCCCAAAGTGCTGGGATTACAGATGTGAGCTACCATGCACGGCGAGGCTCAGATTTTAATAACAGAATTTCCATGGCTGGATGATATCACACAGGACTTACTTTTAAACTTTGTTGGAAAAAAATTAATATGAGTCCTATAAGTAAAACAGAGCCCTAGAGGAGCAGGTCCACACTCTTGGTGTTTTGGCTCTGGAGTATGACGGTTCCTACCAATGATAGCTACACAGACGTTTGAAGGTTTTGCCTTCTTTTAGGTAAACTCAAGGAAGATGATCTGTAAACGATCAGTGTCACATTTCTACTTCTTTAGTGGAACTTAGGCAGATAGCGGTGGGAGCTCCAGGAGAGAATTTCACGTGATTATTTATACTCCTCTTATCTAAATCACCCCACTACCTTCTGGAGGCACCACAGCAGCCTCTCTACTGGTTCCCTGATGCTATCTGCATCTACAATCTGTTTCCTTATTGTAGCCAGAGCGGTTTTTTTTTAACATGATATTTCGTTGTTTAGAACTGTTCCGCAGTTTTTGTTGATGAATAAATTCCAACATATCCTGGCGTTAGAATAGCTTAACACTTAGGAGTGGGGAGTGGGGGGCTTAGAAATCAGAGCATCTGAGCAGATCCCACGTTCACTGAGCTGTGTGAGAAGTCACGTTACTTCTCATTGTTTGCCTCTTCAGTTTGTCTAACTAAAAAAAAAAAAAGAAAAAAAAAACAGGAAAATCACGAATTTCCCAATCCATTTCTTTCTTTTTTTCTTTTCTTTTCTTTTTTTTTTTTGTTTTGTTTTGTTTTGTTTTAAGATGCCCAAGCTGAAGTGCAGTGATGCTTGGTCACCCAGGCTGGAGTGTAGTGGTGCAATCTCAGCTCACGGCTCCAACCTCCGCCTCAGGGGTTCCAGTGATTCTCCTGCCTCAGTCTCCTGAGTAGCCGGGATTTAAAACACCCACCAATACACCCAGCTAATTTTTGTATTTTTAGTAGACACGGGGTTTCACCATGTTCGCCAGGCTGGTCTTGAACTCCTGACCTCAGGTGATCCCCCGCCTCGTTCTCTCAAAGTGCTGGGATAACAGGCAGAGCAACCACGCCCAGCTATTGATACATTTCTTAATACAAGCTCCTGGTTCTGCTGTTTTGATATATTAAATATCCAGCAATAAATTTCTAGGTTCATAAATCTACAAAAATAAAATTAAACCTATTGCTGAAGACAAATTTTGTATTGCAGTTTTATGAGCTTTGATTCCTTCTCCACTTGCAGGTAAATGCTATTTAGTGGCAGGAAGACATTTCGCTTCTGTAAAAGGTATTAGAAACAATATAGCAGTAATAGAATTTATAACTACAAAACTATGCGCTCTTAAGATTGAAAATGCAAGCACATCTCTCCCAAAACATTTGTAATGAATAATGTGTCAACAAAAAGTATACAGTCATTATAGTCAACTCAATTTATACACTAAAGTCTTTTTTTGTTTGTTTTTGGGGGTTTTTTTGAGACGGAGTTTTGCTCTTGTTGCCCAGCCTGGAGTGCAAAGACACAATCTCAGCTCACTGCAACCTCCACCTCCTGGGTTCAAGCGATTCTCCTGCCTCAGCCTCCCAAGTGGCTGGGATTACAGGTGCCTGCAACCAAGCCTGGCTAATTTTTGTTTTTGTTTTTTTTTTAATAGAGACAGGGTTTCACCATGTTAGCCAGGCTGGTCTTGAACTCCTGACCTCAGATGATCCACCTGCCTCAGCCTCCCAAAGTGCTGGGATTACAGGCATGAGCCACCGTGCCCAGCCTAATTTATACACTAAAGTCTTTTATATTTTAATTTTGGCCACTAACTCCATTATGTGACATTCCTGTTTGTTTTGTTTTGTTTATGGTATCAGTAAAAACTCTTAAGTTGTAAGAGGGAAGAAAGTGTAAAAAAAAAAATTCATGAAAAATGTAATTAATTCTCATGAGTGCACAAACTCTGGAGGCTACAATAGAAGTTTTATATGGAAAATCCAATCAATACAGTAATTTTCAAGGTTGGGAGAGGGGATGCTCATGGACAAATGGGCCTCTGACATCTACAGAATTTTTAATTTGGTTCATCTACCTTCAGAAAACCTTTCACAAAAACATGACATTTGCTATAGAAAGATCAAGTAGTTTATTCCCTCACACATACAAAAATAGGAAACTGAGGCTTACAGAAGCTAGATTACTTACCTTGAAAATATATATATACACATATATATATATTTTTTTTGAGCTGGAGTCTCGCTCCGTTTCCCAGGCTGGAATGCAGTGGCAGGATCACGGCTCACCGCAACCTCCGCCTCCCGGGTTCAAGCAATTCTCCTGCCTCAGCCTGCAGAGTAGCTGGGACTACAGGTGCGTGCCACCACACCCAGCTAATTTTTTTGTATTTTTACTAGAGACGGGGTTTTACTATGTTGGCCAGGATGGTCTCGATCTCCTGAACTGGTGATCCACCCGCCTCAGCCTCCCAAAGTGCTGAGATTACAGGTGTGAGCCACTGCGCCCAGCCAATTTTTGTATTTTTTGTAGAGACAGGGTTTCCCTGTGTTGCCCAGGCTGGTGTCTTAGAACTCCTGGACTCTTTAGCCCAGCATGGTGGTACGCACCTGCAGTCCCAGCTACTTGGGAGGCTGAGGCAGGAGAATCACTTGAGCCTGGGAGGCAGAGGCTGCAGTGAGCTGAGATTGCACGACTGCACCCCAGCCTGGGCAACAGAGCAAGACTCCATCTAAAAAAAAAAAAAATCCTGGGTTCAAGTGATCCTCCCACCTCAGCCTCCCATGTCACTGGGACCACAGGCACGCACCACCACACCTGGCTAATTTTTGTATTTTTTGTAGAGACAGGGTTTCTCTATGTTGCCCAGGCTGGTCTCTTAGGACTCTTGGACTCAAGTGATCCTCCCAACTTGGCCTCCCAGTGTACTGTAATTACAGGCATGAGCTACTGCATTATTAATATATAAATGCATCAAACAAATGTATCGGGGATTCCAGTGGATTCTAAGTGGACTTGGACATGTTGGGATGTGCCTGGAACACTAGTGGGCATGGGCCGCCCATCTGCATTTGCAGGAGAACTGAAAAATATCCAGAAGGCAAAACCCTTTAGGAGCTACAAGAAGCAGGCCCTAGAGGAGAGTAAGGCAAGTGAGGCATGCAGGACACAACATTTAAGGAGGCCTCACTCTCAGGAGCTGTCCCTGCACTTTCACGAGCCTGCGAGAGAGGGCTTCCTTAAATTTCCCACTGATTCCTCTTTTGTCTCACCAAGTCACAGCCCTGGTAAGAAGCCAGAAGTGGCTGGGCTTGGTGGCTTATGCCTGTAATCCCAACACTTTGGGAGGCTGAGGCAGGCGGATCACCTGAAGTCAGGAGTTTGAGACCAGCCTGGCCAACATGGTGAAACTCTTGTCTCTACTAAAAATACCAAAATTAGACAGGCATGGCGGTGGGTGCCTGTAATCCCAGCTACTTGGGATGCTGAGGCAGGAGAATCGCTTGAACCTGGGAGGCGGAGGCTGCAGTGAGCCGAGGTCGCACCACTGCACTCCAGCCTAGATGACAGAGCAAGACTCCGTCTCAAAAAAAAAAAAAAAAAAAAAAAAAAGAAGCCAGATGTGTCCAGCTTGTTCCAGTGGTCAGAATTGGGCACAGAGTTTTATCATAAGAACGTGTTGCAGCTACTAATAGGAGTAAAAAGAAAGAATTTACTACAATGATGTAGCAGACATTTGTAATGCAATGTGAATATTTTGTTGTACAGATGGGGGTGGGGTGTCTTGCTGTGTTGCCCAGGCTAGTCTCAAATGCCTGACCTCAAGTGATCCTCTCAACTCAGCCTCCCAAAGTGCCAGGACTACAGGTGTGAGCAAATTGCTGAGTCTTGATGAGGGTAAGGGTCATGTTCCAGGGTCAAAGTCCAGCTGAGAGTCATCGTGAGGATCAGAGTGGGGGTCAGTGTCAGAGTGAGGATAAGGAGTGTGAGGCAAACATTCAAAGCCTGGGTCAGGGCGAGGGTCAGAGTCAGTTTCAGGGTCAGAGTTCATCACAGAGTGAGAAAGACTTAGTGCCAGGGTCAGGCTGAGTGTGTAGTTCAGGCTCAGCATAAGTTTCAGATTCACAGCAGGTTCAAGGACATGGTGAAGGTATGGATAAGGGTCCTTATAGAGTCAGGGTGAGGTCAGGATCAAGGAGACCATAAGGGTCAAGTCAGGGTCAGTGGAAAGTAAGCAGCAGAGTCAGGGTCAGGTAAGGGTCAGATTTATGGTCATGATGAGGGTTATGGTGACATTAAGATTTCCAGGCCAGGGGAGGGTCAAGTTGAGTGCCACTGTAGGGTTAGCTTCAATGTTCGGTTGGGATTAAGGGTGATGCTAAAACTGAAGGCAAAAGTGAGGGTCCGGGTCAAGTACAGAATCAGGGTCAGGGTGAGAACGAGATAGAGTGTGTAAGTGACAGTCAGGATCAGGGTCTGGTGAGTGTCACAGTCAGATGCAAGGTGAGAGTGAGCACCAGGGTAAGGCTCAGGTGTGAAGGAGGGGGTGGTGTCAGAACGAGAGCAAGGTCAGAGTCAAGGTGAGAGTGTATGCTTCAGGGTCAAGAGTCATGGTTAAAGGCCAGGTGCAGTGGCTCACACCTGTAGTCCCAGTGCTTTGGGAGGCTAAGGTGGGAGGCTTGCTTGAGGCCAGGGGTTCAAGACCAGCATGGACAACATAGTGAGACCCCATCTCTACAAAAAATACAAAAAAAAATAGCCAGGCATAGTGGCATGCACCTGTGGTCCCAGCTACTCAGGAAGCTGAGGTAGGAGGATCGCTTGAGCTCTGGAGGTCAAAGTTGCTGTGAGCCATGCTGGCACCACTGCACTACAGCCTGGGTGACAGAGCAAGACCCTGCCTCTTTAAAAAAAAAAAAAGTCATAATTATGATCACTGTCTAGGTCAAGTTGAGGATCAAGGGTCAGGGTCATAGTGAGGGTCAGAGTCAACATCATGCTAAGGGAAGGGTCAGTGAAGGTCAATTTCAGGGTAAGGGTCAGGGTAGGATTCAGGTTGAGGGTCAGAGACAGGGTGAAAATTAGGATCAGGTAAAGTTTAGGGTCCAATTCAGCATCAGGATCAGTATAAGAATGAGAATGAGAGGCAATGTCAGTGTGAGAGTCAGGGTCATTGTGAGGGCAAGGTGTCCATTATGATCAGGGGCAAGATGAAGCTAGAGGTGAGGCTCAAGTTCAGGGTCAGCTCTAGGTCAGGTTCAATATGAGGGTGAGGATAAGGGCAGGGTTATGGCTATAATGTTTTACCATTTATTTACAATCTTATTTCTAGTATTAATTCAGATACTGCTAAGCAAAAGAAGGTTATTCTTACTAATTCTAATTTATTTTCCTTCAGGAACAGTAATGGATTTGGGGCACTCTCTGCTTTAGTTATTTTATTTTTATTATTATGAACCATCAGGTTCATATCACCGTCTCTGAAAAATCAAAATATCCCCAATTTTACTTCTTGTAGATTTATAACCAGTCACTTCGTTGATAGTAATATGAGAGCAGAAAGTGCAGGTAACAGATTTTTCTGTCTTAAAAATATTTTTTGCAGCTTCTCAATTGCACAAGCTTATGGAATGGTCGGAATGGAGTTTCAATGTTGAACTTCCCAGTGAGAATCTTTTCTACCTTACACCTGTAATTGGTCATTTTCCTTTGAGCACCTGAGAAGTGCTTAGCTCAGCAGCTCCCATAGCTGGATAGTTATAAAGGTATGGAAAATTCCTCTTCATGAATTGAGCCAAAGCGGCTTCTAACATTCTTTTCAGCTAAGCTGAAAGACAAATACAGTGGTCCCTCCGTATCTGTGGGTTCCGCATCTGTGGATTCAACCAACCAAGGATGGAAAATATTTGGGGAGAAAAATGGATGGTTGCCTCTGTACTGAACATGTACAGGCTTTTTTTCTTGTCGTTACTCCCTAAATAATACAGTGTAACAACTATTTGCACAGCATTGACGTTGTAGTCGGTATTGTAAGTAATCTAGCCATGATGTGAAGTCCACGAAGAGATGTGCGTGGGTTACATGCAAACATTTCGCCATTCTGCATAAGGCACCGGAGCGTTGTGCTGTGCGCTCTCCTAGCGTCCCCCACTCACTTTCCTCCACCCACACACACCAGGCCAGGTCTCTCTTGCAAAGGTGAGGCTGCCGACTACTGTCCCGCCTGAGCGGGCTCTGGTCCTCACTCACAGACTGAGATTTCCTGAGAGGTGCCGTGGAGAAGGCCCCAGACTCTGCCTGGACCACCGACCCCAACCCAGAGGAGCTCGCCGCCTGCTTCCCTGGGAGGCGCCACTCTCCCAAGCTGGATCTAGGGCCGACCACACCCCAGGGTTGGAAGCACCGCTGGGGACACTGAGCGGGTTCCCTTTCCACCCTGATCCAGGCTGCAGAGACCTACAAAACAACAGTCGGTTCACAAGTCCCAGAGGAAAGCTTGCTGGAGGTTGGAACGAGGAGCAATCCCTCTGGGCCCCAAACTTTTCCCGCGTTAGAGAGAACACCGAAAAGGTCCAGAACTGCGCCCTCCAGCTCCCCGCGCGCACCCTGAGCCGCGTCTGATTGCTGTGCGGCGCCTCCTAGCCGCGCCCCCGCCCCGCGCACCCCCGCCCCCGCTCAGCACCCCGGGAACCCCCTCCCCCCGCGCGCCCCCGCCCCGCGCACCCTCCCCCGGAGGGCCCTCCCCTCTGCGCGTGGAGGCTTTTCCTGGAGACTGCGCCGCGGGTCTAACACCTTCATTTCGTTTTTAAAAAGCTCTTGAGTCTGGCCCGTCCCTGGTTCCGCCCAGAGCCCTAAAATAGAGGCTTCGAGTCTGGAGGTCTGGGAGAAAGGGAGCTAGACCGGGAATTGATCTGAGAAGCTTGGGGTGGGGGGAAGGCGGATTCCTCTGCTTCCCAATCCTGGCATCTGCGCCCAGGGATGTTGGAGCCAAAGGGAAGTGGCTTCCCCTCCTGAAATATAAGGGGCGCGCTAAAGGGTTCCCAGGATCCCTTCCAACTCTAAATTCCTGCGATGCCTGGGGCTCCGGGGAGGTATTTTGCGGTAGTCAGAGTCCGAAGATCCTAGAATGTAGTTTGAGCTGGGGCTAAGGACAGGGGATTGAAAAGTCGAGGCGGTGGACCTGGCGCAGGATGAACAAGACTGGGAGACTTCCAACAGTTTCCTCCTCGACAAGCAGGTCACAGGACAATGTCTGGAGGACTTCTATCCCCCTTTCTTGTTTCTGCCACCCCCTCCCCTGCAGCTCTGCACTCTCTCTAGTCCCGCCTTCCTGGCCCTCGTTCAGCCTGTTTTAGTTTAGAATCGCTGCCCGGTGGTCACTCAAGGCTGCTAACCTCTGCTGTAAGGAATTAAGCTTCCAAGAGCATATCTAAGAAGGAGGGCGGAAGGAAAGGGACCGAGTGCCTCCACATGTCAGGACAGACCATGAAAGAGAAGCCAGGAAGTCCAACAAAACCAGCACTGGTCTTTATTGAGGTGTCAGGGTAGAGTGGCAGGAGCACAGCCTAAGGACATGAAGGTCAGAGTTTCTCAGAGAGGAGGGGCTGGGTCCCTGAGCTAGGAGGAGGGCGGTGGGTGACTCGGGAGCTCATGAGACTTCAGGAAGTCCCTGTACTTGGCCAGGAAAGGGTTGGCCAGAGTGTTCAGCTCTTGCCGAAGCTCCTGCAGAGCCTTGTCTCGCTCTTGGGGCTCCCCTGTCACCTGCTGCCTGTAATAGTTGATGTAGAAGTTCATCCAGTCCTCCACCACAGTCACCATGTCTTCTTCAGAGACGAGAGGATCATTGAAGACCTGGGGGGTTGCGGAGAGGCAGTTGGCAAGGGAGAATGTGGTCAGCAATGGGATTCGGGAATACTAGAATAGTGCCACAGCACCAACTCTCACATTCTCTTTCCTCTGCATTGTATCCCGTGTCTCTCGTTGTTTCCATCAACTCCACCATTACTTCACCAGCTCCAATTATCCTCTTCCTCCACTTCCCCGGCACCCCCCAGTCTCCAGGCCAGTCCTTTGAAATGGAAAGCTTGGACTCACCTGCTGATTCAGCAGAACGCTGAACTCCTTCAATCCTGCGGAAATGAGATCCTTATTGGCCTTAAGAAGAGCCATCTGCCTGGGTAGAGAAAAGGGTAGAATTTACATATCTGTTTCCCTCCTCACTGGGTATTTCCCCCAACCCACTTCCTCCCCTTAAAAATCCCTCCTGCCCTGCAGGGCTATCTCCTTTCCAAAACCTTTCACATCCTGCCCTGCTCTGAGGTCACGATTTTCCCAGGTTGGGCTCACCTTCAGGTCTAACAGGCTGTATATGTCTCACCCACACTCTTGAGGGTGCGTGAATCTCTCTGTGCCAAGCTATAGATGTAGGCAAGGAGTCAAGTGTCAGCCTAAGATAGAAACGCCCTGCATCTAGGTCCTGAAGGAGGGTGATAGGTCATTCTAGGGAGGAGAAGAAGGGAGAGGCTTCCCTGAAGGTAGAAAGATAACAAGGCCAAAAAAAAAAAAAAAAAAGATAAATGAGGAAACCCAGGAAATGCAAGAAGGCAAGAGCCAAACCAGGGGCATGTTCCTGCTTTTTGCCCCATATTTCAGTATCCAGGCTCGAAATGCTATGGAAATTGACGTTTACTGAGCCCTATTACATGACAGAGGCTTTTGTGTAATCACAACGATGTGATCGCAATGATTCTCCCAATTCGGAGATGATGTATTAATAGCAGCTTGCATTACATTTATTCATTTGTGCCAAGCACTGTTTCAAACATGTACAAAATATTTATCCTATAAAATTTCTTTTTAGACACATTTTGCAGATAAGCCACCTGTAAGCGTGTGGACTGAACTCCACCACGCTGTGCTCCATAAGAATGGAGATAAATAGCCGGGCGTGGTGGCGGGCACCTGTAGTCTCAGCTACTTGGGAGGCTGAGGCACGAAAATCGCTTGAACCCAGGAGGCAGAGGTTGCAGTGAGCCAAGATCACACCACAGCACTCCAGCCTGGGTGACAGGGCGAGACTCCATCTCAAAAGAAAAAAAAGAATGGAGATGGATTTGTCTTGTTTACTACCCTGTCAACAGGTACCCAATAAAGCAGAAATACTCTTTTTCCTCTTTTTAAATATTTTTCCAGATATTTTCCATTTTCAGTAGATGTTTCTCAAATTTCAAAATCACTATATACTAATTGAAATAATTAAAACAATACAAAAACGTACACTGAAAAACTGAATCATTTTTGCCCCCTCCAAAGTAACCAGCATTAAACATTGTATATTTCCTGTCACTTTTTTTTTCCATTCAAAACCCAACATTCATAGGTGCCTATACACTCATAAAGCTTTGTTGATTTGCCTTTTTGGTTGTAGCATTTTTTAATCAATATACAGCAAAACTGACTTCCTTTTGGTGTACAGTATATTAAATTTTTTTTTTTTGAGAGGGAGTCTCCCTCTGTGGCCCAGGCTGGAGTGCAGTGATGCGATCTCAGCTCACTGCAAACTTTACCTCCCAGGTTCAGGCGATTCTCCTGCCTCAGCCTCCCAAGTAGCTGGGATTACAGGCGTGCATCACCACGCCTAGCTAATTTTTGTATTTTAGTAGAGATGGGGTTTCACCATGTTGGCCAGGCTAGTCTCGAACTCCTGACCTCAAGTGATCGACCCACCTTGGCCTCCCAAAGTGCTGGGATTACAGGTGTGAGCTACCGCATCTGGCCTAGTTTATTAATTTTATAACAGATTTGTGTAACTACAAACGCAGTTAAGATACAGAATGTTTCTGTCACCCAAAAACCACTCCTTCACGTTACCCTTTTGTAGCCACCCCTACCCTCACCCATAACTTCTGGCAACCACTTATCTGTTCATCACTACAGTTAAGCCTTTTTCAGGATGTCATATAAATGGAATCATACAGTATGTAACCTTTGAGACTGACTTTTTTTGGTCAGCATGATGTTCTTGAGCTCCATCCAAGTTGTCACAAGTGTCAGTGGACACATTGCATTGTATGGATGCACTGTAGTTTGTTCATTCAGCCACGGAAGGACATCTGGATTGTTTGTACTTTGGGGCAAGTGTGAATAGAGTTGCTATAAACATTTGTGTACAGGTTTCCATGTGAACATGTTTTCATTTATATAGGGTGGAAAGTATGTGTTACCGGCCAGGCACGGTGGCTCCCATCTGTGATCCCAGCACTTTGGGAGGTCAAGGCAGGCAGATCACTTGAGGTCAGGAGTTCGAGACCATCCTGGCTAACATGGCGAAACCCCCTCTCTACTAAAAATACAAAAATTAGCCAGACATGGTGGCATGCACCTGTAATCCCAGCTACTTGGGAGGCTGAGGCAGGAGAATCGCTTGAACCCAGGAGGAAGAGGCCGCAGTGAGCGAAGATCACGCCACTGCACTCCAGCCTGGGTGACAGAGTGAGACCTTGTCTCTAAATAAATAAATAAATAAATAAATTTATTATCTTACAGACTTAGAGGTCAGAAATCTAAAATGAGACTCACTAGGCTAAAATTAAGTTGTCCTCTAGGCTGTGTTCCCCTTGGAATCTCTGAAAAAGAGTTCTTTTTCTTTCCTCTTCTAGTCTATAGAAGAACCCACATTCTTTCACTCCTGGTCCCTTTCCAGCTTGAAAGCCAGCAATGACCACCAGGTCCAGTCTTTCTCACATCACACCAGGCCGACTGTCTCCTACATCCTTTCACTTCTAAATAATTTTTCTTAAATATTTCTTTAAAAATAATTCATTACCAGATGGGAAAGATCAAGATCCCAATGCCCTTCCAAAGCTCATTAAGGAAAAGTTTCAGGAAGGTCTCTGGTACATGCCAGGAAACTCAAAAGAGATGGTGCTGCCTCAGATGGCTTAGAAGACCATGCTGCCAAGAACACATCTAACATTGAAGCCACGCACAGTGGCTCATGCCTGTAAGAGGCAGAGACGGCAGGATCGTCTGAGCCCAAGGGTTCAAGACCAGCCTGGGCAACATAGTGAGACCCCATCTTTTAAAAAAAAAAGGAAAAAAAAATCTAATTTTGTTCATTCCTCAAAATTTCCTGGCACAGTTGGAACTAATCTAACTACCTGGACTATAATGAATTGCAGAGTAAAATTAGTGAGATGTAGTGAAGAATTGAAGTCTCCTCCCTCAACCAGTGTCTTGAGAATAGCAGGGGAAACTGATTCCCTTTCAGCATGCTAGATACATCAATAAAGGAAGGGTTGAACGTGAGATTACAAAAACACATTTGCTAAAGAATTGTAGAAAACCAGGATCACAAACTCATTCTGCAACAGAAAAATAAAGCACTGCTGATTTACAGAGGAATTCACTTCTGGTGATGTCTCTTAAAAATTAAGAAACCTAATAGGAACTCCCTCATCGAGGCAGGCTCTGCTTCAGCTGAACAAGAAATTAGCCAGAGGGAGGAAAAGAGAACTGTTTGGACTTCCAGGAAGGCCTCTCCTTCCACCGAGAGGACTGCAATGAAGACCTCAATCATCAGGGAAAGAAGAGCCTTCTCCAGAAATCTGATTGGAATTGATGACCCAAATCCCACTCAGTCAACGCAAAACCCTGACTTGCTCGTGGCAGTACCAGGTTGGAGTCAGGGCAAAAAGGTTGTAGATTTCATGTTACATAGTTTGGCCCATGGTTTCCCCTGTGAACATTTTGGGAGGGAGGTGAGAGCTGAACTGGTTAGGTGGAACCTTGGTCTTATTTCCTGGAGATGTGACGTTTTTGGGGCCTGTTCCTGCTGTGACTGGCACAGCAATCAGGACCTGCAGCCTCCAGAGGGTCCCAGGGCTGGGGAGGAGACATGAGCCTTGCGCATCTGAAGGTCAGCGTCTTGGCAGCATGGCTACTCGCAAGAGGGAGGAGCTCACTCTGGATCCATTCGAGAGAGACTTGTCCCTTCCCCCTCTTCTGCCCCACCCCTGGGCCACTTTCCTGTCCCCTGACTCCCACTTGACTTTGTTTTCACTAATTGGAGCTTAGCTCAGAAAATGGAGGGGGCTGAAGTTATAGGTTATGGGAGGGGAAATTTAAGTTTGGGAAGACAGAGGCTCCCTTGATTGGCACTATCAGCCACATCTGCAGCCACATGAGGGTCTCAATGCTGGGGCAGGGGGCAGTGAGACTGGCCAGGAACCTGAGTCCCCCGGGGACTCGCAGACACCTGCCCCACACATCCTGAGTGTGCTGAGGGAGACCCAGCCGAGATCAGCTGTGCTCCTGGGTAGGTGAGAGCAGGCCCTGCAGGGGGCCCAGTCCACCCAGGAAGGATGCCCAGAGTGGCTGAGTGTGCACCTCCCTCTTCTGCCTCTCCTTTTCCGCTGCAAGCAAGACCGGGGGTCAGGAGTTACAGGTGCCAGAGTCCAGAACGGGCCCCTCCTCCCCAGCAATGTGGGTGGGGTCAGGGGCTCAGGTCAAATTCAAGGAAAATCTTCAAGCCACATGGTGTAGAGCCAAAGCTAAAGAGGCCGCCCTAATAATAGACAGCAGCAGCCCCTTACAGATATGCTCAGACTCATAGGGTCTCAAAATGCAATTCTCCACAGTAGAAAGGACATCTGCCCTGACAGAAGACTGCACTCCTAGATAAACAGGGGTCATCTGGCCCATTATTTAAAGGTAGACCCGTATGTTCAGATTATGTTAGTGGAATAAAATTCATGACATGAACATTTTCTTTGGAAAGAAACATCCCTTAAATGGCTCCTGGAGCCTAAAACATCCTCTGGAACTCCCTTGAGGCCATGTACGTCATGACTGCTAAAATTATGATGAGAACCAAGTCTTATTTTCCTACAGGTAAATAGAACAAATGGAGACAAAGGCCTGGGCAGCCCCACTGCATGTTTCAGGAGGAAAAGTAATGTCAGCTAGGGATTCTTTCCTTTAACTGTCTTCAAATTCTTTCATCCAATCCTTCTAAAGAATCTTTGTGTATACTCCCACACAAGTTTTGTAGACATTTATTTTTGCCTCATACATTTAAATCATAGCAAAGGCTTTTAATTGTGACAGGATCCAAACACATTTAAACAAACCGCACATCGCTCTTTTGAATGTGTCCAACACAATGTTAATGGGGTGGTGATTTGGCCCTGACCACTATATATTTTTTTAAAAACCAAACAGGTTTTTCCTTAGCAGCTGGGAGTTTTACAACATGCCTTTTACTTCTTGAACTTGTATTTCTATTCCACTATCCCCACTTAACTTTATCCTAAGATAACTCACATGCTTTTGTGCTTGTATTTTGTTCACTCCCATTCTACTTACTTGCAACTTCTCTCATGTGCTGTGTCTTTCTGTTGGTCTCTCTGTCTCACTCTCTCTCTGTATAAATACATGGATAGACAGCTCTGACATATATATTCAAGAGGAAATTTATATATATATATAACATATATAGACACATATTTAGTAAAATGCGGTTTACCAAAGTGAATGTTTCAAATTTTAATAAATATTTATGAAACAGAAATTCCAATTGTATTGGAAATAAATCCTCTAATCAGATGGATGGCATAGAATTGAGGGAATTGTTGAAGGGTCCCTATTCTGGTGGTCTGGGACAACGCCCCTTGTAAATTTCAGGCAGGTGAGATTGGCAATTGGGAGAAGGAAGGAAACGTGAGAAGGGCCCAGGGGCAGGGACTCCCCTGGACACCGTTTCCGGGCCTAGTTGATTTTGAGAATGAGTGAGTATGGACTTCAAAGAACTGGAATTTGATTCTCTAAAACTTCCCAGGACCGCATACCCATTGGAAGGGTTCTTCCTGCTCATCTCGGGACCATGGTGTTCTGCCTACAGGGGTCTCTGAAATACCTGGATTAGTAGGAGACAGCTGAATTCTCACAACTGCTTCTGCTTTGGGGAACTCCACCCCACACTGCAGAGCAGAGGAGAGTGAAAAAGTTAGATAACATGGAGTGTCAATTCAGACATGGTTTGGCCTCAGAGATGCCATTCTGCGACTATCAGGAGTCCCTGCCACACTGAAAACCCCTAATCCTGATCAAGGAAACCAAGCTTCAAGGGATGTGGGGAGCTGGAGACAGGTGAGATGCAGGGGGGTTGTTACGAAAGGCATAATTGGGCATGAGCCGCTGACGTCTCTTGGTGTAGACTTGGTTGAGAGTAGACAGCAGTGGTGTAACTGACAGCAGAGCAGACAGATCATCCGGAGTGAGCAACCACTGCCGGCTGAGCTTGGGTTGGCTCTTTCTGGGCTCTGGTGAGGGGGGTCTCAGTGGGAAACCCCACAAGGGTAGACCCTGGAGGCAGCATCCAGGCTGGAGGATTTGGGGGCATCTTGGAGACAAACTGAGCTGGGGTTCCCACAGGAACCAGTTAAGGTGCGGGCTGGGCTAGCAGCTGGATCTGTGAATTGTACAAGGGACCCTGTTTGGTCACTGAAAAGAAAGGCCTCACCCCCTTTGCTTTCAAAGTGATTCCCCAACCCCCATATTTGTAGTATTCAGGGGCATGCTCCTGAGGTTAAAGAGTTTGTAAATGTGCTTTGCAAATCATTTGAAACTGACCTTCTTATAGCGACTGTACTTAACATCTAGTATGGAAAATAGGACCTATGAGACACCTTCTTTCCATCCAGAGGAGCAGAGTTAAAGGTCCCCTATTTCTCTTACACAGCAGCAACTGTGTGTTTGAAAGGTCAGCTCCATGTGTGACCTATGTAGCTTAGAAAGACTGTAGCACCCTGAGGACAGGACAGCAGCCCCGAAGCTCGCTCTGGGAGTAACTCTAGCTCTCACACTTCATTGGAACTTCCCCTATATTTCATGAACTTGACATAGTTGTTTTGCCAACCAGAATTTTGAAACTAATGTTTATATACTTTAAAAGGTTTTTTGTTTGTTTGTTTTGAGACGTAGTCTCGCTCTGTCACCCAGGCTGGAGCGCAGTGGCGCGATCTCGGCTCATGGCAACCTCCACCTCCCAGGTTCAAGCGATTCTCCGGCCTCAGCCTCCTGAGTATCTGGGATTACAGGTACCTGCCACCACGCCTGGCTATTTTTTGTATTTTTAGTGGAGACGGGGTTTCACCATGTTGGCCAGGCTGGTCTCCAACTCCTGACCTCAAGAGATCCGCCCACCTTGGCCTCCCAAAGTGCTGGGATTACATACATGAGCCACTGCACCAGGCCTTAAAAACGTTTCCTTAATCAACCAAAACTTTTTAAATTGACTTGATAAAAATGCTGTAGTGGAAAAAGATGTAGATTAGTATTTAGAAGACTGCTCTATGCACCTGAACCCTCCTCATTGGACATGGCTGGCTACTCTGAACACTGTGAGAATGAAGGACAGAAGCCATATACTTGGCTTTTGGCTCTTTGTGGAAATATAAAAAGTAGGAGGGAAATACCTCCTGCTTGTGTTTTAAGAACTTTTCCCCTTCTCTCATGTTTGATGGGGGTAATAACCTTGTTCCCATATAATAGGCCCGGTTACTAACAGCACCCTCATCAGCCTCTCACACAGGTCCCTCTTTGGCCCTTGAACCCCATTCTGGCCTCACCTCATCCTCCCAAAAACATCACCTACCATGTTCCTCCCACCTAAGGTATTCCAAGCTCTTGTTAACCTTGGTAATGTTTAAAAAAAATAAGTAAAAAATAAAAAAATACTTTAGGGAAATTAAGTTGAACAGGATTTAATTGAACAAAGAATGACTTGCAAACCAGGCAGCTCCCTTAACCAGAATGGCTCAGAAAAACTCCATGCTGCTGTGTGGTCAGAGAGGATTTATGGACAGAATCAAGAAAGTGACATACAGAAAATGGTACAGAAGTGGGATACAGAAACAGCTGCATTGGTTACAATTGGCATTTATCTTATTTGAACATGGTTTGAACAATTGGCCAAAGCTCAATGATGGGTACAAGTTTAAACATACATAGTCTGTTCATACACTGTTCCAGCATCCCTGAGCAGTTGGTGTCTCCCTGGACTGTTCACAGACTGTTATCACCTGTGGGCTTGGGTAGGAGGGGTTCCCAGATAGTCTCACACCAGGCAAGTCACCAACTGAAGGAATTACTAAAACAGTATGTGACTGTTTTTAAGGTACCCAGAGAAAGTGGGTCAGATGCAGGCGATAAAGTGTTACTGAAGGCAGCCACATCTCAGCTCACCAGAAAACAGGCTGTGGGCTCTTAAAACAGGTTACAGTGTGTATTGTGCCCGTAAAAATGTTATCCATCAGACAATAGCCACAGCTGCTCTATTCAAAGGCTGAATACCCTCCCTGCACTTGTGGAAACACCATCTCTGTGGCAACAAAACACATGAGGAGACAAAGGCTTAGCTACATATTTATGGGCTGTGGTCTCCAGTGAGACACCCCAAATCCACATTTCTACTTTTGTCACTGCTGTCTTATTGTAATTAAAATTGTAAAATATTTTCATATATTTTATTCTATTTTAAAATTTGTATTCCACTCATTTCTATTTCTATTCATGAATCAACAGTACACTATTTTAATTCCCATGGTTTTTATTTATTTATTTTTTTTTTTCCTATGGAGTCTTGCTTTGTCACCCAGGCTGGATTGCAGTGGCATGATCTCGACTCACTGCAACCTCTGCCTCCCGGGTGCAAGCAATTCTCCTGCCTCAGCCTCCTGAGTAGCTGGGATTACAGGTGCCCACCAAGACCTGGCTAATTTTTGTATTTTTGTTAGAGACGGGGTTTCACAATGTTGGTCAGGGTGGTCTCAAACTCTTGACCTCAGGTGGTCCGCCTGCCTTAGCCTCCCAAAGTGCTGGCATTACAGGCGTGAGCCACCGTGCCAGATCCCCATGTTTTAATAATATATGACAAAGGAAGTCACTCTTTTTTTTTTTTATTTCAAATTGTTCATGGATTTTTTTTGTTTACTTTACATAGCAATACATTTTTTAAATCTTCAGAACTCAAGTACATGGTATTATATTTGGGTCAAACTCAACATATAAATTTATTCAAAGATTATTGACTTCTCAATATTGTTGAATTTTCCCACCCAAACATTTGGTGTCATTATTTTTCATTTGTATAAGTCTATTTTCATGTTTTTCAGAAATCTTTTACACCAATTTCTTACTAAATTTATTAAACATAATTTTCTGTAGAATTCTGCCAATTTTTTTGCATTGATGAACATAGTCACATGACATTCTCATTCATTCTATTAATGTGATTAATTTCATCGATGAATTTCTTAAGAGTGAATCATACTTACCTTCATAACATAAAGGGCGATTGATTGTGCATTAACATATTGATGCGATAGTTTCTAATATTTAATATTTTACTCTTAAATGTATATGTCACCAGGCACTGTGGTTCACGCCTGTAATCCCAGCACTTTGGGAGGCCAAGGGGGGTGGATCACCTGAGGTCAAGAGTTCAAGACCAACCTGACCAACATGGAGAAACCCTGTCTCTACTAAAAATATAAAATTAGCTGGGCATGGTGGTGCATGCCTGTAATCCTAGCTACTCGGGAGGCTGAGGCAGGAGAATCACTTGAACCCGGGAGGCGGAGGTTGTGCTGAGCTGTGATCGTGCCATTGTACTCTGGCCTGGGCAACAAGAGCAAAACTCCGTCTCAAAAAAAAAAAAAAAGAAAAAAAAAGTATATGTCCTATTTGTCTATAGTATTCTATATGGCTAAATCTAGGCAAGGTTCTGGTATCACCTTTATATACCCTTCCTAAAAACTATCTTAGGAAAGATTTACCTCTCTATAACTCTTGAGTAGTTTAAGTAGCATTAGTTTATTGATTATTCTATCAGTAGAATTTCCCTCTCAACTACATAAACTTGGTGCTTGTGTGTGTGGGAGGGGAAATTCCTTGTTAAATGTCTTTGTTTCTTCTATGAATATTGCTCAGTTTAGCGTCTAACTCTATTGAGTTACATTTTGATAAAACATGTATTCAAAACACACACACACACACACACACACATACATATGCAATATACATGTGCATATCAACTTGCATTGAATTACACAGATGTCTCTATTTTGTCAATATTGAACCTCACGTTCTTCCTGGCACTGTAATCTGTTGACAAATCCTTCTCAAGTTACCATTTATTTATAATTCAAAGATTGTTCATTTGAAGAATTTGGGGAGTAACAGAAAATGAGAGCTTCAGCAAAAACACATTCCAGGAGGCACAGAATCCAGCACCCACTGCGCTTCATTGTCATCCCCTTCTGGCTCAGACTCTGCATTTTCTGCTTCCTCCAGGAGAGCCCCTGTCTGCCTCAAAGGATCATGGAAAAGCAGAGCCTCTCCAGGCACTGCCATCTCTCTGGAGGTGCTGCAGGGAAGTTGTCATTGTTTTTGGTAATTGTAACTGGGACAAAGTTTTTCAAAAATTACTGGGGGAAATTCAGCCCCGATATTTCACATAGGTTCTTTTCTATTTTCCCTAAGTGTCAGCCAGTCTGAGAAATAAAGGGAAAGAGTACAAAAGAGAGAAATTTTAAAGCTGGGTGTCCAGGGGAGACATCAAAAGTCAGCAGGTTCTGTGATGCCCCTCAAGCCACAAAACCAGCAAGTTTTTATTAGCAATTTTGAAAAGGGGAGTGAGTGTACGAATAGGGTGTGGGTCACAGAGATCACATGCTTCACAAGGTAATAAAATATCACAAGGCAAATGGAGGCAGGGCAAGATCACAGGACCACAGGACTGGGGCGAAATTAAAATTGCTAATGAAGTTTCAGGCACGCATTGTCATTGATAACATCTTTTAGGAAACAGGGTTTGAAAGCAGACAACCGGTCTGACCAAAATTTATTAGGCAGGAATTTCCTCGTCCTAATAAGCCTGGGAGCACTACTGGAAACCGGGGCTTATTTCATCCCTCCACTATGATCGTAAAAGACAGCTGTCCCCAAAGTGGTCATTTCAGAGGCCTCCCTTCAGGGACGCATTCTCTTTCTCAGGGATGTTCCTTGCTGAGAAAAAGAATTCAGTGATATTTCTCCCATTTGCTTTTGAAAGAAGAGAAATGTGGTTCTGTTCCACCTGGCTCACTGGCAGTCAGAGTTTAAGGTTATCTCTCTTGTTCCCTGAACACTGCTGTTATCCTGTTCTTTTTTCAAGGTGCCCAGATTTCATATTGTTCAAACACACATGCTCTACACACAATTTGTACAGTTAACACAATCATCACAAGGTCCTGAGGTGACATACATCCTCTTCAGTTTACAAAGATGACGGGATTGAGAGATTAAAGTAAAGACAGGCATAGGAAATCACGAGGGTATTGATTGGGGAAGTGATAAGTGTCCATGAAATCTTCACAATTTATGTTCAGAGATTGCAGTAAAGACAGGCATAAGAAATTATAAAAGTATTAATTTGGGGAACTAATAAATGTCCATGAAATCTTCACAATTTATGTTCTTCTGCCATGGCTTCAGCCAGTGCCTCCATTCAGGGTCCCTGACTTCCCGCAACAAAAAATATTTTCAATTCCCCAAGTGGGTACTGTCATTGCTGCCCCAGGTGAAAGTATAATTGCAGTTCTGTGGGGAGGTGAGGTCACAGGATCCTGAGCCCATATCTCTGACCTGGCCGCCTCCCTCCATACACTTGCTGGCCGTCCTAACAGTCACTGAGTTCCACAGCCCGGCAACAGGGAGGCGCCTGGTGGGTGTGTTACATTTTGGTCTATGAGGGATCGCCTGCAAGGGAAGGAAGTGTATCAGGAGGTGGGGTAAATGCTCTAGTCTGGAAAGGGGACTTCACTGGGCCAGAAACTGACCAGTGCCAAGGCCATGTGGGGAAAGGAAATAATTGCTGGGTCATGGGCTAAGTTGTAGAGAGGGAGCTAAGTTCTAAGAACATGAGCCAGTCCTGAACTGCGGCTCATTTATGTCATTGTTGGTTTTTGATGCAAGAGGCCAAAAATCTGTTGTTGTTTTTTTGTTTTATTTGAGACAGGGTGTGGCCCTGTCACCCAGGGTACAGAGGGACGATCTCAGCTTGCTGCAACCTCCACCTACCAGGTTCAAAGGTTTCTTGTGTCTCACCCGCCTGAGTAGCTGGGATTACAGGCATGCACCAACACGCCTAGCTAATATTTTTTGTATTTTTCATAGGGAAATACAAAATGATTTCACTATTTTGCCCTGGTTGGTCTCGAACTCCTGACCTCAAGAGAGCCACCCACCTCGGCCTCCCAAAGTGCAGGGATTATGGGCCTGAGCCACCATGCCTGGCCCCAAAAATCTGTTTTTGTTAATCTTTCTTGTCTAAGATCTCCTTACCCGTAAAATGGGAATAATGGGTTTTTTAAAGTTTTGTAGTTTAATTTGGAAATTAATTCACTAGTTGTTCTGTCAATTCCACAAGTCAGAACATTGTCAGGATGAGTGGAAGCATTTCTACAATTCCTTCATGCCTGTGATAATGTATAAGATATAGCTGATTAAATTATCTTATTCTTTTTCAAAAGTATTAAATATAAAGCTTTAACCTGCTCTGGACATACAAAGTACCTAATGGAGACTGTGATGTGTGGTGACAGGAAACATCTGGTCTCTGAGAATGATGAAAAGACCATGAAGTCAGGGGATGAGCGGTCAAGGTATCTTGATGACCTTAGGTTTTCATATTAGAACAAAAATCATGGACTTCAGTAGTTTTCTTAAGTAAATTATTTGATAATATTTACTCTGCCTTGAAAAACGTCCTAAAGCCATTCTTCGGCTCAATACTCATCTTAGTAACACTTAATTCAGTGAATAATTTTCCGTACCTTGAGTTTTCCTTTTACATAATAGACTTGTGTTTTAATATATCTAACAATTCTGACATTGAAATAATTTTTTTTTTTTGAGATGGAGTCTGGCTGTGTCACCCAGGCTGGAGTGCAGTGGCATGATCTCGGCTCACTGCAGCCTCTGCCTCCCAGGTCACGTGATTCTCCTGCCTCAGCCTCCCAAGTAGCTGGGCCCACAGGCATGCGTACCACCACATCCAGCCAATTTCTGTATTTTTATTAGAGACGGAGTTTCACCATGTTGGCCAGGCTGGTCTCAAACTCCTGACCTCAGGTGGTGATCCACCTGCCTCGATCACCCGAAGTGCAGGGATTACAGACATGAGCCACCATACCCGGCCTCCCCATCTCTATTTTTTAAAAAATAAAAATTTATTCTTTCCACAAATGGGTATTTGGACCCTACCTTGTGCCAGGCACTGACACAAAGCCCTGGAAATAGATTAGTGTTCCTGGATCTTATGATCGTTAGGGGAAGAGACAGGATGAGTGGCAGGGGTGAGGTTCAAGAGATCAGGCAGGGCCGGATCTGCAGAGTTTTGTTTGCTCTGACAAAAAGTTCGGGTTTTATTTTCAAGTATGAAGAAAAGCCATTGAAGGGTTTGGAGGAGAATGTTGCAATCTCCTTCCATAAAAGTAATGATAAGCCACTGTGAGGTGTTTTTGTTGTTGTTGTTTTTGAGACAGAGTCTCGTTCTGTCACCCAGGCTGGAGTGCAGTGGGACAATTTCGGCTCACTGCAACCTCTGCCCCCCAGGTTCAAGTGATTCTCCTGCCTCAGTCTTCCAAGTAGCTGGGATTACAGGCTAGTGCCACCACGCCTGGCTAATTTTTATATTTTCAATAGAGATGGGGTTTTACCATGTTGGCCAGGCTGGTCTCAAACTCCTGACCTCAAGTGATCCACTCACCTCAGCCTCCCAAAGTGCTGGGATTACAGGCATGAGCCACTGTGCCCAGCCCACTGAGAGGCTGTAAACCAGAGAGTTGGAAGCTGTGTGGAGAGTGACTACAGGAGGCAGGATTGGAAGGGGCGAAATCAACTAGGGGAAAGTCAAGGGGCTGAGAGCTTGGAGTATTCTGCCCCATGCTTGATATACCGGTGATCTTTGAACAACACGGGTTTGAACTGGGCAGGTCCACTTATAATGTAGATTTCTTTCAACCAAATATAGATCAAAAATATAGTAATGGCTGGAAGTGGTAGCATGCACCTGTAATTCTAGCTACTCAGGCAGTGAGATGGTAGGATCACTTGAGCCCAGGAGGTCAAGGCTGCAGTGAGCCATGGTCACACCCCTGCACCCAGCCTGGTGACAGAGTGAAACTATCTCCAAAAAGAGGAAAGGAAGAAGGGAGGAAGGGAGGAAGGGAGGGAGGAAGGAAGGGAAAAAGAAGGGAAGGAGGAAAGGAAGGAAGGGAGGGAGGCAGGAAAGGAAAAGAAGGAAGGGAGGGAGAGAGGGGAGAACAGAGCAAGAAGAAAAGAAAGGATACCAACATTTTTTCTTATTCAGTTAAATAATAAAAGGAAAAGGAAAGAAAATACAGCAGGCCGGGCGCAGTGGCTCATGCCTATAATCCCAGCACTTTGGGAGGCCGAGGCGAGTGGATCATGTGGGGTCAGGACTTCGAGACCAGCCTGGCCAACATGGTGAAACTCCGTCTCTACTAAAAATACAAAAATTAGCCAGACATGGTGGCACATGCCCGTAATCCCAGCTACTTGGGAGGCTGAGGTAGGAGAATCACTTGAACTCAGGAGGCGGAGGTTGCAGTGAGCTGAGATTGTGCCACTGCACTCCAGCCTGGGCAACAAGAGCGAAACTCCATCTAAAAAAAAAAAAAAAAGCAAATACAGTAACAGAGGGTTGCAAAAGCCACATATATGCAGAGCCAACTGCAAGACGAGTGTGTGCAGGTTTGCGTATACTCCAGGGTCCTGGAACCAATTCCCCAACTATAACAAGAGACAGTTGCACTATCAAATGACAGGATTTAGGCGCAGGCTTTCAAGAGACCTCATGAGAGAGAAATGTTACAGGCCGAAAGAATGAGGGTCATGATCAACTCAGTATACCACTGGAGGCTGTATGAGTAAACCACAAACTGTTTCTCATAAATGCAGAATGTTGGCAGACTGACAAACTGCGTCTGCCACCCAGAAGGAATGCTGAGGGCAGTCATGCCCCAAGCACAGTGTTTCTTGCGATTAGGTACATCTGAAGCCTGTTAATAATATTATGAACCTGTTATCAGTTAAGCAGCCAACCCATCATTACCTCCTCCTCCCTGCTCTTGCTACCCAACAAATACGAAGGGCTGTGGAAGCTCAAGGGCTGCCTTTGCTCACTAGAAGCAGGGAGCTCTCTTCTTCTTCCCCTGGACCCTTCCTTTTTGCTTTAAGTTTTCATTGTCTATGTTCATCCCTTCATTCAGTCTTGTAATGAGGGTGTTAAAGAGTAATGGCAGTAACTGTTATAATGACGGTCTCAAGTAGTAACAGTAGTAACTGTCATAATGATGGTCTCAAGTAGTAACAATAGTAACTGTTGTACTGATGGTCTCAAGTAGTAACAGCAACTGTCATAATGACGGTCTCAAGTACTAACAGTAGTAACTGTCATAGTGAAGGTCTCAAGTAGTCAGTAGTAACTGTCGTAGTGAAGGTCTCAAACAGTAACAGTAGTAACTATCATAATGAGGGTTTCAAGTAGTGACGGTGGCAGTCAGCCATAGAGAAAGGGGAACTATCACTCATCTCTTTGTCAAGCCACCTATCTGCACACTCAGGTCACAGGGAAGTGTATGATGGGTCCTTGCCCTCAGGCACTTACAGTCCACTTGGGAAGACAGGACATCTGTACCTAACAAAAGCAAATACAAACTGGCTCCAGACAGCATAGGCTAAGAGTTAAGTAAATGCTACAACGAACAGGGACTGTCATAGTCTCTGAGTAAGGAGATGTCAAGGTGGACAATGGTAAGCAGTAGAGCTGCAGTGGGTTCATAAATAATGTGACCATATATTCCCATTTGCCTGAGACAGCTTCACTGCAGACCTGTTTTCCCGCAGACCTGTTTTCCCAACACAATTATTACCAGTGCTTCCTTTAATGACCCTCTCAAAAGTCCTGGTTTGCACAATAAATTATACAGTGACACTAGTCATGAGGGCCACCTGCCTCACTTGGAGCCAAGGGCCTCACATTTGAACACTTGACATTATCTCTGAATAAGAACCAACACTTAAACAGTATGTACTATGTGCTAAATACTTTAAGAGTTTTGCACATACGACATGACTTTTTTGTTTTTTGTTTTTTTTTTAGACAGAGTCTTGCTCTGTCGCCCAGGCTGGAGTGCAGTGGCGCAATCTCGGCTCACTGCAACCCCCACCTCCCAGGTTCAAGCAATTCTCCTGCCTCAGCCTCCCAAGTAGCTGGGACTATAGGCACATATCACCACACCTGGCTCATTTTTGTATTTTTAGTAGACATGGGGTTTCACCATGTTGGCCAGGATGGTCTTGATCTCTTGACCTCGTGATCCGTCCGCCTCGGCCTCCCAAAGTGCTGGGATTACAGGCGTGAGCCACCGCGCCCGGCCAAGACATGACTCTTAATTCTCGTTCCAACTCTGTGTGGTAGGTACTAGTATTATTTCCATTTTACCATTACCATTTCGTCTTTCAGAAGAAGAAACTGAAAGACAGAGAGATATGTAACTTGCCCAAGATCTCACAGCTTCCTGGACAGCTTCCTGGACAGAACCTACATTCACAGTAAGGCCCTCTGATGCCCCAGAGTCCTATCCACTCACAGAAGCTAACCTTTCAAATATAACACAATGCTTGATCTTTCACTGTGCCAGGAAACTCAAAATTATTTTGAAAGGATAATTTATTGACAGTGTTATAAGCTAAATGGAAAATAAGAATTAAACATTAAATTTCTGCCAGGCACAGTTCATGCCTATAAGCCCAGCACTTTGGGAAGCTGAGGTGGGCAGATCACTTGAGCCCAGGAGTTTGAGACCAGCCTAGGCAGCATGGCAAAACCCTGTCTCTACAAAAATAAAATACAAAAATTAGCTAGCCATGGTGGCACACGCCTGTGGTCTCAGCTACTCGGGAGGCTGAGGCAGATCACTTGAACCCTGGAAGTTGAGGCTGTAGTGAGACTGTAGTGTGATCACACCACTGCACTCTCTGGGTGACAGAGAACCTGTCTTTTAAAAAAAATTAAATTTATTCAACTACTTCTCTAAAGTGCCACTCCAACATATACCAATATATTCTTTAATCTCAAGAGCTTTGGGAGGCCGAGGTGGGAGGATCACTTGAGGCCAGGAGTTGGAGACCAGCCTGGGCAACATAGTGAGATCCCATCTCTACAGAAAATTTTAAAAGTTGGCCAGGCATGGTGGTGCATGCCTGTAGTCCCAGCTACTTGGGAGGCTGAGGCAAGAGGATCACTTGAGCCCAGGAGTTTGAGGCTGCAGTGAGCTATGATTGCACCACTGCACTCCAGCCTGGGTGACAGAGCAAGACCCTGTCTCATCGATCGATTGATTGATTGACTGATAGAATAAAAAATAAATCTTAACCCTAAGGATGAAGAAGAGCTTGGCCTACAATGTCCTGCAGTTTGGCCCCTAACTCCCTAGCAGCCCTTTCCCCATGCCCCTCGTGCTCTAGACTTCTGCTGCACCGGCCTTTGTTGGATGTTAGGTACCATGCTCCCTCCCCACTCAGGACATGCTGCTCCTTCTTTCCAGAAAATTATTTTCCCATCATAATCAAGTTAACTCTTACTCTAGATCTCAGCTAAATACACACTTCCTCAAAAAAAAAGTTTCCCAGCTGGCCTCAACGGCTCATGCCTATAATCCTAGCATTTTGGAAGACCGAGGCGGGAGGCCTGGGCAACACAGAGAGACCCCAACTTAAATTTTTGTTAAAAAATTTCCCTTGGCCGGGCACAGTGGCTCATGCCTGTAATCCCAGCACTTTGGGAGGCGAGGCAAGCAGATGAGTTGAGGCCAGGAGTTCAAGACCAGCCTGGCCAACATGGCAAAACCCCGTCTCTACTAAAAATACAAAAATTAGCTGGGTGTGGTGGTGAATGCTTGTAACCCCAGCTACTCCGGAGGGTGAGGCAGGTGAATCACTTGAACCCAGGAGGTGGAGGTTGCAGTAAGCCAAGACTGTGCCACTGCACTCCAGCCTGGGTGACAGAGGGAGACTCCATCTCAAAAAAAAAAGTTTCCCTTGATTCCACTGATTAGCTCAATTCTCCTTCTAAAAGTCCTCATATTAAATAACATGTACCCCTCTACAGCAATTGAAATAGTTCCAACTTTGCATTTATTTGTATGATTTGATCAATATCCTTCCCTAATATAAGTTCCAAAAGACCAAGACCCTTGTTTGTTTTTGCTCACTATCCCAATGAGCACATAGGTAGCAACAGGTATTTGTAGAAGAAACTGGCAAACCATTGGTAAAAAAGAGATAACAAACACGGAGTTAATGACAACTGCACGGTTCAAGCGATTTTCTTGCCTCCGCCTCCCGGATAGCTGGGATTATGGCCACACCACCCCCACGCCCAGCTAATTTTTGTATTTTTAGTAGAGATGGGGTTTCAACATGTTGGCCAGGCTGGTCTTAAACTCCTGACCTCAAGTGATCCACCTGGCTCGACTTCCCAAAGTGCTGGAATTACAGGCGTGAGCCACCACGCCCAGCCCAAGGATCACTTTTGAGGCCAGGAGTTTGAGAGCAGCCTGGGCAACATAGGGAGGCCCTGCCTCTATTTAAATAAATATGTTTTTAAAGTACTTAGTCTTCAAACCTTGTTTTATTTTTGTCCTCTATTCAAACCAGTACCTGAATTTAGACAACATTACAGAAATGTTGTGATTAGGCCATTTGTATTTTGAAACCCGAAATTTAAAGAAAAAAAAAAAGAAAAGAAAAGAAGTGTTCAAGTTTATCTCAGTCAGAGAGAGACTGTGTTTGTGTGAGATAAGGCGAAGTGGGGTAGAAGGGCCTTCCAGGATTAAGTCCACGAGGAAGGTGACGGTTTGGGAGAATCTGAAGTTTCAAATAAGGAGTTGTCGGTTGGGATCAAACTGTGGGGATCCAAGAATGCCAGGCTAAGAAACCAGGATATTTTATTTTCTGATAAAAAGAGGATGCTTTTTTGGCAAATTTCTGCTTCGGAGTGAAGATGCTGCACTAGATGGGAAGGAGAAGAGGAGAAATGGAAAGAAGAAAAGGTGAGTTCCAAGGACAGAAACACTCCCTCTTTGGACTCCCCCCAATTTCATGGACTCTCTCCCGCAAAAAAACACACAAGAACTTCCTGCCTTGTTTCCTTGTTTTGTGACATCATTGCAATCTCTTGATTTTTTTCATCCCTCGGATTCCTTAGCATCCTTCAAAAGTAATGTTCCTGCAGTCTCGCAGAAGGCCGAAGGATGGAGAATTTCTAGTCCAGGCCAGGGACACTCAGAAGAGAGAAAAAAAAAAGAACAAAAAAAGACCCAAGCAGCTTCACAGGGCCTCATCTGGTCCAATTTCTTCTCATGATGCATTCATTCACTCATAAATATCTTTTGAGCACCTACTATGTGTTGGGTAGATCTAGGGATAAAATCAGGGTTAAAAATACAGTCGCTGGTCTCACAGCAAAAAAGGCACCTGAGGCCCAGAGAGGGCCACTGACTTGCCAAAAGTCACAAGCTAAAACTTCTGTGGCCGAACCGCGTCTCGAACACAACTGGCGGAGGCCCACGGCGCCTGCAGCCCAGCTGCAGAATGCTACAAAGCAACGGGGGCCGGTGCCGGGGCGTCCGAAGCAGCGCCGAGGCCGGAGAGAGCGACAGTCAGTTTCCTAACTGCGCGGCGGACGCCGAGGCCGGCGCCTGTTCTTGAAAGATGTCCCTCTGCAGCCGCGGTAGCCCAGCCGGAAGTGCCGCCTGCCACGTCCACCGTGCGGCAGGGGCGGGGCTGGGATCCAAAAGCTCGGCATGGCTGACGACGCGGGTTTGGAGACCCCGCTGTGTTCCGAGCAGTTCGGCTCCGGGGAGGCACGGGGCTGCCGCGCCGCCGCGGACGGGAGCCTGCAGTGGGAGGTCGGGGGCTGGCGCTGGTGGGGGCTCTCCAGGGCCTTCACGGTCAAACCTGAAGGACGAGATGCGGGCGAAGTGGGGGCTTCCGGGGCCCCCTCACCGCCCCTCTCCGGGCTCCAGGCCGTGTTCCTGCCTCAGGGCTTCCCTGATAGCGTCAGCCCGGACTACTTGCCCTACCAGCTGTGGGATTCCGTGCAGGTCAGCTCGGTCGTCTGGGGCAGAGGACAGTGCAGGCCACTCCTCCCTCCCCAATAATGGACGGGTGACTGAGACTCGGAGCCCGGGGGGCGGGGGGTCTGACATGCCTCATACACCAAGAACAAGAACAGATGAAGGCACTTAGACCGCCACGCTCCTACGCCCGCTTCTCACCCTACTTGTTTTCTTCTCCAGGCGTTTGCTTCCAGCCTCTCCGGCTCCCTAGCCACCCAGGCAGTCTTGCTGGGCATAGGGGTGGGGAACGCAAAAGCCACTGTTTCAGCTGCCACGGCCACCTGGCTCGTGAAAGGTGAGCTGCACCCCTGGAGCCTCACGTATTGCTGCTTTCAGCCCTGCTTTCGCTGGGCTCTTATGTGTATATATGTATGGACTCGTGCCCCATTAGGTAGAATTCAGGCAGGTCTCCCCAGTGATTAGAGTGGTGCTTTGTAACCCAGTCTTACTTCCCACATCTGGAAGACCCTCATCCCACTCACCAGCCTAGCAGCCGCACTCCATTCCCCACACAGACTTCTGAGTCTCAATCATCTGGATCCCAAATCCCGTCCCCTCCCCTTTATCCCTATTCTCTTTGTGGAAGATTGCATAAGAATGCAATTGATGGAATAAAACTGCCAGCTGCCCAGGATAGGGGAAATTGGTGAGCTCCAGAAAAAAAAGATATAGTTGGTCCTGAGAAGGAGAGAGGAGAGCCTGGAAAGAATGGAAGGTATTGTGTATGCTCTGGGATACCAGATGATGCTGTAAATAATAGAGTGACTATCTGCTGAATATGTACAGCTTTTAAAAAATTGTTTAAGGAAAAAAAATACAGTTTGGTACCATGCCACCCAGAGAGGGAAATAGAACAGAAAAGGGAAATTGTTACATGTTCTACACGAGGAGGCCCCATGGCTTTTGCCACTGTCCTTTGTCTTTCACTACTGCTCGCAGGGGATATTTATTAGGCTGGTGCAAAAGTAATTGCGGGGTTTCTTTGTCGTTATTGCCATTAAAGGTAATGGAAAACCCGCAATTACATTTGAGCCAACCTAATAGATCTAAGGAAAAGCGCTTTCCATTCGTAGCATCAGTCTGGCCACATCCCTTGTGAGCCTCTCTGGATTTTTTTGAGAAAACAGGAGCTTCCTGTTTACACCTTTACCATTAAGACTGAGAAAACTGGGCCGGGCACGGTGGCTCACGCCTTTAATCCTCGTACTTTGGGAGGCTGAGGCATCCTGGGCAACATAGGGAGACCCCCATCTCTATTTTTTTTTTTCCAGACTCGTAGTCTCACTGTCACCCAGGCTGGGATGCAGGAGTGCAGTGGCACAATCTCAGCTCACTGCAGCCTCCTCCTCCCGGGTTCAAGCGATTCTCCTGCCTCAGCTTCCCAAGTAGCTGGGATTACAGGCATGTGCCACCCTGCCCCGCTAATTTTTTGTATTTTTAGTAGAGACAGAGTTTCACCATGTTGGCCAGGCTGGTCTCGAACTCCTGACTTCGGGTGATCCATTCGCCTCAGCTTCCCAAAGTGCTGGGATTATAGGCGTGAGCCACTGCGCCCGGCTTGTTGGCCGTATTTTTGGAATGCATTTGGAGCTTGGGTCAGTAGTTTTTGTTTTCATGTGATGTCACCAACATGTTGCCTATACAGATTGAATATCCCTTATCCAAAATGCTTGCAACCAGAAGTGTTTTGGATTTTGGAATTTTTTTTGGATTTTGGAATATCTTCATGTATATAATGAGATTTGTTGGGGATCAGACTCAAGTCTAAACATGAAATTCGTTTATGTTTCATATATACTTTATACACATACCTTAAAGGCAGTTTTATACAGTATTTTCAATGGTGTGCATGAAACAAAGTTTGTGTTCATTGATCCATCAGAAAGCAAAGATGTCACTGTCTCAGCCACACGTGGACAATCTGGTTGGTTAGCGTCCCCATCGTTCCTGACTCTGAATGTATATGCTACCAAGAAGCAGTCATTTTCTTATACCTATTCACACAGAAGTACTTAACAGTATAAAACATGATATACCACTAATACAGTGAGAAATTGTGTGTTCAGGGTAACTAAGCAGCACAGCAGATCACCAGAACACCTGTATCAGCTTCTGAACCATAGCAGCAGCAACAAAAACGGCAGGCTGTCAGTCTTCAGCTGTTTTGGTGAAAAGGTTACTGGACACCATATTTTATTTTTTTAAGGTGAGAAGAAACATTAGAAGCAGTTGAAGGACAGGAAGCGGGTCCTCTAGGGATGAGGAAGTGTTCTGCTGGATGGCTTTTTAAAATGTTTCCTCCAGAGTCATTTGCCTCATTAACTGTGGTTTCTATCTTAGAAGTCTCTCTTGGATTCTATAAACTGCCTGATTTCTTGTTCCGTTATGAATGTATGCTGCTCTAGTGCCACAGTAATCCCCTCCCACATCCTCACCGTGCTGTCTATAGGCACTTTTTCTGTAGTGGTAACAGTATCCTCTTCATTGTCACTGTTACCATGATTGCCTTGATTCAGAACTGAAGGAGGCCAGCCCTTCCACACTGTGGGTATTTCTCATCAGGTGGGACGAGAGACTGAGAAAAGAAATAAGACACAGAGACAGAGTATAGAGAAAGAACAGTGGGCCCAGGGGACCGGCACTCAGCATGCGGAGGACCAGCACCAGCACTGGTCTCTGAATTCCCTCAGTATTGATTACTATTTTCACTATCTCGGCAAGGGGAATGCGGCAGGAGAACAGGGTGATAGTGGGGAGAAGGTCAGCAGGAAAACATGCGAGCAAAGGAATCTGTCACAAATAAGTTCAAGGGAAGGTACTGTGCCCGGATGTGCACGTAGGCCAGACTTATGCTTCTCTCCACCCAGACATCTCAGTGTAGCAGAGTAGCAGAGCAGCATTGCCGCCAGCATATCTCTCCTAATCCTCCTCAGCACAGACCCTTTACAGGTGTCGGGCTGGGGAACAGTCAGGTCTTTTCCTTCCCACGAGGCCACATCTCAGGCTGTCTCAGTAGGGGGAAGCCTTGGACAGTATCCAGGCTTTCTTGGGCAGAGGTCCCTGTGGCTTTCCACAGTGCATTGTGCCCCTGGTTAATCGAGAATGGAGAATGGCAATGACTTTTATGAAGCATACTGCCTGTAAACATATTGTTAACAAGACACATCCTGCACCGCCCTAGATCTCTTAAACCTTGATTCCATACAGCACATTTCTGTGAGCATAGGGTTGGCGCTAAAGTTACAGATTAACAGCATCTCAAGGCAAAACAATTTTCTTAGTACAGATCAAAATGGAGTTTCTTATGTCCTCCTCTTCTACATAGACACAGTAACAGTCTGATCTCTTTCTTTTCCCTACAAGAACAGTTTGTGCTATTTCACCATCGGCTGTTTCTACTGGTGGCATCGTGTCTGCACTCCCAAAAGCTGCAGGTTTTGGAGCATTTCAGATTTTAGGTTTTTGGATTAGGAATGCTTAACCTTGGCCGGGCATGGTGGCTCATCCCTGTAATCCCAGCACTTTGGGATGGGGGGCCAAGGTCGGCAGATCAGTTGAGGTCAGATGCTCAAGACCAGCCTAGCCAACATGGTAAAACGCCATCTGTACTAAAAATACAAAGATTAGCCAGGCATGGTGGCACGTGCCTGGAATCCCAGCTACTCAGGAAGCAGCGGCAGGAAAATCACTTGAACCCAGGAAGTGGAGGTTGCACTGAACCGAGATAGTGCCACTGCACTCCAGCCTGGGCAGCAGAGCAGTATCCTGTCTGAAACAAAAAAGGAACGCTAAACCTTTAGCTCAGACAAGTTATTAAGAAAAATCAAGATCACTTTAAGATATGAAAAAAAAAAAGAAAGGCCAGGTGCCGTGGCTCACGCCTATAATCCCAGCACATTGGGAGGCAGAGGCAGGTGGATCACTTGGGGTCAGGAGTTGGACACCACCCTGGCCAATATGGTTTAACCCCGTCTCTAACAAAAAACTCAAAAATTGGCCAGGCGTGGTGGCAGGCACCTGTAGTCCAGCCTGGATGACAGACTGAGACCCTGTCTCAAAGAAAAAGGATGAAAAATCTACTTAAAAGGCTTGTTATTGGCCAGGTGCGGTGGCTCACGCCTATGATCCCAGCACTTTGGGAGGCTGAGGCAGGCGGATAACCTGAGGTCAGGAGTTCGAGACCAGCCTGACCAACATGGAGAAACCCCCTCTCTACTAATAATACAAAATTAGCCAGGCATGGTTGTGTGCACCTGTAATCCCAGCTACACAGGAGGCTGAGGTAGGAGAATCACTTGAACCTAGTAGGCGGAGGTTGTGGTGAGCCGAGATTGCGCCATTGCACTCCAGCCTGGGCAACGAGTGAAACTCCATCTAAAAAAATAAATAAATAAAGGCTTGTTATTGATAGTAAAAGAAGCTCTCAATTAGGATTTTACAAGCTCATTTTCATCAAACATGGGAAATTTCTGTGCAGAGCTTCATCTGAGAAACTTACTTGGGATTTTTTGATGTGATCATTTTCAGTTACCTGTCTCAGTGGAACGTGATGCCAGTTGTCATGAGTAGCAATAGTAATAAAACTTGTTGCTAATATTTTGGCAACCTACCTTAAGCCACACATTTTGTATGGTTACATGTAATATGTGTCTTGATCTCTGCAGCAGCCATATTAGTTAGCTGCCATTATTCATTTTTTAGATGGAAAAACAGAGACAAAAGTGTGTTTAAGTAACTTGTCCAAGGTCACTTAGGGCCATGATTTTGACCTAGGCAGACTTATTCCTGTGTTCTACTCTTAACTACCACACTCTTTTGCCAGCTAAGAATGTCAAGTGGAGCCAAGTACAATTTGTGGTCAGCTGATTCCTTATTAGGACTCAGATGTTTCTAGATCTTACAGCTTGGCCAGTTGTAAATGAAGAGGAAAAAAAAGCAAGTGGGAGTTTTCTATTCTAGTGGACAGTAGTGACTCAGATGCTAGGGAGTATATATATCATTTGTCCTGTAAATGCCTCTGATGATCCATGGAAAGGTAGAATAGGCTCCCTTTCTGTCAGGTGGCCCAAGGAGGACATACACCTGAGTGGATACAAGTGTGTAGCTAAAGGGAAGAAAAATAGAGTCTGAGCTGGGCACAGTGGCTCACGCCTATAATCCCAACACTTCGGAAGGCCGAGGCGGGTGGATCACCTGAGGTCAGGAGTTTGATACTGGCCTGGCCAACATGGTGAAACCCCATCTCTACTAAAAATACAAAAGTTAGCCAGGTGTGGTGGCTGGCACAATGATGATTTTGCCGAGAATATAATGTACTTGAAGGGAAGAGGTTAAAGTGAGGGATGGGAGGCCTGTAAATCCACCTTGTTGGGTGTTACTTCCAGAGTCAGGACAGAAATGGAGAAACAAAGCAGGCCAGATGGCAGTAGCTTGGACCCATGCTTTCCTTCAGTGAGGTAGCCCCAGCTGATGCTGGCCGTGAGAGAGGGCAGCCCCAGTGTGGCCATATCTTCAGGTTCTTCCAGAGAAGCTGGAAATCCATATTTTCTTGTAAAATACCTCAATTTTATTCACCGATTTAATGGGAGCCTTAGTGAAGGGGAATGATCCCTCCCAAAGTCTCAGGATCATTGTGAAGATGAAAAAGCACAGGTATTTCAGGTGTGCACTGGAGCGCTTACTGATTTCCCTCAAGTCCAGGGTGGGCAAGCATGACTCAGTGCCCAAGAAGGCTCTGGAAAGGGGAGAATGCATCTGCTCTCAGTGGAGAATGGGAGGGCTGGCCCGTGTCATTGCATTTATGTTTCGTGGGAAGCTCCCAGCCCTCATTCCCATAACGTAGTGTCCTTTCTCCTACATCCCCACCTCAGGGTCAGTGCCCTCAAGCTCAGACAAGTCCAAATCCTCTCCCCATGGTATCTGTCCTCTCCCATGTCCACTGTATGAGTCCCTCCCAGGTGTCTCGTTCTAAAATATTTCTGCCAGGCTTAATGGGTGCTGCTCTCTGTATAATGGATGGTCCAGATTGACAAACTTTTTCTGTAAAGGGCCAGATCTTAATGCTTTGCAGGCTTTATAATCTTAGTTGCAGCAACTCAGTTCTGTCATTGTCTTGCAAAAACAGCTATAGACAATCTGTAAACAAATAGGCATGGCTGCATTCCAGTAATACTTTATTTCCAAAACCAGGGAGTAGAAACAGTTTAGTGATTCCTGGTCTAAATCAGTGTTTTCTATACTGATTGTTATCTGCTCTTTGGCTGGATTTTGACCCTGGGATCATCTTGGTCACTGTGGTCATGAAGTACCTGGCAGAGAGAGTTAGGTAGCCAGAAAGCATTTGTTGTGCAAACGAAGGTCCCACTGATTCCAGAGACTTCTCTTACTCTGCCCAGCCTAAGGAGGCCTGTCCCTCTGCCGTGCAACCCCAGCTGCAGTTCAAATCTTTTTTTTTTTTTTTTTCCTGAGACTGGGTCTTGCTCTGTCATCCAGGCTGGAGTGCAGTGACATGATCATAGCTCACTGCAGCATTGATCCTGAGTTCAAGCCATCCTTCCGCCTCAGCCTCCCAAGTAGCTGGGACTACAGGCATGCCACCATGCCTGGCTAATTTCTTTCCTACTTTTTGTAGAGATGGGGTCTTGCTGTGTTGCCCAGGCTGGTCTTGAACTCCTGGCCTCAAGCAGTCCCTGGGCCCAAACCCCCTGTAATCCCAAAGTGCTGGGATTATAGGCCTGAGCCACCATACCCAGCCTAAATCCTTTTATTTATTTATCCCATAATAGCCATCTGTGAGCCAACTGCCCAGCCTAAGAGCTAGAACAGGTTAGCAATAACCTTTGAATTTCCACTTAAGATTTCCTGCTTTTTTGAATAGTTTTACCAAATAGGTAAATATTCCTAAGTGCTATATTGTTTAGTTTTAATTTTAGAGCTTTGCAAACTGTGCTGTATGTGGTCTTCATGAGTTATTTTCATGCAAGAGTTTAATAGTATTCATCTATGAATGAATGCCTCTGGGTGAATATACTAGAATTTATGTATTCTGTCAGTCAACATTTGCATTATTCCCAGGTTTTTTGCTGTTATGAACAATTCTGCAAAGAACATTTCTTGTCCATGTCTCCTAGGGGACATATTGAGGAACTGCTATTTGTAGGCACTTCTGACCCCATTATGTAGCTATGACTATCCACAACTTCTAGTACCAGACCGAGTTCCCAAAGGCAGTGACTCAGTGAATTGGCCAGTTCAGTGCCAGGGTCTGCCAGGCCCCACAGCTCCCACACCTCTTCCTTGCTCCTTACCTGTGCCTTCTTTCCCCCAGATTCAACTGGCATGCTGGGCCGCATCGTCTTTGCCTGGTGGAAAGGGTGAGTTTGTCTTCCCGGCCAGCAACTCTGGCAACTCTTCCCAGTAGTGGTAGTAATGATAGTAATAGTATTGCCATTAATTGTGGCTGTAAGGGTTCCATGAGATGATCTATGCAAAGTGCTTAATGCCCGTGGCATCGTACATAATGGCTCAGTAAACACTAGCTACCATTAACAGCTGTAACTGTGCCCCCTGAGCCTCTGTATGTTGTCTCTAATCCTTACAGCAACTCTGTAGGATGGGATTGGATGTGTACATTTCATAAATGTGAAATATACCTGCATGAGGGAAGTTACCTGCCCAAACCACACAGCTTATAACTAGCGAGATGGGATTTGAACCTGAAGCCTGTGCTTTCCATGGTATTGGGCAGTTCACTGGGCAGAACCCTCAACCAGGCCATGTGTTCAGGATCTCGTTATGTGTGTCTGATACCTCTCCCAAGAATATTCCCATTCCCTCCAGGAGATCTCATACTGAGACTCGGGCCTAATGCTGCAAATCCTGAGCTGGGCTGGGGCTGCAGTATCTCCTGCCACTGGGACCCTAGAGAAGTTGTTTCCAAGTGTTTGTGCACAGGGCAGGGAGTCACTGTCTGACGAAAAGGGCAGGTGAGGTAGCCGTCCACGGTGTTGTGTAACAGAAGTACCCTAGGCCTGGATGTCGGAGCCCGGCTCTCTTAGCCTTTTCCCCAACTCTGCGTGTGATCCAGGGAAATCATATCCCCTGTGAGGGCTAGTTGTCTGTAACATGCAGGGTTACACACTCAATGTGATGTTTACTAGTCCAAAACATGCTCACTGGGTACCCTCACTCTAAAGCAAGAAGAAGAACGGAGAGAGGCAGAGGAACTCAGGAAGAGCCTCCCTCCAAGGACAGACAGAGGCTGGGGAGCAGCCACAAGACAATCAGGGTTTTTCCTTGGTAAATCATGAGTTCATAAGCGGGAGACACTAGGTGATCAGTCAGTCACTGAAGGTTCTCCCAGCTAATGGTGGCATTTTAGGTAGCAGTGACCGGCTGTGGGGACAGATGTCTGTCTGGGGGTGTGGGTTTTCCTGAGCTCTTCAGACTTTACTGTGGTCCAAGACTCCCCACACTGCCCATAGGATGTGTTTCTCCTTAAGTCCAAATTACAACAACCTCTCCTCCCCAACAGGAGCAAACTGGACTGCAATGCCAAGCAGTGGAGGTGAGGAGGGGCGGGGACGGGGGAGGGGAGTCTTCCATTATGAAAGTCTCCTACCTCTGACCTCTAACCTCTGATCCCTCCCCAGGCTTTTTGCGGACATCCTCAATGACGTAGCCATGTTCCTTGAGATTATGGCTCCTGTATACCCAATCTGTTTCACCATGACCGTCTCCACCAGCAACCTAGCCAAGGTAGCTGCCTGTGGGGGCACCCATCTGCCTAAAACACCTGCCTTGGTAGTGTGTGAGTTTACCTGGGCTCTGTGAGTTTACCTGCCACTTCAAGAAGAATAAGAAAGTTCAGATGTTTCTACTCGAACCCAACCATCCTTTCTGACCCTCCTCCAGCCAGACAGCATCTAGTGCCCCAGAAAGTGTAAGGCAATGTCTAGAGCCACAGGACTGGGGAGGGAGCTCCGAGCTGAGAACTAGAAGGGGTTGTCCAATGTTGACATTTTGGGACCAGCTTCCTTGACTTCCCTTTGGTTCTTTCAGTACAGTATTTATTGAGTGCCTACTGCATATTTGGCACAGAATGTGGGCCCCCGTCTTTGAAAGGAAACCACACATAATTGCACCAGTGTTTGTGGAATTATAGGTACAGGTATTCTAAATGAGAAATGTTGGGGCCTGCAAGAGGCTGAGGCGGGGATTCCAGCCTGGTCAGGGAGTGTAGGAAGAGCTCCCCTGAGCCTGGGTCCTGAAGATGGAGTTTAAGGTGCAGGGCGGGTGTTCCGGGCAAAAGAAACAGCACAGCTTAAGGTCTGGAGGCGAGGTGGAGATGGAGCACAGACCGCACAGTGAGCTGGGGGACACGCGGGGCTCAAGCACACTCTTCCTCCACGCCAAGCTGTTGCCTGCACAACCCTTGCAGGTTGATCTCACCCAAATGAGGACACTGAGGCCTGGCATGGTTCAGTAAAGAGCATATCCTGTCAGAGTTAAGTCCCTGGCCCAGAGGAGAAACTCAAGAAAATGGAAAACCCATTCCAAGGCCCATGTGTCAACTTAAAATCACGTTAGGGCCGTGTTTCTCCATAAGTACTAGCATTTGGGGTGCAACGGTTCCTTGTGGTAGAGGACATTTAGCTTCCTTGGTTGCAAGCCTAAATGCTACGAGCACCCCTAAACAGGGTAGGAAACCCCAGAGAAAAGCATGGCTGTAGCTATGGACCGAGGGTTGTGCCATCTGGCTTTTGCTTCAAACTCTGCCTTTGAGACTTCAGTCTCTTCATCTGTCCAACAAGGGAATGGAACAGGGCCATGAGCTTCCCTCTTAAGACCCCTCTCTAGAGTTCCCCTCTCCACAACCTCCATCTCCAGCTGCACCAAGAGAAGCCAGCCTGGCTGTCATCTATGCTGCCGCCACCACCACTGCCACCACCTCCTCCTCTTCCCCCTTCCCCTTATCTGTCACCTTCGGCTGAACCTTCAGTTCTGTTATTTTTCCCTCCTCAAAATCTCCAGTCCATTCTCTCCTCCATCTTCCTGTCACCACCTCTCACTGCTGAGAGAGCACCGTTGCTTCCCAGGTAGCCTCCGTGCCGCTCCTCTCTCAGAGCAGCCCAGTGATCCTTTCAAAGAGGAAAGCAATCAGGTCACTCTGCTGCTCCATTGCTCTTAGGGAAAGACCTTCACCAGGCTTGCCAGGCTCCGTGTGGTCAGGTCCCTGCCAGCCACTTCGCCCTCACTTTGTCCCTCGTTCCTCTGGCCTTTGAACAGACTGTTTCCTCTGCCTGCGTATTAACTTGTTTATTTGTTTATTATCTGTTGATCTGTATGCTCCATGAGGGCAGGGCCTGGGTCTGACTTGTATCACAGCACCTAAGTCTATGTCTGGCATCTAAAAGAGCCCTCAGCCAGGGGCGGTGGCTCACGCCTGTAATCCCAGCACTTTGGGAGGTTGGCGTGGGAAGATCTCTTGAGCCCAGGAGTTCCAGGCCCGCCTGGGCAACACAGGGAGACTCTGTCTGTATTCAAAAACTAAGGATAAATAAAAATAGTAATAAGTAAAAGAGCTTTGATGAACTCGGGATGATTGTGAGTGACCAGTGACCCTCCTTGATTAGCTTTATCCTGCGATCTCAGAGGGAGAGATCTGGGTACCCTGGGAGGTCAGGGCCATCAGTGTAGGTTTCGACAGCTTTAACTGGGGCAGGAGGAGAGTAGAGGAATTACAGGAGGCAGATGTAAGCATGAAGCTGGAAACCAGCCTGAGCCTCCCGCCAGTAATGGGGAGGGTATAGCCCAAGCAGGAGCTGGAGGGCTGGGAGTTCTGGGCTGAGAATGATCTTTGGGCCTCCACCTTGGGGAATGAAATTGAGCTTCTGTGAGGCCAGTCCCCAAGGTGATAGTGGCAGGTGGGACTCCAGTTTCCTAGAACAGGACAGGGAAGTTGAGCCTAGGGGGCATCAAGGTGAGAACTAGATGCCAAGGACAGCATTCAGAGTTTGGCCGGGGCCAGGTTTTCTCCAGCTGGTCTGAGTGCCTGTGTTACCAGGACACGTGTCTCTGCCAACCTTCTCTCTTCCCCTCCCACCCAGTGCATCGTGAGTGTTGCTGGTGGGGCCACTCGGGCTGCCCTGACCGTGCACCAGGCTCGGAGGAACAACATGGCTGACGTGTCAGCCAAGGACAGCAGCCAGGTGAGTGCCAGAGCTGGAGGGAGGGCGTGGAGTGGGGAGGGGAAGGGGAGAGAAGCCACTTGAGTGCCCTGGAGGGCCCAGGAACACACAGGAAGAAGTATGGGTGCTCCCTGCTGACTCAAGACACCCAGGCAGGAGTAGGGGTTTGGGCTCTGGTGGCGGCAAGTCCGAGCTGATCTCAGGCCCTGCCCGCCACCTGTGTGGCTGAGAGCAAGCCCTCAGCCTTGCCCTCTTCAGACCCCACCGTGCAAGCTGGATGTTCTGATCACATGAGGCCCCACATGTCAAGGCAATTGGCAAGTCAGAGTTACCCAGCATGTGGGGTTGCTGGGTCACTGGCTGGGGCCTCCACTCAGCAGTTTAGCAGGCCTGCTGGCCCAGCCCCCTTGCCCACCCTAGGGAGCCTGGAGTTGGGGTAGGGACACCCCTAAGGCTGAACTCCGCATGGATTAGACCTCTACAAACCCCGTGCTGAGTGCTTACGTGTACTGCATCACTTAACTCTCACGCCTGTCATCCTAGCACTTTGGGAGGCTGAGGTGGGAGGATCACTTGAGGCCAGGAGTTTGAAACCAGCCTGGGCAACCCGGCGAGACCCCATCTCTACATAATATATAAAAGAAACTTCAGCTAGGTGTGGTGGTGCACACCTGTAGTCCCAGCCTCGAGCTCAGGAGGTGGAGGCTGTGGTGAGCTAAGATCACCCCACTGCACTCCAGCCCAGGTGACAGAGCAAGACCCTGTCTCAAAAACAAACAAACTCTCACACCAACCCTTTGAGGTAGGTACTACTTTATCCCTAGTTTACAGATGAGGAAATTAAGGCCCAGGGAAGTCCCAGAAGTGTGAGATGGTTTTCTTTGACACTGAAGCAATTTAGAAACTGCTGTTCTGTGCATTCCTACTTTCTGGCCTTCTCTTCCATTGTTTGGCTCAATAATCTTAACCCAAGCTAATATTTATTAAGCACTAACCATGTGCCAAGTATTTTGGTTCTGGGAACTCTTTAAATTCTCACAGTGGGCATGTGCAGTAAATGCTCATGGTTGCCTTAGTACAGATGAAGAAATAAAGCATGGAGAGGTCCCATCTCCCTGGGGGCCCCTGGGGAAGTCCCTTCTCTCAGGATGCTCGGGCTTATTCCACCCATTGTCTCTTCTGAACCTAAGTCCACAGGCTGTTAAGGAGCAAGCAGGAAGCACAGCACAGGTCCCTCACCGCAGGACTCCCAGCTCCATGCCTGGTGTCCCTCTCCTGTTCTCTCGCTGGTCCCCAGACCTCCCCCTAACCCCAAGCCATTTTTCCCAAGACCCCAGGGCTTCCTCGGTCCACAGAGCCAGGGACATATCCGGGACTAACCTGGGAATGTGTCAGTCCCGCAGCAGACTCCAGCTTTCTGCCAGTGCAGCTTTGCTGTCACTGGATGTGGCCACTGGAAATGACTCTTCCCACCTGGGAGAGAGGAGCTCCTGAACTCCCCAGGTCCCTGATCCCCAGTTTCCTGCCACACCCACAGCGTTTATTCCCACAGCATATGCCCTTCCCAGGAGGGCTGGTTGAGAAGAGCTCTCCAGTCTCGGGTCCTCTCTATGCCAGGACCAGCTCTCCCTGGGAGCCCAGTAGTCAGGGGCACCAATCCAGACTCCTCCCTCATGATGAGTTGGGGGCAGGTAGCCTGGGGTCCCTTCCCCTAGAGTGATCTCAATCCAGCCATCAGAGTGTTCTCCTAACATTGATACACAAGGGAAGAGGTGTGGGTCTTGTTCCTTTTCTTCCCGGGTGGTTCCTTGACCCCTTTGCAAATCTATCTGCCAGTTACTGCATACCAAAGGAGCTTGGTGGGAGGGGAGCAGTCAACTTTTTAAAATCAGTAAATAAAAGTTATTCCAGCTCATGCCTGTTATCCCAGCACTTTGGGAAGCTGAGGTGGGGATTGCTTGAGCCCAGGAGTTCAAGATCAGCCTGGGCAATATAGCAAGACCCATCTTTACCAAAAAATGCAGTAATAATTAGCAGAGGCGTGGTGGTAGGATCACTTGAGCTCAGGAGTTTGAGGTGGCTGTGAGTTATGATTGCACCACTGCACTCCAGCCTGGGTGACAGAGCGAGACCCTCGCTCTTTAAAAAAAAAAAAAAGTACACATTAGTGAGTGCCTGAGTGTGGGTCTGTTCTGGTGACTTGCAAGACAAGATGTGTTCAAGGGTATTCCGAGGGCACCTACCTGGGCAAAAAAGCAACTGATACACATATGTATTTAGACAGGGTATCACTGTGTCTCCCAGGCTGGAGTACAGTGGTGCAATCATGGCTTAATTTTTTTTTTTTTCTTTTTTGGAGACAGTCTTGCTCTGTTGCCCAGGCTGGAGTGAAGTGGCGTGATCTCAGCTCACTGCAACCTCCACCTCCCAGGCTCAAGCAGTTCAGCCTCCTGAGTAGCTGGGAGTAGAGGCACGCGCCACCATACCTGGCTAGTTTTTTGTATTTTTACAAAAATGCAATGGGTCTCACCGTGTTGCCGAAGCTGGTCTTGAACTCCTGAGCTCAGGGAATCTGCCCACCTCGGCCTCCCAGATTGCTAGGATTACAGGCGCGAGCCACTATGCCCCACCAAATTTTTAATTTTTTTGTAGAAATAGGGTCCCACTATGTTGCCCAAGCTGGTCTCAAGCTCCTGGACTCAAGTGATCTGCCCACCTCAGCCTCCCAAAGTGCTGGTACTACAGGTGTGAGCCACCTCGAGCTGGCATCTTTTAAATGACATTTCACCCACCAAAAACTAAAAATTTACCCACATTGCAGTAAGGAGCCCTGGGAGGTTGTGGAGCAGGGAGGATGAGGTGAAAGGCACTCGGGCACTCAGTCTGGCCTGGAGGGGCACCTTCCAACTCCTTCTCCCTCTGCCATTTTCCAGGAGACGCTGGTGAACCTGGCGGGGCTCTTGGTCAGCCTCCTGATGCTCCCTCTGGTGTCAGGTTGCCCTGGGTAAGCCGGAAGCAGGGTGGGCAGGAGAACCCCAGCTGGGCCTCTGCCCACTTCAGCTACCTCACTCTCTCACCCCAGCTTCAGCCTTGGATGTTTCTTCTTCCTCACTGCCCTCCACATCTACGCCAACTACCGCGCGGTCCGAGCCCTGGTCATGGAGACCTTGAACGAAGGCCGGCTCCGGCTGGTCCTGAAGCACTACCTTCAGAGGGGAGAGGTACTCGACCCAACTGCAGCCAATCGCATGGAGCCGCTGTGGACAGGTGACCCTGCCCCTGGTCTCGGGTCCTGTGTCTCAACCTCTCCCACTGCCTAGGCATCCTGACCCCAGCTTCCCACAGGTTTCTGGCCAGCTCCGTCTCTATCCCTGGGGGTCCCCTTACACCGCTTGGTCTCCAGGTGAGTGGCCTAGCGTCTCCCGCTCGTCACCACCGCCACCCACACTCCCCTCACTCCGATTACACACTGGCCTCCCTGGCAAGGCCCCACCTCTCTGTCCTGGGTTCTTCATTGCTGCTGAACAGACATGGGGTTGGTGTGGGTGTGTGAGGAAGGAAAGGGTGTATAACATGAAGCAGATGTAAGAGATGTGCTTGATGGGTGAAGGAAGGATGGGTAGATGGGGAAGTTGGATGACTGGATACAGGAAGAAAGGATGGATTTGGTGTGTATGGGTAATGGCTGAGGGAGAGAGGAAGCGAGGGGACCTGAGTGAAGCCTGGATCATTTCAGTTCACTGGGTGGCTGTTCAGTGGCTGGTTGGGCATGCCTGCCTTTGCTGTCCTCCACCCCCACTGCACTGTCCTCTCCCCCACAGTGTCTTTGAGCTGCAGCAGCTGGTTGAGGGGCACCAAGAATCCTACCTCCTCTGCTGGGACCAGTCACAAAGTGAGTGTGCCTCATTCTCCCAGCCTAAGACGCACCCTCCCAGGTCAGCCTCTCATTCCTCCAACCTAGGGCCCCGAGCTCTGGGCAGTTTGGAGGCTGCCTGTTCTGGGGGTTGCTCTAGACCGTTCAAATTACAGCTGCAATGCCCCAGTGAAATTCATGTCACCGCTTTGTAAAACAGAGCTAACAGTACCTGCCTTATTCCTTGCGGTGTTTTTATGAGGATCAAATAATGTGACTGCAAAGCTACATTGCAGCACTCTTAGGAAGGCTATGACCTTTGCTGTCCGTGGGAAACCACCCTTCTCTCCATCCTGGGTTGCCTCTTGGGTAAACAAGTCCTTGAGTGTGCTGGTCCGCTGGTTGAGTGTGAAAAGGTGCTTATTCTCACTAGCCATTAAAGAAATGCAAAATAGACCCAGCCCAGTGAGCGGCTGGGAAATTGTATTTGGAAATTGGTCAGTTTGGCCCGAACATTGGGGAGCAACAGGAGATGAATTGGAAAGGAAAGGGTGAGGTGCTAGCCTTCCGTGCCAGGCCAAGGTCTTGGGGCAGACAGGGGAAGCAGGGTGATGGGATAGAAGGGGTTTGGGAGGTGGCCCTTCCCTGATACCAGTCTGTCTCTGGGTCCCTCCAGACCAGGTACAGGTAGTTCTGAACCAGAAGGCAGGCCCCAAGACCATCCTAAGGGCCGCCACACATGGGCTGATGCTTGGGGCCCTGCAGGGAGATGGACCCCTTCCAGCAGAGCTGGAGGAGCTGAGGAACCGGGTGCGGGCAGGTAAGTGCCTCAAGATTTAGACTGCTGATGCCTCAGGGTGGGGAGGAGAGAGGACAAACTCTGTCCTGCTGGAGGACACAGAGCTTCTGGTTCTGCACCCCCGTACCCAGGTCCTAAGAAAGAGAGCTGGGTCGTCGTCAAGGAGACACACGAAGTGTTGGACATGCTGTTCCCAAAGTTCTTGAAAGGTAACATCCCTCAGCCCATGGCTGCTTGGCCCCTGAAGCCTTGTCCCTGGGGGCCCCGCCTTCCCCCACTCCCACCCTTTCACCTGAAAGGTAAAAGACTTGGGTTCTTGGGCCTGGTGCAGAGGCTCACACCTATGATTCTAGTGCCTTGGGAGGCCTAAGTGGGCAGATTGCTTGAGACCCTGCCTGGGCAACATGGCAAATCCTTGTCTGTACAAAAAAAACACAAAAATTAGCCAGGTGTGGTTCTGCTCTTGTGGTTGCAGCTACTCAGGAGGCTGAGGTGGGAGGATCACCTGAACTGGGGGAGGTCGAGGCTACAGTGAGCCATGATTGTACCAGCCTGGGTGACAGAGCAAGACCCTCTCTCAAAAAAAAAAAAAAAAAAAAGACTGTCGGGCACAGTGGCTCACACCTGTAATCCCAGCACTTTGGGAGGCCAAGGCGGGCAGATACTTGAGCTCAGGAGTTCAAGGCCAGCCTGGGCAACATGGTGAAACCCTGTCTCTACCAAAAATATAAAAAAATTAGCTGTGCATGGTGATGCACGCCTGTGGGACTGTCAGGAGGCTGAGATGGGAGGATCACTTGAGCCTAGGAGGCAGAGGTTGCAGTGAGTCCAGATTGTGTCACTGTACCCCAGCCTGGGTGACAGAGACCCCATCTCAAAAAAAAAAAAAAGATGGATTCTCTCTGCAATCCTAAGTTTGGGACTCAGTTACTCAGTTTCCCTGTTTATAGGACGGAGAGCTTAGAATGGTCTTTGAAGTGGTATCAGTGTAGACAGTCTGTGTAATCCCAGTTGGCATGTAGGAAATGGGAGGATGGAGCAGGGAGGCCCTCACATTGGCTGATGAGGACGTTTTGTCTGGCGCCTGTTCCATCCCAGCGCTCTTCTGTGTGCCATTTCAACGAATTCTTGCTGCAGCCAGGTGTGGTTTCAGCCTCATTTTATGCCATACTCACCCAGCAGAGGCAGTGGGAGCCCCAGTAGTGCACAAAGCCTGCACCCAGCCTGTGCCTCTCCTTACCCTTGTCCCCAGCATTCCCGGCAGCACCCCATGATCTCTCCCCAGGACTGCAGGATGCCGGCTGGAAGACCGAGAAGCACCAGCTAGAGGTGGATGAGTGGAGGGCCACATGGCTTCTGTCTCCCGAAAAGAAGGTCTTGTGAGCAGCCCAGACGGAGGCCCAAGCCCAGGGCAGGAACCTGGAGCAAGGACACTTTGGCCACAGCAGGACAGGGGAAAGGCAGCTTTATTTTTCCTTAGGGCAACTGCAGCGGGTGGGCCAGGCCCTCATGGGAAGTGACTGCCAATCAGATGCAGTGGGCCCCAGGCAGAGGAAGGCCGGGAGAAGGGGAGCCAGGACCTTCTCACCCCACTGCCCCTTCCCCTTTTCTGGGGAGCACCGCAGGCTCCTCACCCCCACTTCCTGTGAGGCTGTGGCTTATGGTGTCCAACGCAGTTGGTCTTAGGCATAGAAGCCCCAGAGGAACACGGCCACTGCCATCATGAGCAGGGCATTGAGGTTGACCACACGGGCCCAGCTCGGGTCCTCGCTGATGTCCTCCAGCCGCCTGGCTGCTGCCGCTGCCTCCTCCTGGGTAAGGGGCGGAGGACTGCCCACCCCACCTCTGCTCATTCCACAAAACCAGAGCAGGCACTGGCGGAAGAGGCTTGGTGCCGGGGCCTGGGGCTCTGAGGGAAATTGAGGCCCTGCAGTTAGTTTGCGGGAACTCAGCTCCTCCAGCCCCACCTCCCAGCATGGTGCCCTACCATTCATCTCCATGGCACTCTCTGGGCACCCATTCTGTACAGGGAGTGAGGAGCCTTGCTGCTCATCAGCATCCAGGTCCTCCCGTTCCTCCTTGCTATGCCGGAGACTGAAGACCAGGCGGTGGAGCTGGGGAGGGTGGGAGCACGAACGAGGTGGGAGTTCTGTCCCCCCATGCCTGGCCCTAAAGTCTCTTGCACACCAGCTCGTCACTGCCTGCCCTACCCACCTCTGTCCAGTCTACACACCCAGCCCAGGCTTAACTCATGCCAACTCCACCCTACATGGCTGCCCTGTGCCCTCGGGATAAACCCCAAGCCCCTGAGCTTGTGTTTAAAGCCGTTGGCCTTGCTCCCCCAGCTTTGTCAGCTCAGGTCTGTCTACACCCAGATGGTAGCGCTTGTGACACTGGCCTGGCAGTCCTGCTCACAGTGTTCTGTGCCTGTGTGCTCCCACCCTTTCCTCCTGCTGCTGCAGAAACCCGGCCATCCTTCCACACCCAGATCTCTTGTCCTGTCCTCACCCCACCCTGCCACCATCAGCCCTGCCTGGAGCCACCTGCCCTTTGGCAACAAAACCAAACCTTTTTGTGGGCGTTCAAGATGGTATTGTGCCCACCAGTCAGATCCTGTGTTTTGAGTCCCAAAGGCCATGCCAAGGATTGGCTTTGGGAGGCTTTAATCACCAACCCATCAACATCAAGCCTCCCCCAGGCCGGTTCAAATAAATGTATTTAAATAAAAATTCTTGCTCGGCAATTGCAACTGCAGCTGGACCCCCAGCCCATTCCCAACCCTCAGTCGAGAAATTCAGGTCCTCCCAGCTGGGCACTCCAGGAAGCAGAGGGTAGGTGCTGTGTCCCACAGTGCTTGCCTGGGGCACCTGGCCACTCACGTGCTTTCTGGGGATGGGCGCGGTGCACAGGGAGACCGTGAGGGTGAGGAGGCCAGAGCAGAAGAACAGCACAATGGCGAAGTAGAGGTAGTGCACGCCGCAGAGGAAAGCTGGGCACGCCGAGGGCTGCACACAGCTGCCCGAGCCGAAGGAGAACTCGGGAATCAGGCGTGCCAGGCCCATCAGCAGGCCCCCGATGAGTCCCCAGAAGGCGCCCTGCGAAGGAAACAGGTCAGCCTGCTGAGGATGTGCAAGCCCAGCCCTGCCGTCACCACGCGCGTGCCGCTCACCTGCTCATTAACGCGCGGCACGAAGAGCGCCAGCACGAAGACGGCGGACACGGGCGGTGCCAGGTAGCTAGAGACTGCCTGGATGTAATCGAAGAGCTGCCCGCCCTGTGCCGCCTGCACCACGGGAAGCCAGGCCACCGACACTACCACGATGAACACCACCCAGAGCCTGCGGCGGAGGCCGTCGGATCGAACCCGGACCCTGGGCTCCCCTGCAGGTGCGCAAGCCCCCGCCCCGGGCTGATCCGTTGGGGAGGAGGGGAGCCCAGGCCGCACCGTCCCACCAGCAGCAGCTCGCGGTCGCCGGCGCGTGGCCGCAGGCGCGTGTAGATGTCCATGGTGAAGAGCGTGCTGCTGCTGTTGAAGATGGAGGCCAGCGAGGACATGAGCGCGGCCAGCATGACCGCCAGCATGAGTCCGCGCAGACCTGCGGGCCGACGGCAGCCGTGAGGCTGGGGCCACTGGGGGTCCAGGGCGGCTGCAGCTGCGCGAGGGACGACCCCTCCCAGCAGCGGGCTCCGCAGCGAGCTTGCGCCTGTGGCCCGGGGCTGCCCTTACCGTTGGGCATGAGCTTCACGACGAGCCGCGGGTAGGCGATGTTGGAGCAGCCCACCTCCGTGCCGCACACGCGCCTGCACACCTCAGGCACCACGCACGCCACCTCGTCTGCCAGAGAGAGGCCACCGCGCCGTTAGGACGGGGCCTGGTCTGGGAATCCCAGGAGGTGGGGACTGGGAATCCTAGCAGAGGAGGCGTGCGACCCCCGGAGGGAGGCGGGACTCCGGGCCCAAACTGCCGAGTCTTAGGAGGGTGACGGAACTGGGCGACGGGCGCCCGGTTGCTGGCACAGGAAAGGGGCGGGGCAGGGATGTTACCTGGGTACAGAATGCGGCTGATCATGCCTGGCATGACCATGAGAAACATGGGCGTCAGCTTCAGGTACCCACACAGGATGCAGCCCGCCTTGATGTGGGTCAGGCTCTTCCCGGCCAGGCAGCGCTGCACGATGACCTACGGGAGGGGCGTTCAGCTGCCCGCTTGCGGGCCTCCCCTCGGCCCCGCCCCGCGCCCCGTTCCGCTCTGTGCCCCGCCTCTGGCTCGTGAGTGCCCCAAGTTCAGCTGCACGCTTGGAGTAGATGGAGCCTTCTGTCTGGTTTAGCACCAACCCGAGGGGTTCCCGCCCCTCAGACTGCGCCTTAGACCGTTGTGGGGAAGGCGGGGAGGGACTCAGGCTCCGCCCGTCTCGGCTCCGCCCCGGCCTCACTGCAGGCGCAGCCCTATACCCGCACCTGGTCGCTGCACCAGTACCAGCCCGAGACGATTGTGAGTCCGAGGAGCAGCGCGGGCCACGGCAGATCCCCGGTCACGGGGTGCCGGAGCAGGTGGTAGGAGTCGGGCCGGGGTCGATAGCAGAAGCTGGAGATGTTTCCCACGGCTGGATCCTCGGACACCGTCAGCGAAGTCGCTGCTCCCAGGTATTTGTCGAAGAGACCCGAATACCCGCCCACCTCGTGGAAGGCTGCCGGGCAAGGCCGTCAGGGGACCCTCCTTAGGACCCTCAGACCGGAGACGCGCAACGGCCCCGCGCGCAGGCCGAGAGCTCCGCGACCATGCCCTCCGCGCCCCTCCCTGGTAGGCGAGCCCCTACCGTAACCCATGAGGATGCAGGCGCCCCCCAGAATGACGAAGGTCTGTACCGTGTCCGTGTACATCAGCGCGGCCAGCCCTCCTGCAACAGGCCGGGGTCAGGGGACAGCCCAGCTGTTTATGTTACAGGCTGGCCTTAGCAATAAGGCGTCTTTGTGGGAATTTGAAAGAGTTCCCCTTCCTGGAGAATAAATTTCAAAACGATAGCCTGTTCTCGGGGCTCATGCACGCAGGCACCAACAAGCAGGGCTTGGCGGGCAGAGTGTGGCTGAGTTTTAGGGCCAGGCGCCTACTTGCAGGACCCCCACTAGCAGCCCCCTCTAGGCCCCAGTTTTGTTTGTTTTTGTTTTTGTTTTTGAGATGGAGTCTTGCCCTGTCGCCCAGGCTGGAGTGCAATGGTGGATCTCAGCTCACTGCAACTTCCGCCTGCCCGGTTCAAGCAATTCTCCTGCCTCAGCCTCCCGAGTAGCTGGGATTACAGGGGCGGGCCACCACGTCCAGCTAATTTTTTGTATCTTTAGTAGAGACGGGGTTTCACCATGTTGGCCAGGCTGGTCTCAAACTCCTGACCGCGTGATCCGCCCGCCTTGGCCTCCCAAAGTGCTGGGATTACAGGCGTGAGCCGCTCCCAGCCGGCCCCAGTTTTTTCTGCGTCATCGTAGGAGAGGATGATTGTCTAAGGTCCTATACTCAGTTCCGTTCCTTCTGGAGGTGGGTCCCTCAAGCGGGCCTTGGCACCAAGCCCTGCCTACTCTGGTCCGCATCTGACCTCAGGCCCCACCCCAGGTCCCTATGAACCATACTGGGTTTTGCCAGAGATCTTGGAGACTCGTCAGGTGTGCTCTCCCAGGTGTTCAAGGCAGGCAAGAGCTGCTAAATCTTCCTTTTCTCAAAGTCCTCACTCAAGCCCAGCATGGCTTTCTCTCTGAACTTCCAGTCAAAATCCAAGAGACAGTGGAAAGAGAGGAAGCCTTTGCTCTCCAAAGATTTAGTTCCTTCTCCTGCTTGGACCACACCACCCTTCCAGACCTCTCCAGCTTGCTTTCCTCTGGCAGCTCCCTAAACCCTGGCCACAGCTGGCAGCAGTGTCCCAGGCCCACTCCCTTTCCTAAGCCCCTGCTGGCACCTGTCACCGTGTAAATCATGGTGATGCCCAGAAGCGCGATGACGGAGGCATAGATGTTCCAGCCCAGAGCCTGCTGGATGAATACAGCTCCGGAGAACATGTCCACCTTGGGGGAGAAGCAAGTGCCAGGTCAGGACCCAGGGCAGTGTCCCCAGCCCACCTCCTGCCCAGGCCATGCCCTACTAGCCTCAAAGCTTCCCTCCATTTTTCCAGGTCCCAGCACTGTAGCTGGTGCCCCGGAGACATTCATTGCAGGCTCTGCCTCCATCATCATAACCCTCGCAGTGGTTTCTCCTAGGTCTCACGCCCTCTAGGGTTCTCTAGAGACCCCACTTGAGCCCCACCCTTCTAGGGCCCAATCGCATCTGCCACAGGCACTCACTGAGATCTTGGTGAAGATGTACAGGAAAAGGGAGAGCACAGACAGGTAGAGGCGGATGCGGCGGCCGCCGAAGCGCTTGCGCAGGTACTGTGGCATCGTGATGACCCCCGCTGTCAGGTACACGGGTGCAAACAGCCAGCCCAGTAGCAGCACCACGAAGAGCGCCTACGGGGGGCAGTACTGCCGCTGAGGGTGGCTTTGCCCTCATCCCTGAGGATCTGACCTCTTCGTGAAGGTGCTACTCCAAGCAAGTGGCCCTGGGAAGGGCCACATCTGGGGCCCAGAGGACAACTGCAGGTGATGGCCCCGGGGCCCTGGGCACCAAGGAACAGAGCTGACACCCTCCTGGGCTCTTAACTGGAGCCCTCCTTGTCTCCCCAGGCTATCACTTCTGGCCCGTTTTTCCCAATGTTGTCCCTATGATCATCTAGATATGAACCCCAGCATAGACCCCTCAGACTGACCTGAGCCAAAGCCACCCAAACCTTGTGTCCCTCAAGGATCAGCTCAGCAGTCTCCTCCTCCAGGAAGCCCTGAGCTCAAAGCCCAATCTCCCCTCCAACAGGAGCCTCAGTCCCAGAGCTTTGTCTCTGCTCCTCTCTTCTGCAAAGGGCTTTAACTTGGCCCCAAATTCCTCACAGACCACAGCTTCGGAGCGCATCTGAGCAGGTGCTTCCCTGGCTTTGAGGCTGCTCACCCCACTCAGAGAGGAATAAATGGAAGCTCCCAGAGGCAGTGGCTGGTGCAGGCTGGCTCACATGGCAAGTCAGAAGCAGGACCAACAGTGGTCACCCCTGCACCCCTCTGCTTCCTGGCTAGATGTATGACCTCCACTCCCAGCCCAGTCACACCCCGCAGTTGGGAAGTCCCACTGCCAGTCTCATTCCCCCTTTCCTGGAGTTTCCCCAAGGTGTGACCCTTCCAGGTGTTCTCACTGAGGGTGGGGTTATTGGAAAAAAGAGGGCCTCACATTCCACTCGAATCCAGCAACAGCCAAGCCACTTGCAGCGCCAGTCCCTGCCAGGCCCACAAAGTGGCCACTGCCGATGTTGCTGGCGAAGAGAGAGGCCCCAACCTGGGTGGCCAGAGGAGGGAGTGAGCAGGGCTGCTTCTCCAGGCCCCTCCCGTTCCCGGCCCAGCCCGTCTCACCGGCCACCACACCATGCTGCGTCCTGCCAGGAAGTAGCCGCCCACAGTGCCTCTGTTGGTTCTGCACATGGACTGGGAGACAGAGGCGGGGGAGACCTGGGTTTAGGGCACAGCCTTGGACCTCATCAGCCACCTCAACACATTCCTCAGCCTTGTTTCTGGCTGAAGATTAACGAGCCAAGTTTCCCTGATCGTTTGCACTCCCACCCCCAACTCCTCCCAGACACTCAGGGCAACCCAGGCTCTAATCCCAGTGTCCTATTCCCCCAGTTTTTTTCACATATTTTTTCTTTTTCTTTCTTTTTTTTTTTTTCTCATTTTTTGAGACAGAGTCTTGCTCTTGTTGCCCAGGCTGGAGTGCAGTGGTGTGATTTTGGCTCACTACAACCTCCACCTCCCAGGTTCAAGCAATTCTCATGCCTCAGCCTCCAAAGTAGCTGGGATTATAGGCACACGCCACTATACCCAGCTTTTTGTGTGTGTGTGCGTGTGTGTGTGTGTGTGTGTGTGTGTGTGTATTTTAGTAGAGACAGGGTTTCACCATGTTGGCCAGGCTGGCCTTGAACTCCTGGCTTCAAGCAATTCACCTGCCTCAGCCTCCCAAAGTACTGAGGCATGAACCACCGCACCCAGCCCCACATCTGTCTTTCTTTTTAGAGACAAGGTCTCGCTCTGTCTCCTAGGCTGGAGTGCAGTGACATGATCATAGCTCACTGCAGCCTTGAACTCCTGGGCTCAAGCAATCTTCCCACCTTGGCCTCCGAGTAGTTGTGACTACAGGCACACACACCACCATGCCTGACTAATTTTTCCTTTCTTTCTTTTTTTTTCTTTTTTCTTTTTAAGAAACAAGGTCTCATCCAGGCACAGTGGCTCACATCTGTAATCCCAGCACTTTGGGAGGCAGAGGCAGAAGGATTGCTTGAGCCTAAGAGTTCAAGACTAGCCTGGGCAACATGGTGAGACCCCTCTCTCTTTAAAAGTAAATAATTTTTAAAATAAATTTTTTAAATAAAAAAGAGATACGGTTTCACCATGTGGGCCAGTCTGGTCTCAAACTCCTGGCCTCAGTGATCCCCCTGCCTTGGCCTCCCAAAGTGCTGGGATTACAGGTGTGAGCCACTAGTTCCATCCCAACTCCCCAGGATTTATCATTTGTGGATTTGGCTTGACCTTCCTGGGGACCTTGAATATTTTCTGCTGGTCAGCCACAATGTGGCCAGGGGAATGAGACCCCATTTAGAATGTCGACCCTGATGAAAATCCGCGGACCCCTTCAGCTAGCACAGTCCCAAAGTGGGAAGACAAGGGAGGAATGTTGGCTGGGTCTCCCTGAGAACTTCCAAAGACCTGCTTGCCCCCAGGCCTAGGTTTCTCCTTCAAAGATCCAAGCATCATTCTCCCACCTAGGGTCCCCCTGAGACTTTTCCCCCAGGCCCCCAAAGCCAGCAGCCACCAGCAGCACACCCCCCAACTTCTCACCCACAAGCCAACGCCAATGACCAGCAGGAAATATGCAGCAATGACTAGGATGTCAGCAGGATTGTCAATCAGGGCCTTCTGGGCCCCCATCTCTGGTGCCGAGCCTGCCTCTGTGTGCTCCTCCATTCTCCCCAGGATCTGCCCCATCCAGGAACCAGCCCCTGGATTCCCCCAGGGGAAGGATTAATGGTTACCTCAGGGGCACTGAGCCGACAAGTCCCCCAGGTCTCATTCCCGCTCCCCAGCTTTGTTTAGCTGAATCAGGTCATATCAAGGCTGAAGGCTGGTCTTGGGGAGCTGGGCCCTTCCAAGTTCAAGAGCACTCTTTCCTGGGCCTTAGCATCCGCCCTCTCCCCTGTGCTCCAGGCTCAAAATCACTCTTTTACTCCCTAAAAATGCATCGCTTCCTTAGCTAAGCTAGCACCCCTGGATTTAACTAATCCAGAGGAATCATTTTCAAATCCAAGTCTGACAGGGTCACTCGCCCTCCTCAGGAACCCTCCATAGCTCTTAGTACAAGCTCTTCAGCCTGATTTCCAATCCTGGTCATGCCCCAATTCCCGCTCATCCTTCCCCCTGCTTCTCCAAACCAAATCTAGAGGAAATCAGAAATCCTTTCCCACTCCTTTAACCTACCCAGCCCAGATTTTTGCTTTTTGCTTTTTTTGACCAGATATTTTATCCCCACCAAATCCTTGCACAAACTGTGTCTTCTGTTTAGAGCACTTCCCTGTCTCCCAAATGGCCAACTCCTACTCAGCTTTCAGTACCCAGCCTGTGTCGCCTCTTCAAGAAAGACTTCTCTGACATTTCTGATGTAGTTCTGAGCACACTGTGTGGCCCTTGCCTGGGTCCAGGTCTGTCTTCCCAACAAACTAGTGTCTCCTCAAGAGTAGGACTGGCTGGGTGTGGGGGCTCATGCCTGTAATCCTAGCACTTTGGGAGGCTGCAGCAGGAGGCTCACTTGAGCTCAGGAGTTTGAAACCAGCCTGGGCAGCGGAGTGAGACCTCATCTCTTAAAAAATAAATAAATAAAAATTAAAAAGAGCAGGACTGATCTGATTCATCCCTGGAGTCTCATTTCTCAGCACAGGACTGGATTCAAGAAGGGAGAGGCTGGTTAATATCTGTATGTCTACCTTTCTAGAAGAATTGACCAGACTTGGATGTCAGGAGACAGTCGAAGGAAAGTCCTGCCTGATTATGGCAGCGATGGTCATCCCGGAGATGGGGAACAGAGAAAAATGCTTTGAGTGTAATATGACAGAGTTTGGATGAAGGAGTTCCTTAGCTTGTATTCCTCTAAAAGGAGACCCTGAGATGAGAATTTGTGTGCAACGACTTTCCTGAGGAGGTGATTCCAGTATGGACTGTGATGGTGTAGGGAAGAGAAATGAAACAAGGAGAAAAACCAACAAAGCATGTGTTTCTTTGTTTTGAGACAGGGTCTTGCTGTGTCACCAAAGCTGGAGTACAGTGGTGTGATCACAGCTCACTGCAGCCTCGACCTCCTGGGCTCAAGGGATCCTCCCACCTCAGCTTCCCAAATAGCTGGAACTACGGGCACGCCACAACACTTGGCTAATTTTTGTATTTTTTATACAGATGGGGTTTCACTGTGTTGCCCAGGCTGGTCTCAAAATCCTGAGCCAAACTGCCTCAGCCTCCCGAAGTGCTGGGATTACAGGTGTGAGCCACCACGCCTGGCGTAAGGGTGTGTCATTTGTCAGGTTACCACAAAGAGCAGTTGGAGCCTCATCCCAAAAAGGACACTCTGAGACACTGTGAAGAACACCCCATAGCAATGTTCCTTGAGGGGCCAGGTGGTTGGGGTATCTATTCCCTGATTTGTGTCTGTCACTGGCTAAAAGCTGCAGAAATGTCCACACACTTCAGGCCTGCTGAGAACACGGAGCACACTCCCTCCTCCCAAGAACAGCCTCAGACAAGAAACTCCAGAAGGAGCTGCAAGTCAGGGTATCTGGAAACTGTCACAGTATATGACTTCCAAGGTGGGCCATGCAGGTATATGGGTGGGGCACCCACAGTGTCTGCTTCAGAGGGTGATGAGTTTAAAGTGCCTGAGAGAAATCCAGTGCCAAGTGTCAGAGGACACGTGTGTGTTACAGACATTTCAGATAAGGTCCCTTCACCACGGCCGTCAAAGGCCTTCATGATGTGACATCTCCTTCCTCTTTGGCCTCCCCATTGCTGGCTCCAGTCCAGCCACAGTGGCCTTCTTTCTTCCAAGGCATCAGACTCTCTCCTCCTCCCTGGCCTTTGCACCTGCTTCCTGTCTGCCGGGAATGCTCTCCTTGGCGCCTTGCACAGCTGGCTCCTTCTCCATGTTCGGCTCTCAGCTGAGACCTTACATTTTACTACCTGGTGAAAGTAATCTCTTCCCCACCTCCCCTAACTTAGTTCTCTATTTCATCCATTGTACTCTCTCTCTTTCCTTCCTTCCTGGTTCCTTCCTTCATTAACAAACACGTATGGAGACTGGCTATGTACTGGACCTGTTCTAGACACCAGGGAGAAAATGGTCAGCAAAACAAATGCACTGCCTGCTCTCGGGAGCTTCTGTTCCGGTTGCAGAATCAGACAGAAGCCAGAAACAATAAGGTCCAGGTGTGGTGGCTCATGCCTGTAATCCCAGCATTTTTGGAGGCTGAGGCAGGGGAATCACCTGAGGTCAGGAGTTCGAGACCAGCCTGGCCAACAAAGTGAAACCCCGTCTTTACTAAAGATATAAAAATTAGGGCTGGGTGCAGTGGCTCACGCCTGTAATCCCAGCACTTTGGGAGGCCAAGGCGGGTGAATCACCTGAGGTCAGGAGTTCGAGATCAGCCCGACCAACATGGAGAAACCCCGTCTCTACTAAAAATACAAAATTAGCCGGGTGTGGTGGTGCATGCCTCTAATCCCAGATACTCGGGAGGCTGAAGCAGGAGAATCTCTTGAACCCGGGAGGCAGAGGTTGCAGTGAGCTGAGATCACGCCATTGCACTCCAGCCTGGGCAACAAGAGCGAAACTCCATCTCAGAAAAAAAGTAGCCAGGAGTGGTGGCACAAGCCTGTAATCCCAGCTACTCAGGAGGCTGAGGCAAGAGAATCGCTTGAACCCAGAGGTTCAACCTCAGGAGGCAGAAGTTGCAGTGAGCCCAGATGGCACCACTGCACCCCAGCCTGGGCAACAGAGCGAAACTCTGTCTCAAAAAAACAAAAACAAAAACTCCTACTTGCAAGAGCACTGCATGCTAGGAAGGAACTAGGGAGGGGCCGTGGCACGGAAACCAGGGAAGCATTGGCTTTAGCTAGGCGGTCGGGAAGGTACCGCTCCTTCATCACGCATGTCACCTTTGTACTTGGCTGTCATCTGTCTCCGCTACTAGACTTCAGCTCCCTGAAAGCAAGGGTCATAGCTGCTTGGTTCCCCATTGTCTCCCCAGAGCCTGGCACAGGAGTGCTCAATAAATATTTGGTGAATGAATGAATGCCAATTTGGGCATCCTCAAGATAGGGAGGTGATTACAGGCTGGGGTTGGGGGTACATTCTTTGGGGAGAATATGTGGAAGGGGAAGAGCAGGAGACCTGGGAAGACCATGGGAGAGGAGCCTTAGAGAGGAAGAGATCTGGGGGCCTGGGAGAGGCTGGGGCCATGGACGCCTCACCTTTTCCTTGTGCCCATACATGCTCCCTGCGGCTTCTAGCTCTTCCTGATGAGCTGGAAAGGGCTCTGAGGACCTATCATTTCCAGCACCAGAGGTCCCTAGAGTCTAGACCCAGGGGACCACCCTGGGACTTAGGGACTCAGATGGAACCTGAACTTCTTCACACCTGAAACCCTTGGCTCCATCTTCCACACCTGAAAACCCCTGGCCCCATCCTTCTCTGCTAGGACTTGGCTCAGGTCTTGGGTGTCAGTTACTCCAGGATGCATCCCTTGACTCCCAGTCTGGGTTAAGAAGCCACCTTCTGGCTTCTACAGCCCCCAGTGCTTCCCTCAGTCACAACCTGGCCACACCAAGTGTCATCCTCTGTCCAGGTATCTGCCTCCTCAGCCTGGGGCTCTCCAGGGCAGTGAGCCTGACTCATCTCTGGACCCAGCACCACCCAGCACAGGGCTAGGCCGGGAGAAGCCTCAGGTGGTGGCAGACAGGCCAGCAGGGACAGTAAGTAATGGCTCTGAGTGCGCTGATTGTTCTGCCTTGACTGGGACACCTGGGGGTGGGAGTGAGAAAGGGTTAAGCTGAGGCCGTAACTACATGAAACATTCAGGTGATCCAAGATGTTGTGGGTCAATAGTAAGAGGGAAGCTGTACCTTAGTGCCCAGAACCAAAAGGTGAGCACAGCTGGCACTCTGAATAGAGCTCCATCCCTCAAGGCCCTTTAATAGGAGAAAAAATCTGGGAACCAAAGGCAGTGCAGGAGGGGAGCAGATTAAGTTCTTTCTCTCTCCTTCCTTCCTTCCTTCTTCCTTTCTCTTTCTTTCTTCCTTTCTTTTCTTTCTTTTTTTTTTTTTTTTTTTTTTTTTTGAGACGGAGTCTCGCTCTGTTGCCCAGGCTGGAGTGCAGTGGCGTGATCTCGGCTCACTGCAACCTCTGCCTCCCAAGTTCAATTGATTCTCCTGCCTCAGCCTCCAGAGAAGCTGGGATTACAAGCGTGTGCCACCATACCCAGCTAATTTTTGTATTTGTAGTAGAGACGGGGTTTCCCCATGTTGGCCAGGCTGGTCTCAAACTCCTGGCCTCAAGTGATTCACCCGCCCTGGCCTCCCACAGTGCCAGGATTACAGGCATGAACCACTGTAAGCGCTTATTTCAAGAATAAAGGGAAGGGCGGGCACAGTGGCTCACACCTGCAATCCCAGTACTTTGGGAGGCCAAGGCGGGAGGATCGCTCAAGACCAGGAGTTCGAGGTTGCAGTGAGCTATGGCACCACTGTACTCCAGCCTGGGCGACAAAGTGAGACCTCATCTCTTAGGACAAAACAAAACAAAACAAAATATAGAACTGAAGAAAGAGTAATGAGGGCGGGAATATTCGGTGGGGCCCCAGTTGGAGCTCTTGTCCTGGCTCTGCCACTATCTGTACAGTCCTGCGCGAGTCGCCACACTTTCCAGCCTCAGGCTCATCTGATACTTGAAGTAGGAAGTGCAGGAGTGGCTACCTGCAAGGGCTGAGGCTGCAGGTCCCGCTGCGGCCACAGGGCAGTGACCTAGAGACGGCCGGGGACAGAGCCAGCGCGGGGGTGGGGAGTCAGGGCCAAGCTCCTGCGCGCATTCAGAGACAGCACCAGGGAGAGGTGGAATGCGTGTGTTTATGTAGGTAGAAAAAGTGCACAGAACAGTGAGGGTGCAGGGAGCAAGGACGTCCTGGCCTGGCCTCCGATTCGCTGGAATTGCAAGGACCCTCCCCCAGTAAGGGGGCTCCCTCAAGGGTGGGAATAGAGTGGAGGCCCGCACGGGAGTTCTTGTCTGTGTGCAATCCACTTTGTGGGCGTGTGGGTTTAGGTCTGGCTGGGCCGTTTCTGAACTTGACCCCTGAGGACTCATAGTACCTTAGGGGCGGGGCTCTCCAGTGGGTGGGGCCTCCCGCTCTGAGAGCAAGGCCTCGGGGTCTGGAGGACCCGGCTTTTCCGGGAGGGCGCGGCCTCCGGGGGAGAGGGCGAGCCGAGCGGGCTGTCAGCCGAAGAGCTTCAGGAAGCAGGGCTGGCAGTAGGGCTTGCCGGCGCGCTCCTGGAAGGACCCCTTGGTGAGCGGGCGCAGGCAGAAGGTGCATGTGAAGTGGTCCGGGTGGAAGCGGCGACCCAGGGCCGACACGCAGCGGCCGGTCACAGGGAGGCCACACGTGGCGCACAGCGAGCCGCGTCGTGCGTGGAAGTGGTTCTCGCACAACGGGCGGCCCTCGTGCTCGAAAAAGCTGCCTCCCGAGAAGGGCGCGAAGCATTCCTGGGGAAGGGAAGCCGCGAAAGAGGACAGACAGGTCAGCGGCCACTGCCAGACAACGCGCGTTACTAGCGGATAACGCCCTGGGACCCCGCAGCCCGCCCTAGACGCGAAGAATCCCGTCCGGTGGGACCCTGCCCGGAAAACTCGCCCCACCCGAGGTTCCTAGCAGCACCTCCCGTGACCCGCCCCCCCGAGGGCCCGCCCCCTGCCCTGCACCCTTGACCCGCCCCTCCAAGGCCCCGCCCCACAGCCCTGTACCCTTGACCCGCCCCTCCAACGCCCCGCCCCGCAGCTCGCACCCTGCAGACGAAACAGTCCGGGTGCCAGAGCGCGCTGAGCGCCGAGATGTAGTTATCCAGGATGGGGCCCTGGCAGCCCTGGCAGCGCGGGGCGAACAGCTGCAGGAAGTCCCGGCGGCAGTAGGGGCGGCCCTCGCGCTCGTGGAAACCTAGGAGAGGGAACCGAGTGGGCTGAAAGCAAAGGGTGCGGGCGGGACGGGGGACCCACAAGACCTGAGATCTGGGGCCGAAGGAGGGGCAGTCCGAGGGAGCCTTGGGGAAGGAGGAGCCGGGTCTATGGCGGGACAGAGCGGGGAGGGCTCGGGTCCGGAGTCTGTGTAGGAGAGGGCAGGGCCAGAAGAGAGCAGAAGGAAAACCATGGCCCTGAGGACTCCGGAGGTCGGAGGGGCTGGGGCGAGACGTCGAGGGGACCCGCAGCTTTTAAGATGGGAGTCGAGTTCACTCTCACCCTCATCTCCGAAGGGCTCCCCGCAACTGACGCAGCAGAAATGCTCTGGGTGCCAGTGAGTGCCCAAGGCGGTCACCATCTTCTGCAGGGAGGGAGAGGGCACTCAGCGCGGCCTCCGTGCCTTCGCGCCTTCCTCTCCCGCGCGGAACCCGGGTGACTGGACTAAGGCATGCGTGGGGGGAGGGGGAGAAGATCTAACTAGGAACGTGGGGGTCAGAAAGGAAGAGTGGAGTCCAAGGGGCCGTGGACATTGCCAAGGGGAAGGGGTAGGGGTGGAGTGGGGTATCGCGGGTGGGGCGGGACCCATGCGGTGGAGGCCCGTCCCACAGCTCTCCTGGTGAGATAGGGCGGGCTCGGTGCGGCCGGGCGGGGCTCACGTGTCGGATGGGCTGGTTGCAGAAGCCACATCTTGGCGAGAAGCGCTCAAAGTAGCACTCGGGGCAGAAGGGGGCTCCATCCTTCTCGAAGAAGCTGCTGCCTCCCAGGGCGGTGGAACAGCCTCCGCAAACGAAGTGCTCGGGGTGCCAGGCGCGGCCCAGAGCCGTCACCACCTGCGAGTGGGAGGTGAGGCGGGTCAGAGCGGCTCTGACAACCACATGCCCAGTGAGGCAAGATTTACGCGGCGTTTTTCGAGTCCTCTCTGAGCGATCAGAATAAAGAATCCAGTGTTCGAGATCACGCAGCCTGTAAGCGATGGAGATCTAGCTCCCGTGTTCCGTCTTCCAGCTGCGCTCCAGGATTGACCTATACATGAGGCACAGCAGGCACAGCGCCTGGAGCCCACAATACATTTAGGGGCCCATAAAAACGTTTTAATTTTTTTAAAATCAAAATACGATCAGGCTGGGTGGCTCGTGCCTCTAATCCTAGCATTTGGGAGGCTGAGGTGGGAGGATTACTTGAGTCCAGGAGTTTGAGACCAGCCTGGGCAACATGGCGAAGCCCCATCTCTACAATAAATAAATAAAATTAGCTGGGCGAGGTGGCGGGCGCCTTTAGTCCCAGCTACTCGGGAGGCTGAGCTGGGAGGATCACTTGAGCCCAGAAGGTCGAGGCTGCAGTGAGCCACAATCGCACCACTGCACTCCAGCTTGGGTCACAAGAGTGAGAATTTGCCTCAAAATAAATAAGAGGGAGGAAGTGAAAAATCCGTTTTTAAAAATTCAGAATAAAAAAATGAACTAGAAGAAAATGCTGTAATACACAATAATAACATACCCATCTTTACACCAACACAGACATAAAAATCTATTTATTTTAATGGACGAAGGGACTCATGAAGATGAAAGTGCCTATGATCCACAAAAGTCACAATGCCACCCTCCTTTGCTGAGATGGGCAATTCTGGGCTGGGAGTCAGGTACTTGATCTAGCAGGGGGCACTAGGTTAACCCCTAGGCACAGCTGTTGTCAATCACATCTGCTCAGTCAATAAAACAAGGACCAGTGAACCCAGTCCAGACTCTGACGGAGGAAGAGAGAGCCTTTGTAGATGCCTGAGAGATATTGGGTGGAGCCACAGAGTGTTTTGTGAAGATCAGATGAGATGAGGGTTTGTAAAGGAGCTGGCACAGTGCCTGGCACACAGTAGGACCACAATAAATGGTAACATGGTTGGAATTTTCACCCTACCACTAACCTGCTGTGTGGTTCAGAGCTTCAGTTTCCTCATCCATAAAACATAAGTAATAATGATACCCACTTCCCAGATTAACTTACTAAAAGGGAACAGCATAAAGCCCAGCTCTCACTAAAGATGGGTCTGTGACAGGTCTCTGCCTCCCTTCTCACAAGGCTCCACTTACTTGCCCAGCAATAGGTTTATTGCAGGAGCCACAGAGGCCTTTGGCCTGGGTGGGAACACCCCGGCGGCTGAGGTCGGACTGCAGCAGCCCCAGCATGGTGTCTAGGCTGCCCTTGCCAGTCGGCTCTGGTGGGGATGGGGAGCCCTCATTTGTGGAGCTCACCACCGGTGGCTGAGTTGGCCCAGAGGCTGGAAGCTGCAGCGGGGAGGACATGAGAATTGAGTCAGCAAAGCAGCAGATGTGGAATTGTCTAGAAGGGGTTGGGGAGCCACAAATGGACACTGGCCCACTGCCCAACTCACATGGTTTTGAACGCGGAAGTCAGAGAGTGAGGCCATCAGTCTATCCAGCTCCAGAGTGGCTGAGGTGGCAGAAGCCTTTGGGAGGCCAGGAGACGGGCTGGAAGGGCTGTGAAGAACATGCTTGTGTCATCTCAGAGCCTCCCAGAGCAACGCTCCCTCTAGTGACTCAGATATCCAGGACTCATCTCTCAGCCCTGACAACGACGCCAAACTCACAGGCTGGGTCTTTTCTTATCTTCAGACTGGTCCTCCTTCTGCTCTCCTGAAGCCACCTTGCTAGATGGGAACTGAGACATGATTTCATCTGGAGAGAGGAGAGGAGGACGCTACATATAGGGCCATGCTCAACGCACCCTCACACTTGAGGCTTTAGGTCCCTTTAACTGCTACTCTGGGAAGTGTATTCCTCTTAGTCTCTGCCCCACCCTTCCCTCCCCTGCCCCTATCGCATCAAGGCCTCTCTCAGTCACCCTGGTACCTGTGATGTTGAACTGAGTGGCATTAAGTTCCTGAAGCAACCGATCTAGCTCACAGAGCCCGGTACCCAAGACACCGCTGGAAGAGGAGAATGGAGGGGCCGCCGGGGCTGCAGGCTTTGGGGACCGAGGCTTGCATACCGTGCTGGGAAGCAGAGTGGGAGCCTGGGTTCAGGGGTGGGGAATCCAAGCCTCCTCACCTGAGACTCAGTTGGCCCCCATGCCCTGGTTTCCAGGCCCCTCACCTGTACAGGTGGTCCTTGTCCCCCGAGGCTCCTGAAGACTCCCCAGACCCTGTCTACAGAGCGGAGACGCACAGGTGGGATGACAGGCCTGCACTCTGCCCCACTGAGGCTGAGATCCCCATAGACCAGGCCGAGCCTGGCCCTAGTGGCTGCCCCAGTCCCCAACATCCGATCTCACCTGTGGCTGGTGGCCATAGGATGGGGGAGGGGTGAGAGGCTCCGCAGGGCGCTCTTTGGGAGCCCCTGACCTTGGCATGTGCGAGGTGGTAGTCTCCAGGTCAGAGAGCAGGGCATCTGCAGGAAGAGGCCATCAGGGAGAGAGACAAGGGTCACGGTTAGATCAGAAGATAAGGTTCCCAGTGGGCAGTACTGGAGAAGGACAGAAGCCAGTATTAAGAGAAGAGGTCACAGGGCCAGAGCCAGGCAGAGCACTGCTCGAAGGGTAGCAAGGAATATTTATGACCAGAATATCCCAGTTGCTCACGCTTGGAGCCAAGCACAAACCCAGCCTCCTGATTATTTTATTCTCCCCATCTTCTCTGATGCAGTCAAAATGGGCTCTTCACCCAAGCCAAATTTGGCTCCCCTCCAAATTGCTCCATTGGCCCAGTGCCTGGCCCTCAGCTTTCTGATTGGACGCTCTCTCTTCCATGCTGGTTAACTCCTCCCTCTACCTACACAGGCCCCGCCCAGCCTGGCCACTCCCAGGCCCCTGAGTCCCGCCCTGGGCTCCTCACTGGCGCTTCGCTGGGACCTGCCTTCTGATTGGCTGTTTATCTGCGGTACAGCGTCAGTTACCCCTACCGAGCAGCGCCCTCTACCGCCAGGGGCCGGAAGCCCCTCTCTCCCGTGGAGCGCACAGCCTTCCAGCCCCAGGCTTCGCAGGGAGGACGAGATACCTGGGTCCCCCTTCCGGACAAGACACCTCTCTCCATCCCTGCATCCCCAGATCCGGGTCTTTTGAGCCCTTTCACTTCCAGAACCCAGAAGTCCTGCCCTCAGTCTTCGTCTCTGAGCACCCGCGTGAAACCCTGAAGCCTTCGCGGGCGCCTAGGCACTCCTGAGTTACTATTCTCTTCCTTGCCTCAAGGACCTGACCCTCACTGTGCTCAGGAGCCCTTAACTCCTCCTCTCCCAAAACTCTGGTGCAGGCAGGCCCGCTTTTTTTCTCCAAAACTTGATGCCAGACTTTCCCGTGCCCTCTACTTTCCCGGTCCCCGGGCCGAGGCCCCTTTAACCCCTCCCTCCCCAGAGCCCCGCGCCCGGGCGCCCGCGGGCGCCGCACCTCCCGTTCCATCTGCCGCAGCCTGGGATGGAGGAGCACAGCGAGGGAAGAAGGGAGGGAGCGGCCGGCCCAGGAAAGGCAGGAAGGGAGAGGCAGGAAGGGGGACGTGGAGTTGGAAAGGAGGCGCGGGCAGAGGCGAAAAGCAGAAGTAAGAAGACAGGGATGGGGAGATGCGGGAGAGCGACGGCGGGGAGGCAGCTCTGGGCAGCGGTGAGGGGCCACGGACCCGGGGATCCGGCCCCACTCACCCAGGTCCTCCATGGCGGGGCGCGGGCCGGTGGCGCGGGGCGAACAGGGCGGGGGCCGTGTCCGGTGGGGGCGGGGGGCGGGGGACGTCCGGGAGCTGGAAGCCCGGCCGTGACCATGTAAGGAAGCCGGGACCCGCTGAGATGGGGATGGGGGGGCGATGAACGGGGGAACCCGAGGTGGGGGCGTGGAAAGGAGGGAGCGCCCCGGCCCACCCGAGCCCAGCCCGCCGGCCTGCCGCGGAGGCGGCCACACCCCAGCCTTGGCCTCAGCTGCAGGGAGCCCCAGGAGGCCAGAGCCAGAGAGAAGTGGCTTCTCCAGACCAAGCCCCAGAGCCGCTCCCTAGGGAGACTTACAGACACGGACTGAGGCCCCCAAACAGACACCGCTCAAAGCTAGCGCCTGAGTCCTAGACAAGAGCCTCCCTCCCACCCATGCCATTCCTGGGAGACTTGTCCCAGACGGAATTTTTGGATTGGTAGCAGGAGTGATATTCTAAGGCTCAATTAGACCTCAGGTTCGGAGACCCTCCCATCGGAGACCCTGACAGATAAATAGAGGCCCCAAGAGGCATACATACCAGACACAAAGAAATCTGAGGGACGGGGACAGACACAGTGAACCCACCCACAGACTCTACACTAGGACCTTCCCTCCAAGACTTGGTCATGGACACACGTAAACTCGAACCCGGGCGCAAGCCCCTTGCAAATTCGGGGAAAACACTCCCAGGCAACCAACCCCCAGCCAGCCTGCAAGACAAAGCCCTTCCTCAGCACTGAGGTGGCCCAGGCCTGCTCTGAAACAGCCCTTTCCCAAGTTACTGATGAACTCAGAGCAGAAAGCAAGACACAGTCTCCAGCCACAAAGTGGCAAGGCCTTCCCTGGACTGAGACCCTGAGAAACGAGGTGGAAACGAGAGGCCATAGAGGTAGTTATGGACAGACAACTGTGCTGCAGCCACTCTTCTGGACAGATCTGAGCACTGGAATGTGAGTATCAACCCAGCAGCAAATCGGAACAACCTGGGGAGCTTTTTAAAAATGCGAGACAGGCATGGTGGCTCACACCTATAATCCTAGCACTTTGGGAGGTCAAGGCGGGCAGGTCACTTGAGGTCAGGAGTTCGAGACCAGCCTGGCCAACATGACAAAACCCCATCTCTACTAAAAACACAAAATTAGCTGTGCGTGGTGGTGGGAGCCTGTAATTCCAGCTACTTGGGAGGCTGAGACAGGAGAATTGCTTGAAACCTGGAGGCAGAGGCTGCAGTGAGCTGAGATTGTGCCACTGAACTCCTGAGCAACAGAGGAGACCCTGTGTCAAGAATAAAAAAGAAAAAGAAGAAAAAATGGGCAAACGACCTGAATAGACAGTTCAAAGAAGTTATATAAATAGCCAATGATTACATGAAAAGATCCTCAACATCATTAGTCCCCAGAGAAATGCAAATCAAAACTACAATGAGATGCCACATCATACCTATTAGGATGGCAATAACAAAAAAGACAGGTAATTAGGCAAGGAGCAGTGGCTCACACCTGTAATCCTAACACTTTGGAAGGCCGAGGTGGGTGGATCCCCTGAGGTCAGGAGTTCGAGACCAGCCTGGCTAACATGGTGAAAACAGTCTCTACTAAAAACACACAAAAAAATTAGCCAGACATGGTGGTGGGCACCTGTAGTCCCAGCTACTTGGGAGGCTGAGGCGGAAGAATCCCTTGAACCTGGCAGGTGGAGGCTGCAGTGAGCTGAGATCGTGCCACTGCACTCCAGCCTGAGCAACAGAGCGAGACTCCATCTCAAATAATAATGATAATATTTTAAAGGCCAGGCTCAGTGGTTCACGCCTGTAATCCCAACACTCTGGGAGGCCGAGGCGGGCGGATCACCTGAGGTCTGGAGTTGGAGACCAGCCTGGTTAACTTGGCAAAACCCCGTCTCTACTAAAAATACAAAAATTAGCTGGGTGTGGTGGCAGGCACCTGTAATCCCAGCTACTCGGGAGGCTGAGGCAGGAGAATCACTTGAACTCGGGAGGCAGAGGTTGCAGTGAGCAGAGATTGTGCCACTGCACTCCAGCCTGGTGACAGAGTGAGATTCCGACTCAAAAAAAAAAAAAAAAAAAGCTGAAAAGAAAGAGGTAATTAGCAAGTTTTTGTGAGGATATGGAGAGATTGGAACCCTCACACATGGCTGGTTGGAATGTAAAATCGTTCACTAACTTTGGAAAATGGTCTGGCAGTTCCTCACATGTTTAAACATAGAGTTATATGATCCAGCAATTTCCCTTCTAGATATGTAACCAAGAGAAATAAAAGCATATTCCACAAAAAAACTTGTACATGAGTATTCATAGCAGCATTATTCATAATAGCCCGAGTGGAAACAACCCAAATGTCCGTCAACTGATGATTGAAGAAATGAAAGTGGCATATCCATGTCTTAGTCTGTTTTGTGCTGCATCGTAGAATGCCTAAGGCTGGATAATTTATAAAGAATAGAAATATCTTTCTTTCAGTTCTAGAGGTTGGGAAGTCGAAGGTCAAGGGCCCTGCATCTGGTGAGGGCCTTCTTTCTGCCTCATCCCACAGCAGAAAGCAGAAGGGCAAGACAGTGCAAGAGAGGGGGTGGGGTGGGGGCAGAACCCATCCATTTATCTATCAGCTGTCCACTCCCTTGATAACTAACCTACTCATGCAATAATGCCATTAATCCATTCATGAGGGAAGAGCCCACATAACCTAATCACTTCTTAAAGTTCCCACCTCTCAACAGTTGAATTGGGGGTTAAGTTTCCAACACATGAACTCTGGGGTACATGTTCAAACCACAGCAATCCATAAAGTGAAACTGTATTATTCCTAATAAAAAGAAATGAGATGCTACAGTGTGGATGAACCTTGATAACATTAAGCTATATGAAAGAGGCCAGATATGAAAGATCACACATTGTATGATTCCATTTATATGACATGTCCAGAATAGGTCATCTGTAGAGATACGATGTAGATTAGTGATTGCCTAGGGTTGGGGGAAAGGGAGTGTTATGGACTGAATGTTTGTGTCTCCCCCACATTTATACATCACAGTTCAACCCTCAGTGTGACTATATTTGAAGATAGGGCCTGACTGGGCGCGGTGGCTCACGCCTGTAATCCCAGCACTTTGGGAGGCCAAGGCAGACAGATCACCTGAGGTCAGGAGTTCGAGACCAGGCTGGCCAACATGGTGAAACCCCATTTCTACTAAAAATACAAAAAAAGTTAGCCGGGCATGGTGGCACCTGTAATCCCAGCTACTTGGGAGGCTGAGGCATGAGAATTGCTTGAACCAGAGAGGCGGAGGCTGCAATGAGTCAATATTGTACCACCACACTCCAGCCTGGGTGACAGAACAAGATTCCAAAAAATAAAATAAAATAAAATAAAATACCGATGCCCAGTCCAATGTGAGCAAAAAGACCCCAGGCATCAATAGTTTTTCAAAGCTCACTGCTTGGTTCTAATGCATAGCCTGAAAACCAGAGACCTGGACCAACACTCACAGAGGCTCAGAGACAGCAAGTGCCAACCTCAGCTGCCCAGAAGCAAACCTTGGCAGGCCCAGTGCAGCTCTCCCCAAAATCAGGCTGCCACTGAGGAGTCAAAAATCTGCAAGCCAATTATTAAACAGTAAAAGAGCAACAGATGTTGGCATGAATGTGGAGAAAGAGGAATACTTATACACTGTTGGTGGGAATGTAAATTAGCTCAACCTCTCTGGAAAACAGCATAGAGATTTCTCAAAGACCTACAACTAGAACTATCATTTGACTCAGAAATCCCACTAACGAGCATCTACCCACAGGAAAAGAAATCATGTAAAAGACAGCTGGACTCATTGTGTTTATTGCAGTACTATTCACAATAGCAAAGTCATGGACCCAACCTAAGTATCCATCAATGGGTGACTGAATAAAGAAAATGTTGGCTGGCACAGTGGCTCGTGCCTATAAATCCCAGCATTTTAGGAGTCTGAGGCAGGAGAACTGCTTGAACTTAGGATTTTGAGACCAGCCTGGGCAACATAGCAAGACCCTGTCTCTTAAAAAAAAAAAAGGAAAATGTGGTACATATACACCATGGAATAGTACACAGCCTTAAAAAATGAAATAACGTCCTTTGCAGGAACATGAATGGAGCTGGAGGCCATTATCCTAAGTAAACTAACTCAGACACAGAAAACCAAATACTGCATGTTCTCCGTTATAAGTGGGAACTAAGCAATGGGTACACAGGGGCATGAAGATAGAAACAGACACTGGGGACTCCAAAAGGGGGGCGGGTAGGTGCGGGGCAAAGGCTGGAAAATTGCCTAGTGGGTATAGTGTTCACTCTTTGGGTAATGGGTTCACTAGAAACCCAATCCTCCCCAGTACACAATACACCCGTGTAACAAACATGCACGTGCCCCCTGAATCTAAAGCAAAATAATAGTCAAAAAAAAAAAAAAAAAAAAAGATCTGGAAGCCAGATGATGGAGACCCTGCCTTGGAGACCAAAGCAATGTGAGCCCTTCCCTCCCCTCAACGCCAGCACAGGTCTTTGTCTGTCTCTGGGCATGACTAAGACAGGGCTCAGAGATTCCCTCCACAGCAGGTCTTCCCTCAGACAGACAGCAGTAGGACACGTGGCCCAGGAGATGAAAAGGGAGCCAAAGAATGGGGGCCCAAGATGGGCAACAGTCAGTAATGCAAAGGCCTTCAACACATCATCAGACTAACAGCATTCCCTCAGCACAACCCTTTCAGCCCCAAGCAAGATCTGTGTGTCCAGTTGGGTTGCTATGTCAGAGGAGTGAGGCCCTGACAGCAGGAAGCAGGCTTCCCCTGAGGCCCAAAACCACATCCTAAGCAGCAGCCTGGGAACTCAACCTTGTCCCAGTACTTATTAAACTGTCACATGCAAGGGTGGTCTGTGTCCAGACACAAAGACCTGAACAAGACCCTGCTTGGTGGGCGAAGAAACAGAAGCAGACACACCACACAACACAGGTATCCAACTCCAAATTGTTTAATCTCAATTCCAGAGGTCTAGGCCAGGCCAGGCACCTGGGGCTCTGGGCTGTTCTGCTTCTCTGGGCCCTACACCCAGAACCTGGCCTTGGCTTCTCGCTCCCGGGTCTTTAGATCGTCATCTTGGAGTCCGGTTCCATGTTCTCACCGCTCCTCCATGATGACTCCTTCTGCTCAGCCTCCTCCCTTGCCAGTCTCAGGGAGGATCCTTCACAGCCAATTCATCCTTGGGTCCCCTTCCCAGGGGACGTCAACAGTCTAGGCAGGGACCCTTGCCCCCAACTCAATCCCCATCACCACAGCCAGCAAAGCCTCCGTCAGGGGCCCTGCCTCTTCACCTGCTGCCTCCACAAGCCCCACCAGGGCCAGACCCCGCTTCCTCGGGCACTGCTCTGACCCCAGTGTCCAGCGGGCACAGTGGGCAGCCAGCCGGGGCCGGCCCAGGCGGAACACCTCACCCACTGACTCCGGGCCACCCTGGGGTCCCAGGTGGATGCGGCCCACGGCCTCTTCCAGCTCCTCCTCCAGCCCAGGCAGTAGGAAACGGCCAGCAGCCTCCAGTGCCTCCTCGGCCTCTGAACCCAGCAGGGGCTGGCCTGGTGGGGGCACGGGCCCCAGGGCAGCCCCACACCCCCGACAACCATGCAAATGATGCAGGACAGGCCAGGCTGCACCAGGCGACAGACCTCGCAGGGGCACCAGGTCCATCTGGGCTTCTGCAAAGCTGCCTGACAGCAGGGCCCGGAAGAAAGGGGAGGCGGTGGCTGAGGCCGCTCGCTGGGCAGGGAGCTGGAGGCCTGAGTCCAGCAGGAAGTGCAGGTCGGGAGCTGGGACAGGGGCTGGGCCCAGCAGAGGTTCATAGAGGCAAGGGGAAGGTGAGTCTAGGTCCATGGGGACTGCCTGTGGGACAGCTGGGCTCACAGTGGGAGACACCAGGTCTTGGAGGCAGGAAAGGGAGTCCGCGGCAAAGAAGAGGAAGAGCGGGTGTGGGGCCGGCCGGGTCAGCGCCGCAAGGAGGAGCCGGAGACCACCCTGCTCCAGAAGCAGCCGGCGCCACAGAGAGGGCTTCCTACAGGGAAGAGAGGGCCTTTCAAAAGGTGGGCAACGGGCCTGGGAAACACAGCACTCCTCCCCCAACCCCGCAAGGCACCCACTTCCCACTCACCGGCAGATGAAGGGCAGGGTCAGCGCGCAGGCCACTCGGTCCTCAGGGCTCCCAGAGAGCAGCAGGTGCGTCAGGGCCCCAACCCCAAAGGGCGACTCAGCCTGAACCGTCAGGTTCTGCAGTAGCCTCTCCCCTGTGAGTGGAAAGCTTGTCAGGCTGGGAACTGGGGTCTAAGACAGGTGGGGTGAGTGAGACAGGGCTCTGGGCCCGTGAGATGAAGGAGGGTGAAACCTCTGGGTGAGAAATCAGGGCACTGAAGAGACAGTGCTGGGCTCGGGACGCTGGGAACCTGAGGTCCAGGACAAGGACAGAAGGTGGGACAGTCAGGGTGTAAGTCTGGGCCCCTGAAGTGTGGGCGGCAAGCCACCCAGGCGCCGAGGCAAGAGACGGAGGACACGAGCTGTTCCAGTATAATACAATATAAAACAAGAATAGTTATACCAGATATAGATCTTAGAGATATATGAATATCATTAATCATTAGTTTGTAGTAATTACTCTTTATCCCAATATTGTAATAATCCTCGCTCTATAATCATAACCTGGGAAAAACCAGGCCATACAGAGATAGGAGCTGAGGGGACATAGTGAGGTGTGACCAGAAGACAAGAGTGCGAGCCTTCTGTTATGCCCGGACAGGGCCAGCAGAAGGGCTCCTTGGTCTAGCAGTAACGCCATGAAGCAGCCTGTGGTCAGGGCACAGCAGACAGGGCAGTCCCTGGCAGTGCTGGGGGTGATGGTGAGGCTGGGGTTCACAGGTCAGCGTGCTGGTGGGGAGCAGTCAGGACAGTGCTGAACCAATGGCAGAGCCAGGAAAGAAGCACAGACCAGCCCAGATCCTGGGCGCGGGGCTGCATCTAGAGTTAGGGTATCTGGGTCCCAGGGCTAGGGCAGAGGACACAGCAGAACTCTGCCTGTGGGCCCATGGAGGGACTGGAACGCCCTGCTCCCCACCCCACTCTGGTGACAGGTTGTCTGGAGGACGGGCTGGGGAGGACAGGTGAGTGGGAAGGTGAGGTTCTGGGCCCATGGAAGCCATGGGGGAGGATGGGGACTCACATGGGGGCAAGGAGACGGGTGGGTATGGGAACTCACCCAGCTCTCGGTGCCGGCTGTGGAGAGTGGGCCGGGCACGTGGTGCCGGCCAATCGTCAGGCGCCACCCCCAGCACCAGCCAGGCCCGCAGCAGCGCCGCGCCATAGCTGCGCACGAAGGCCTCGAGGCAGGCAGGGTTGCAGGTGAGGCGTGACAGAATGCGCAGTGCACGTGGGCTGGGCGGGCCCGGTGCGCCGGTCACATAGGTCAGCAGGCCGTACAGCGCCGGGCCGGTCACAAGTGCCCCACTTGGGTCAGGGGCCTGGGAAAAGCGCGACAGCAGCAGCAGGGCTGGCCCTTCGCGTCCCCAAGGCTCCTCGATGGCGGCGGCGGGGCTGCGGCCCGGAGTGCGTTGGGTGCGTGGTGCCCGCAGCGAGGTCGGGGTCGGGGCGGGGCTGGCCGGCTCCATGGGCTCCGGCGGACACTGCTCAGGAGACCAGTCGGGGGAGATGTCATCAGGGCCTGTGGCATAGCCCTCGGAGATCAGCCACGACCTGCGGAGGGCAGAAAGGGAAGGAGACTGAACCCAGAGCCAAGGTTAAGGGGCAGAGTCCAAGAGGCGTGAGGCGTCTTTTTTTTTTTTTTTTTTTTTTTTAAAGAAATGTGGTATCCCTCTATAGCCCAGGCTGGAATGCAGTTGTGGGATCCTAGCTCACTGCAGCCTTGAACTCCTGAGCTCAAGTGATCCTCCCACCTCAGCCTCCCAAGTAGCTGGCACTACAGCTGTGTGCACCACACTCAGCTAATTTTTTAAATGTTTTGTAGAGATGGGTCTCGCTATGTTGCCCAGGCTGGTCTCGGACTCCTGTGCTCAAGCGATCCTCCTGCCTTGGCCTCCCAAGGTGCTAGGATTACAGGCGTGAGCCACTGCATGAGCTAAAAGCTGTCTTGGAGGGAGGTAAAGCCAGGGGAGAGAAGGAGGGCGGAGAAAGGGGAGAAACGGAAGTGAGAGGGGGATACGACTAAAACCTCATTCAGTAATTACTGATGCCTGTCACGTGCCAAGCCGTTCTTTAGGTGCTGGGTAGAAGCACTGAACAAAGTGCCTGTCCCCCTGGAGTTTATGTTCCAGTGAGAAGAAGCAGACAAGAAGTAAGAGTACCATGAGTTATGTTAGTGTGGGGCTAGTGTAGAGTACAGGGGTCATGGAGAAAATAAAAAGGAAATAGGAAGCGCTGGGGGCTGGGCATGGTGGCTCACATCTGTAATCCCTACACTTTGGGAGGCTGAGCCAGGAGGGTCACTGGAAGCCAAGAGTTCAAGACCAGCCTGGGCAACAAAGCGAGATCCCCAACGCTAATGTTTAAAAAAAAATAAAGAGTTCCTCAGCTTTCCTGTGATGCTTCAGCTCATGAGTGATGGTAAGAGAGTAAGAACTTGGACTCCAGAGCCCACCATCTTAACCAGCGTATATCCCACCTCCCAGTGAACTTGTCTGGGGCCCAAAGTTCAAAGGTGCTGGCGTGGAACCAAGGTTAAAAGGTAGATCCAGCCAGTGCAGTGGCTCATGCCTGTAATCCCAGGACTTTAGGAGGCTGAGGCGGGTGGATCACCTGAGGTCAGGAGTTCGAGACCAGGCTGGCCAACATGGTGAAACCTTGTCTCTATTAAAAATACAAAAATTAGCTGGGAGTGGTGGCCGGCACCTGTAATCCCAGCTACTCGGGAGGCTGAGGCAGGAGAACTGCTTGAACCAAGGAGGTAGAGGTTGCAGTGAGTGGAGATGGCACCACTGCATTCCAGCCTAGGTGACAGAGTGAGACTCTGTCTCGAAAAAAAAAAAGGTAGACTCAGGGGAGTGGAGTGTGTTAAATAGGAACTGGCAGGTGGTCGTGTGGGAATCAGGAGTCTGGGTTATAAAAGTCTTATTCAGACAGAATAGGGGTGGAGGTAGTGAAGAGGACCAAGACAGACACAAACCCCACATCACTGCACTGCTCACCCTCCCAAGCCCTGAGGCAGGGACTCACCTGAGGCTCCGGAAGCTTCCACCCTGTGCCCGCTCAGGGGTCCTCTCCTCAGGAAAGTCCCAGGAAGCAGCTTCTCTTCCCTCTTCTTCCTCCTCACCAGCCTCACCACACAGCTGCCCAGCCAGGAGAGGCACAAGTCCCAGAGCCTGCAGCCGGCCCAGGGCCCCAGTGTCATACAGAAACCCCACAAGGGCAGCCACAATACGAGGGTGCCATGCGCTTGCACGAGGGTCCCGCAGCAGGCCCATCAGTAGATCCAAGCCACCAGCATCCCGCAGTCGGGCCCGGTTGATGGCCTCACGACATAGGAGGCACACAGCCCGCACCAGGGGCTGCTGGGAGGTTGGGCTAGCTCCATTAGGATCCCGGCGCTGCCGGAGCTCATCTACCAGCACCTCCACGCCACCAGCATTGCCCAGTGCAGGCCGAATCAGGCCCTGGGCACACAGGTTGGCGAGGATCAGAATGGTTCCCTCGCGTACTGCCCGCTTGGGGTGGGAAGCCAGGCTGACGAGTGGGCCCAATCCCCCACCCAGACTTAGCTGCTCAGCACAGGCCCGGGAGCAGCCTCGGCTGAGTTCCAGGAGGGCACGGACGAGGGCTAAGGTCAGTGCAGCATCTGGGGCAGTGGCCAGGAGCTCGGCCAGCGGACGCACTGCTCCCTGCTGTGCCAAGGCCAGGCGGTGCTGGGGTGAGTCTGCCAGGTTACGGAGGGCACGCACCACGCTCTGTAGGCACTGCGAGTCCTGGCAGGCTGTCAGGCTCTCCACAAGCAGGGGAACAGCACCTGAGGGCAGGAAAGGGGAGCACAGAGGGTGAACAAGGACAGACACTCAAGCCTTTCTTCTGCCCCAAGCCCTAGCAGACCCCAACCTCACAGCCTCTTACCAGCACAGTGGATGTCCCCACAGCTCTCAGGTTCCATGGCTAAGTTCCCCAGGGCACGGGCCGTTCGGTTCTGGATGCTGTCTGTCTTCATGCACTGAAGAATGGTCACTGCAACGACAGTTTGGGCTTGTGAGGGTTCTACCCCTTACTGTCTCTCACATCAATAACCTGGAGAATGTGGCCTGAGAGGGCCTGGAAGGCTTTCAGAAGAGGCTAATGGTCGGCAGGGCACCGTGGCTCAAGCCTGTAATCCTAGCACTTTGGGGGACCAAGGTGGGTGGGTCACTTGAGGTCAGGAGTTCAAGACCAGCCTGGCCAACGGGGCCAAACCCCATCTCTACTAAAAATACAAAAATTATCTGGGCATGGTGGTACACGCCTGTAATCCCAGCTACCCGGGAGGCTGTGGCAGGAGAATTGCTTGAACCCAGGAGGCAGAGGTTGCAGTAAGCTGAGATCGTGTCACTGCACTCCAGCCTGGATGACAGAGCAAGACTCCATCTCAAAAAAATAAAAAGAAAGAGGCTAACACTCGGGCTGGGTCTGGAGGGGTACACAGGAAGGTATTTGCCAGAAGCACGGTGGATGGGGGTGTGAGAAGGCATTTCAGGTTTGGAAGCAGCCTTTCCAAAGGCCCAGAGGTAAGATACAGTGTCTGTGAAAGGCTTCAAATGTCAGGCCAAGGGGTCAGGACTTGAATGTGAAGGCACTGGGGGCCACACAAGGGTTTTATGAAGGGGAGTGACACGATACAATCTGACATCCATAGGGAGAATGCATTATGGGGAAAGAATAGGAAGGGGGGAGTCAAAAGGCTGTCATAATAGTCCAAGCATGAAAAGACAATAGCTTGAACCAACCCAGCTACTGGCATCACACAGCACAGAGATACCAGTCTCTGGGCACACAATGGAAGTAGGAAGAGAGAGAAGCAGATAAATTCAGAAGATATTTAAGATGAAAAATAGTAGCTGAATGATGGGGGTTATTTAATAACCAAAGCTCTTGTCAAACATATATGGTCCAGATACATTTTATGTAAATTTTAAATATATTAATGCTTCCCTTTATCCGAAAAGTTAAGATGTCATCAAAACTAGCATAATTTCGTGGAAGGCAGGTAGTGACATGTAAACTGCTTTCACACATTGCCACTAGGAGGCACCAATTTAGCTGGTAAACAGAAAAGCTTATGTTTTGCTAGGATTTGTTCTTACTGTGCTGGTTTTAATTATTTTTATTTATTTTTTCCTGCTTCCTAAGCGACTACTGATTTGTTTGGTTTTCTAAGATACGAGGTCTTGTTACGTTGCCCAGGCTGGAATGCAGTGGCTATTCACAGGCAGTCATTGTTCACTGCAGCCTCAACCTCCTAGGCTCAAGGGATCCTCCCGCCTCAGCCTCCCAAATAGCTGGAACTACAGGCGCGTACCACTGCACCCAGCTTATGCTAGTTTTTAATAACTTGAAATACGTATCATGCTTAGAATATTTGCATATTCGTGCCATATTTGTACTTCGTTTTCTCCCCACTCTGATTTTTTTAGGTAGCTATTATTGCCCCATTTTACAAGGAATCCTAGCCTCGGAGGGGTTAGGTGACTTTTGCAGATCTCCCTTTCTGAACCACTACACCTTCCAGCTCATCAGTGGGGCTTCAGAACCTTGCACAGGGCCGGACACATAGTTGGGCACTGAATGTCTGCTATGAACATCATAACTGGACGGTAAGAATCATCTGAAAAAATCACCAAATAACTCTTTGGCCTCCGCTAGTCCAGCTTCGAAAGAAGTCCTCAACAACCAATTCCTAGATAATGGCTACAATTATCTGGTCTGGGAGGGCTCTCTCTCATCTATAGAGAGTGCAGTGACGTCACGGGGCACAACAGATTGAGAAACAGGAGCGATGCGCCATCACAAAGCACGTTATTCCGGGATAGGACACAAAGAACTCCAGACTGCCCGGGTCTAGAGAGCAAGGGAGTTGCAAACCTAATCTTTCTAGGAAACGGGGGCGGAGCACTTACCCAAAGGGAGTATGCCTCCGAGTCTGCGCACTTCGGTCCGGCACGCCCCTTCCGTACAGCAATCGGCTAGGATGCTGAGCGCCAAGTCCAGCGTCTTGCGCAGGCGCACTGGCGGCGTAGGACTAGACGACGACACAGCGGAGGGGGCGGGGCCCGACGCGGGGGCGGGGCTAGAAGCTCCCGACGCGGCCGACGAGGGGGCGGAGCCGGGGCCTGCCTGGGACGGGGCGGAACCCGCTGCAGCCGCTCGCCGTAGCAGCGCGAGTAGGGGGCGGAGCCCGCCGCGTGCCCGGAAGCGCTCGATTCCCCCCGCTGCCTTGATGTGGCGCGTGCGGAGGGCTAGGAGCGCGCGGCTCAGGGGTGTCTCGTTGGTCGCTGGGTCCTTTTCCCCACCCAGAGCCTCCCCGGCCGCCGCCGCGAGCTGCGCGAGGCAGAACGAGAGCGAGTCCGTGAGGGTTGGCTTCGCAGCCGCCATCTTGGCTCGGGCCTCAGACTCCGCCCCGCTTCTCGCCGCTGATCCCAGGGAGCGGAACTGGAAGACAGGGAAATCGTCGGGCACCGCCTCGCTGACGCTGTTTAGCGCCACCGCAGTGATGCAAGTCGGAAGTTGTAGTTCTCGACCCCGGAAGTCTGTCCTTGCACACGAGGCGCGGCAGTACCTTAATCGCAGCGCATCCTGGGACGTGCGGGCGGTGCATGAGGGAGATGTGGTCCGCGTCGAGCTTCTCACGCCTACCTCGGGAAGCGCTGGAAACTCTTCCAGGGCCCTCCAGGTGGGCCAGGGCCTCCGAACAGCCCAGAAGTCCGACCACGGAGCCTTCGTGCCGTGCCCCGCCCCCGGCGTGCACTCGGCGGGGACCGCCTTTTCTCCTCTAGGCTCGCTTCGCTGCCCCCCAGCGGTGGTGCGGCCCGGCCTTGGGACGGACTCCGAGAACCCCGAGCCGGGCCGAAAGTGCGGGGTCCTGACCGCGCCGCAGACGGGGAGCCCTCGCTCGGTCAGAGGAAGAAGAGGGTTAAACCTACCGAGAACGTTCGCTGCCGCTTCCTAGAGTGACGGGCTTGTGGAATTTTCCGTTTCCGGAGCTGGACCCCGGTGTCCCGAGTGTCCTCCGCTCTGGACGTGCTCGTGAGCTCAGGAGCTGGCATCTAGGAAACGGGGAGTTCTTCACTCGCAGCGCAGTCGGCCGCGCCAGAAGAGGCGAGGGAGAATCCGGACGGGGCGGGGCGGCGGGGGAGCGGGACATTCGCGTCCCGGGGAGCCCCCAGGTCACCCCTGGATTGCGAGGTGGCTCCGCCTGAGCAGCCCTTCCTGGTGTGGTCGGGGCAGCTGCCCGCCCGGAAAATGGTCAGGCTCTAGCCCTGGGGAGGAAGAAGCCTTTGCCAAGAGCAACCGTCTACAAGCCCCAAAACCTGCGAGTGCCGGAAATGTGGACTGACCACAGCCTGCCTCCCCGGCTTCATTCACCACCAAGGCAGCCCCTCTGGTGACAAGCCTTACCGTTGTCCGGGTTATGGCAGAAGCTTCCGATGTGGCTCTGATCTGGTTAAGCACCACTGGGTACACACCGGTGAAAAGCCGTACTCCTGCCCCGAGTGTGACCATCGCTTCGGCCCTATGCCTGTGCCTAGTGTGGTAAGACTTTCAGCGTCAGCTCCAACCTGATCCAGCACCAGCGCGCTCACACCGCTAAAAGCCTTACCGCTGAGGGGACTGCGGCAAGAGTCTCAGCCTTGGCTCCACCCTGTTGCAGCACCTGCGCTCCACATGGGTGAGAAGGCCTCTAAGTGCCTTGTTTGTAGTAAGAGTTTTGTGCACAGTTGGAATCTGCTGCGGCACCAGCACAGTCACAAAGTCCGGAAACCTGATGCTTGGTGGTGAGTGTGGCCAGACCTTCGGCCACAGCTCCCACCTGCCCATCCACTAGGCGGCCCACAGCAGCACCCCTGCGTCTGCCTGCAGTGTGGCAGGGCCCTAGCGCAAAGCTCCAACCTGGGCCAGCACCAGCGGACGCACTAGGGCGGCAGCCTCTGCAAATAGCCCTGGCTTCAATTTTAGCTGAAACTTCAGCTCTGACTTTGGTTCGGACTTCAAGGAAATGGAAGGAACCAGGATCTCTAAGCAGACCCCCTTCTGCTCCCTTAGGGCTGTTGATTTTAGAGCTAATGATGGGATTCGGTTGGGGCGAGGGGGTCTCCACATCTTTTTGCCCAACCCTTTGCTAAGTCAAGGAACCCCAGTCTGGGCTGGGCATGGTGGCTCATGCCTGTAATCCCAGCACTTTGGGAGGCCAAGGTTAGCGGATCACTGGAGGCCAGGAGTTCGAGACCAGCCTGGCCAACATATTGAAACCCTGTCTCTACTAAAAAAAAAATGCTAGGCGTGTTGGCTCTCGCCTGTAATCCCAGCTACTCGGGAGGCTGAGGCAGGAGACTCACTTGAACCCCGGGAGGCGGAGGCTGCAGTGAGCGAAGATCGTGCCACTGCACTCCAGCCTGGGCGACAGAGAGTGTCTCAAAAAAATAACAAATTTAAAAATTGTTTTTAACAAAGGAGCCCCAGTCTGGAAGAATCAGAACACTAGATCTGTGATCACTGCCTTCAAAGAGCCCAGTCAGCTGAGAGGGCTTAGGTTTGTTCTTTGAAGTTACAAAGACAGAACGTCGACCAGCTGAAGGGAGAGTTTTGGAATGGCGGGAGCTATCCAGCGTGGACCCAGCTGCCTGCAGATCTGGCAGTAGCTGACACAGTCCCTTCACAGGCCTAGGGAGTGATGGGGTTAATCACACCTAGAACAACAGCTACCTCTTCCCAGAGGAATGGGACCAGAAATCAGGCAAGCCCCTGTGAGGAGTTCCATGGCAGCGCGCAGGCGGGGCATTCCTAACCTCCAGAGGGAACCATGAGGGATCCTGTGTTCTGGCAGATGGGCCAGAGAATTTGAACTTGGGACCATTGTGTGAGCCCTGGGTGTGTGAGCCCTTCAAAAGTCCTCTCAGCACGTGAGAACTATCATTATGGATGATGCTAGGGTGGTGGGGGCCCCAGAACAGACCTGTATGTTGAGTTCAGGGGTTGCTTTGTTGCATTTCTGGGCAGGGGCAAGAGGCCCAGGGTTTGTCATCTGCCCCTTCCCCTGCCTTATCCCCTTCCCTTCCAAGTTCCCCAGGCTCCTTTTCTGCCAGTCTGTCAAGAGAGGGAAGAGTGGCGAAGAGTCCTTTGTGCCTGGACATTGGGGACTGAACATGGCCCTTTTGCCTGGGCATTGCCCAAACATATATTTCTACTGGCATAACTTTGTGTATGTGAGAGCCAGGGGTAGGCTTCCCAAAGCACCTGCCTGTGCTCAGAGTAGACACCAAGCTCTGAGGCCCTTCCCTTCCCTGCTGGGGGAGGGAGTTGTCTGTTTCAAGGACCTAATGTCCACCCCTTGTGGGACAGTCCTACCATCAGTCCAGGCATCTGGTCTGCTGCCCCCAAATTTTACCATCTTTTTTTTTTTTTTTTTTTTTTTTTTTTGAGACGGAGTCTCACTCTGTTGCCCAGGCTGGAGTGCAGTGGCACGATCTCAGCTCACTGCAACCTCCGCCTCCTGGGTTAAAGTGATTCTCCTGCCTCAGCCTCCCGAGTAGCTGGGACCACAGGCTTGCGCCACGATGCCAGCCAGTGTTTGTATTTTTAGTAGAGGGTTTCACCAACCCTCTACTAAAGACCAGCCTCTAGTTGGTCAGGCTGGTCTCGAACTCCTGACCTCAAGTGATCCATCCGCCTCAGCCCCCCAAAGTGCTAGGATTACAGGCATGAGCCACCACGCCCGGTAATTTTGCCATCTTTTATCAGGCTTTCTGTGTCGAGGACGCTACCCACATAGAGTAGAACCTAAAGGGAAGGGATGTGAAGTGACCTCACCCTCAGCTTCTAGCTCATGGTGTCAAGGCTTGTGTGATCTTAGACACGTCTGCCTCTTCTGAGCCTGTTTCTTCATCTGTAAAACAGGGATGGGAGGTTGTGGTAAAGATTCCACAGCAACACTGCACACGCATGAAGTACCTGGGCCAGGGATGACTCGGCAGACCTCAGTTTCCCTCTGCCTCCTGCCTAGAGCTGTTAGCAAGCATCCATCATGCGGCTCACACAAGAGCTCCCCCCGGAGGTTACAGAAATGAAGGCAGCAGCCCCAGTCCTTGGGTAGCCTGTTTCCCCTTGAAGGAAACAGACTCAATATCAGCAACACAGAGTGAATGACGCCAGGGTGGCGAACGGGCCTTTCCTGGAGCAAATGCGGGAGGCTTCATGGAGATGACGTGTAATGAACAGCACTCATCTCAGGCTGGGAGCAGCACATGCCCCCGGCAGGGAGTCAGTGATGAGGTATGGGGTTCTTGACATCTTCCTCACCCAGGACCCTTCAGAGAGTACGAGCCAGGGTTTGAGTGAAGGGCCTGAGCCCAGCACATGCATGGTAGGCACTCAAAGAATAATTGTCATGATCAGGTCCTTTTTACACTGCTTACTAGTGGCCTTTAAGCCTCAGTTTCCTCACAGTTGCCTTGAGTGAGTGTCAAGTGTTGTAGACCTCTGCAAAATTCATAACTGCTTAAGAATATTAGGTATGGGTAGAGTAGGCTTGGAAGGAGGATTGGTTTGCAGAATCCCTTTCAGAGACCTGTAATCTAATTTCTCACATTAGGGCTAATACTCCTGGGACCCCTCTCCTCTCCAATTGCATAAAACAGGTTCTGACCAGAACAGCGAGGCAGGCCAGACCTCAGAAGCAGAGGGACGGGCTTAATCTAACAGGAGTTTATCCCATGTCCTGCATCCACTGTACCCTGTGCTGGGTTTAGAAGTAGCTTCACTGTCCAAGCTTGTGACCCAGTGCCCAAGCCCGAGATGGGAAACACATTTGTTTTGGCTGTGTGTGTGTGTGTGTGTGTGTGTGTGTGTGTGTGTGTGTGTTTTCAAACAAGCCAAGATTTTTACTTTTTGAGTTCCATTTTGTTGCCCAGGCTGGTCTCTGAAACTTCCAGGCTCAAGCAATCCCCCTGCCTCAGCCTCCCAAAATGCTGGAATTACAGGTGTGAGCTACCATGCCCATTTATTTATTTATTTATTTATTTATTTATTTTTGAGACAGAATCTCACTCTGTCATCCAGGCTGGAGTGCAGTGGTGCAATTGTGGCTCACTGTAGCCTCAACCTCCTGGGCTCAAGTGATCCTCCCACCTTAACCTCCCAAGGAGCTGGGACTACAGGCATACACCACCACACCTGGCTAATTTTTTGATTTTTAAAAAATGTTTTGTAGAGACGGGGTCTCACTGTGTTGCCCAGGCTGGTCTTGAACTCCTGAGTTCAAGTGTTCCTCTGGTCTCAGCCTCCCAAAATGCTGGGATTACAGATGTGAGCCACCTAACCTGGTCTTTTTATTTTTTTAAAGAGCCAACATTTAAATAAGGAGATTTCACATCACAGTCGATTTCTGGGGCTTGGTTTGTTGTTGTTTTTTTTGTTTTTTTTTTTTTTTAATTGAGACAGGATCTTGCCAGGTTGCAGACTGGTCTTGAACTCCTAGGCTCAAATGATCCCCTCCTGGCCGGGCACGGTGGCTCACGCCTGTAATCCCAGCACTTTGGGAGGCCTAGGTGGGCGGATCACGAGGTCAGGAGATCGAGACCTTCCTGGCTAACAAGGTGAAATCCTGTCTCTACTAAAAATACAAAAAATTAGCTGGAAATGGTGGCAGGCGCCTATAGTTCCAGCTACTCAAGAGGCTGAGGCAAGAGAATGGCATGAACCCAGGAGGCAGAGCTTGCAGTGGGCGGAGATCCTGTCACTGCAATCCAGCCTGGGTGACAGAGCAAGACTCCGTTTCAAAAAAAAAAAGAAAAGATCCCCTGCCCCGGCCCTTCCCTCCCCCACCCACCTCGGCTTCCGAAAGTGGTAGGATTACAGGCGTCAGTCACCACACCCGGCCTGCTTTATTATTTATATCAGAAGATGCTGCAACATTGGATTTTTATGGCAGCAGTTCGTTGAGTAGTGGCTGTCCTGGACATAGGAACAGGGACACTCCCTCTTGCATCCCTGACTCAGCACGTTTCATATGTGTTACTTGCCTGTCCCCTGCAGAAAAGTACTTGAGGTTACAGTCTCCATCCCACCCCACTGTGGGTGAGAAGGACCTTTCCATGCAGTGAAGGCACTTTTCCCCTTTCCTTCACCCCTTCCTGTTCCCTTCTCTGCCGTTTTCCTTCTTCTCCCCCAGAACTCCTCTGTGAAATACCTGGCCTCCTTCCCTGAGCCTCCCTGTCTCCCTGCCACCCCATCTCCACTCCGTGCTATGACATCACCCCGTAATTTGAAGCTCCTTTCCCTATCTGAAGGGAGGCAGAGACAGAGTGCACAGGCTCAACTAGGCAAGGCAGACCCTTGCATGCCTGGGTCAGAGGTCAGGGTCTCTGGCACACATTCCTCCCAGAGCAACTGTAGGAAGCAAGCCAGTACAGAGGTACTCTAAGCGCTAGACAGGACGGGGTGGGAGTCGGTAACATCGTCTCCTCTGGGCTGGCCCTGCTTCTGCTTAGCTCTGGGCATAAGACTGACTCCAGTACAGTCACAGTTATGTCTCTGAGCTCACCCAGTCCTGGGTTCCAGGTTCCCAGCTCTGAGCCTGGCGAGACACACACAGGCTGGTGCTGTGGGATGTCTTGGTACGGTGGCTCACGCCTGTATTCCCAGCGCTTTGGGAGGCCGAGGTGGGCAGATCACCTGAGGTCAGGAGTTCGAGACCAGGCTGCCCAACGTGGTGAAACCCTGTCTCTACCAAAAATATAAAAATTAGCCAGGCATGGTGGCACGTGCCTGTAATCCCAGCTACTTGGGAGGTTGAGGCAGGAAAATTGCTTGAACCCAGGAGGTGGAGGTTTCAGTGAGCCAAGATCGTGCCACTGCACCCCAGTTTGGATGAAAGAGTGAGACTCCGTTTCAAAAAAAAAACAAAAAAAACAAAACCAAAAAATAAAAAAACACATCAGCTTGACATTTTGGAGGCATTCCCAGACTCAGGGTTAGTCAGCAGATTAGCATTTAAAAGAAAGTCTTGTCCCTACAGATTCCCTGACCTCAGCTACCCATGAAGGGTGGGAAGAGGAGTCCTTAGCAAGAAGTCCAGGAAGTTGACAACCTCCTCAGACCTGATAGGACACTCCTCTCTCCACCCTGCCTCCTGACTGATTTAATCTCAGGGGTGTGAGGACCTCTGAGATAGGCCCCAGGAGTCTCACCCGCACCACTTATGTCTCAGGGCTAACCAGAGACTCCCTGAAACAGATCCTAGAGGATTCCCAAGTGATAGGATAAATAGAGAGGTACTGAGACTTCCTGGCGTGGGTGACCTCTCCCAGGCTGGCCAACCTCCCCCATTCAGAAATTTGCTGAGCACCAGGAGTGAATGAAGTAAAGGAAGCCCCTAGGAGTTCAAGAAGCAGAGATTTCCAGGTCCATGCACCAAAGCTCATGTGCTCAATTCTCAGGAAAGGCCTCACTCAGTTAAAAAATTTTGTATCATGAAAGGGTAAATGAATTAATTAGTGAATCTGGTTTCTAAGCCAATGGCTTACTAGAAATATTATAGTAAATCAGAAAAAAAAAAAAAGGCGGTGGCTCACACCTATAATCCCAGCACTTTGAGAGGCTGAGGTGAGAGGATGCTTTGAGCCCAGGAGTTCGAGACTAGCCTGGGCAACATAGCAAACCCCATCTCTAGAAAAAATTAAAAAACCAGCCAGGTGTGGTGATGTTCACTGTAGTCCCAGCTATTCAGGAGGCTGAGGCAGGAGGACCGCTTGAGCCCAGGAATTTGAGACTGCAGTGAGCTAGGATTGTGCCACTGCACCCCAGCCTGGGCAACAGAGTGAGACCCTGTCTCTAAAAAAATAATTTTTTTTAAAGATAATTCTTCAAAGGAGATCCGCTCTTCCTTTCCTACACCCATTCCCTTTCCTCCCTTTCCTGAACAATGCTGTCTTACAGCCTCTAGGGGCAGGCAGAGCCAAAGAGGCCTCTGCCGGGTGTGGGGAGTGAGACGCAGCAGGCCAGAGCATGTATCAGAGCTCCAGCAGGTGGGGGAGGGTGTCCACACGAGAAGGTGGCCTGGCTTGGCATGGCAGAACCTGATAGGATTAGGAAGGCATCAGCCACGGGAAGGAGATGGCGAGAGAGATAAGAAACTGCTTCCACCAGCTATTGGTCAAATAAGTACACATTTGAAAGATAACAGCCAGGTTTCTCAGTGTCAGAGAAAACCGAGACACAGCTCGGGAAAGGGAGAAAATGTGGGTGGGGAGACCCTTGTGGTGTCGAATTGGAACTGGAGGTATAGGAGTAGACTCAGGATTTTCAGAAAGTGTTTAGATAGACATAGAAATTAGTATGGGTGTGTATATGTGTATGTGCACGCAGATGTGTGTAAATGTCCATATATTCCCTAGCTCTGGAAAGCCCTGGAGCAGTGCCATCCCAATAACAAAAAGCTTTTTATGGTTTTTTGAGATAGGGTCTCTCCCTCACCCAGGCTGGGGTGCAGTGGTGCGACCACAGCCCACTGCAGCCTCGACTTCCTGGGCTCAGGTGATCCTCCTGTGTCAGCCTCCCAAGTAGCTGGGACTACAGGCATATGCCACCACACCCAGCTAATTTTTAATTTTTTTTTTTTGTAGGGACGGGTCTTGCTACGTTGCCCAGGATGGTCCTGAACTCCTGGGCTCAAGCAATCCTCCCACCTCAGTCTCCCAAAGTGCTGGGACTACAGGTGTAACAGTTTTAAGGTAATCAGAATCAAGAAATGATTGAGGTGATGCTCTGGAATAATGGGGACTAGAGAGTCGTGACAACTAAATGCAATGTGTGGTGTGGTAGCATTTTTCTGGGCTGTAGTCCCTAGATGGGTAGAGAAGAAAGCCCCGGAGAGGGTGAAGAGGTGGGGATGTGGAAGACGTCAGAGAGAGCACAGGGCAGAGCGCAGAGAACTGCATCCACAGGCCTCGCCATGCCCCCAGCATGGCTGCACCACACCAGCAGATGCCTTCGCTTCCCAGCAGTGGACACAGGTCACTGGATCCTCACAAATGAGCAGCCAGGAGAATGTTTGCAGCCTGGAGATTCGGGGCTTTGTCAGCACCTTGGGAAGGTTTTGTTCTTGGGTTTTGGGTTTTTGGTTTTTGGATTTTTTTGGTAACAATATCGCTATATTTATTCTCCTGCAGTACACTTTTAAATTGCTTCAACATTTTCCCCTTAAAATAAAAAAGAACAACAACAAAAAAATTCCAAACCTTAGAATTGAAATATTTGGCCTTTTCTCTCTCTCTTTTTTTTTTTTTTTTTTTTTTTTGAGATGGAATCTCGCTCTGTCGCCTAGGCTGGAGAGCAGTGGCGCGATCTCAGCTCACTGCAACTTCTACCTCCTGGGATCAAGCGATTCTCCTGCCTTACCCTCCTGAGTAGCTGGGACCACAGGCGCATGCCACCATACCAGGCTAGTTTTTTTTTGTTTTGTTTTGTTTTGTTTTGTTTTGTTGGTATTTTTAGTAGAGACGGGGTTTCACCGTGTTAGCCAGGATGGTCTCGATCTCCTGACCTCGTGATCCGCCTGCCTCGGCCTCCCAAAGTGCTGGGATTACAGGTGTGAGCCAGTGCACCTGGCCTTGGCCCTTTCTCTTTTTATTTCCTCGCAGTTCTCTCCCTTTTTTAAAAAAAATAATAATAAATTGAATTTATAAATAGAGGCAAGGTCTTGTTATGTTGCCCAGGCTGGTCTCGAACTCCTAGGCTCGAGGGATCCTCCCACCTTGGCCTCTCAAAGTGCTGGATTACATGTGTGAGCCACCCCACCTGGCCCCAGCTCTCTTAATTGCCAGCACTCCTCTTGGAAGTCCCTCATCTTGATTACCTTATTTAAGGTCACCTCCTCACAGGCCCTATCTTTTTTTTTTTTTTTTTTTTTTGAGAGGGAGTTTCGTTGCTTTTGCCCAGGCTGCAGTGCAATGGCGTGGTCTCGGCTCACTGCAACATCCATCTCCTGGGTTCAAGCCATTCGCCTGCCTCAGCCTCCCAAGTAGCTGAGATTACAGACATCTGCCACCACACCTGGCTAATTTTTTGGAATTTTTAGTAGAGACGGTGTTTCACCTTGTTGGCCAGGCTGGTCTTGAACTCCTGACCTCAGGTGATCTGCTTGCCTTGACCTCCCAAAGTTCAGGGATTACAGGCGTGAGGCACCATGCCCAGCCAGTCCCTGTCTTCAAATACAGTCACACTGGGGGTTAAACAATGTATAAATTTGGGGGCGATACAAACATTCAGTCCATAACACCCCCTATACCCCAACCCTAGGCAACCACTAATCTACATCTTATCTCTACAGATGACCTATTCTGGACATGTCATATAAATGGAATCATACAATGTGTGGTCATTCGTGTCTGGCTTCTTTCATATAGCATAATGTTATCAAGGTTCATCCACACTGTAGTATCTCATTTCTTTTTATTAGGAATAATACAGTTTCACTTTATGGATTGCTGTGGTTTGAACCTGTCCCCTAAAGTTCATGTGTTGGAAACTTAACCTCCAATTCAACTGTTGAGAGGTGGGAACTTTAAGAAGTGATTAGGTTATGTGAGCTCTTCCCTCATGAATGGATTAATGGCATTATTGCATGAGTAGGTTAGTTATCAAGGGAGTGGACAGCTGATAGATAAATGGATGGGTTCTGCCCCCACCCACCCCCTCTCTTGCACTGTCTTGCCCTTCCGCTTTCTGCTGTGGGATGAGGCAGAAAGAAGGCCCTCACCAGATGCAGGGCCCTTGACCTTCGACTTCCCAACCTCTAGAACTGAAAGAAAGATATTTCTATTCTTTATAAATTATCCAGCCTTAGGCATTCTACGATGCAGCACAAAACAGACTAAGACATGGATATGCCACTTTCTTCAATCATCAGTTGACAGACATTTGGGTTGTTTCCACTCGGGCTATTATGAATAATGCTGCTATGAATACTCACGTACAAGGTTTTTGTGGAATATGCTTTTATTTCTTTTGGTTACATATCTAGAAGGGAAATTGCTGGATCATATAACTCTATGTTTAAACATCTGAGGAACTGCCAGACCATTTTCCAAAGTTAATGAATGATTTTACGTTCCAACCAGCCATGTGTGAGGGTTCCAATCTCTCCACATTCTCACAAAAACTTGTTAATTAACTGTCTTTTCAGCTTTTTTTTTTTTGAGTCGGAATCTCACTCTGTCACCAGGCTGGAGTGCAGTGGCGTGATCTCAGCTCACTGCAACCTACGCCTCCCAGGTTCAAGTGATTCTCCTGCCTCAGCCTCCCAAGTGACTGGGATTATAGGCGCCTGTCACCACGCCCAGCAAATGTTTGTATTTTTAGTAGAGACAGGGTTTCACCAAGTTGGCCAGGCTGGTCTCAAACTCCTGAGCTCAGGTGATCCGCCCACCTCGGCCTCCCAAAGTGCTGGGATTACAAGTGTGAGCCACTGCCTGTAAATATTATCATTTAAAAAATATCATTTTTAAAAATATTATTTAAAAAAAAAATTTTAATGTTTTTTAAATATTATTTTTAAAAATAATAATAATGTTATTATTATTTGAGATAGAGTCTCCATCTGTTTCCCAGGCTGGAGTGCAGTGGCGTGATCTCAGCTCACTTCAGCCTTCACCTGCCAGGTTCAAGTGATTCTCCTGCCTCAGCCTCCTGAGTAGCTGGGACTACAGGCACCCGCCACCATGCCTGGCTAATTTTTTGTGTGTTTTTAGTACAGACTAGGTTTCACCATGTTCACCAGGCTGGTCTCGAACTCCTGAGCCCAGGTGATTCGCCCACCTCAGCCTCTCAAAGTGATGGGATTACAGGCATGAGCCGCCACTACTGGCGTAATTACCTGTCTTTTTTATTATCACCATCCTAATATGTATGATGTGGCACCTCGTTGTAGTTTTGATTTGCATTTTTCTGAGGACTAATGATGTTGAGGATCTTTTCATGTAATTATTGGCCATTTATATAACTTCTTTGAACTGTCTATTCAAGTCATTTGCCCATTTAATTTTTTTTCTTTTTCTTTCTTTTTCTTGAGACAAGGACTCCTCTGTTGCCCAGGAGTGCAGTGGCACAATTTCGGCTTACTGCAGCCTCCACCTCCATGGTTCAAGTGATTCTCAGCCTTCCGAGTAGCTGGGACTAGAGGTGCAGGCCACCACACTCGACTGATTTCTTTCTTTCTTTCCTTTTTTTGTTTTTTGAGACTGAGTCTTGCTCTCTCGCCTAGGCTGGAGTGCAGTGGCGTGATCTCTTCTCACTGTGACCTCTGCCTCCCGGGTTCAAGTGATTCTCCTGTCTCAGCCTCCCGAGTAGCTGGGATTACAGGCACATGCCACCATGCCTGGCTAATTTTTGTACTTTTAGTAGAGACAGGGTTTCACCATGTTGTCCAGACTGTTCTCAAACTCCTGACCTCAGGTGATCCGCCCACCTCAGCCTCCCAAAGTGCTGGGATTACAGGCGTGAGCCACCGTGCCCAGCCTAATTCCATTTTTAAATTGGATTATTTGTCTTTTTTATCATTGAGTTGCAATAGTTCTTTATACAGTCTAGGTACAAATCCCTTCCCAGATATATGATTAGCAAAGATTTTTACCTGCTCTGTGGGTTATCTTCTCCTTTTCTTTTTTATCTTCTCTTTTTCTTAATAATGTCCTGTGAATCTCCCTGACGTCTGGGTATTTGGAAAGAAAAAGAAAAAAATTAAAGAATAATGTCATATGAAGCGCAAGAGGTTTCAATTTTGATGGTGTTCAGTTTCTGTATTTTTTTCTTTTGTTGCTTGTGCTTTTGGTGTCATATCTAAGAAAGCATTGCTTAATTCAAAGTTATAAAGATTCTAAGAGTCCTAACTTTTAGTTCTATGATTCAATTTGAGTTAACTTTTATATGTATTGTGATATAGGGATCCAAATTCATTCTTTTGCATGCAGATATTCAATATCTACCTTGTATATATACATATATTTTTTTAATTTTTAATTTTTTTTTTTTTGAGACAGAGTCTCCCTCTGTCACTGAGGCTGGAGTGCAGAGACACAATCGCAACCCACTGCAACCTCTGCCTCCCAGGTTCAAGGGATTCTTGTGCCTCAGCCTCTCGAGTAGCTGGGATTAGAGGTGTGTGTCACTATGCCCAGCTAATTTTTGTATTTTTAGTAGAGACAGTGTTCTGCCATGTTGGCTGGGCTGGTCTCGAACTCCTTGCCTCAGGTAATCCGCCCACCTTGGCTTCCCAAAGTGCTGGGATTATAGGAGGGAACTACCTCGCCCTGCCTATTGTATAATTTTTTATTGAGAGTGCTATGGTTTGAACATCCCCTCCAACTCATGTTGAAATTTAATTGCCATTGTAACAATATTAAGAGATGAGGCCTTTACGAGGTGATTAAGTCATGAAAGTTCTGTCCTCATGAGTGGATTAATGCCATTATCATGGGAATGAGTTAGTTATCACAGGGGTAGGCTCCTGATACAAGGATAAATTCAGTGCTATTTCTCTCTGTGTCTCACGTCTCACAAGATTGCATGCCTGATATGGTTTGGCTCTGTGTCCCCACCCAAATCTTGTCTCAAATTGTAATCCCCACATGTTGGGGGAATGGCCTGGTGGGAGGTGACTGAATCATGGGGGCGGACTTCCCCCTTGCTATTCTCGTGATCGAATTCTCAGGAGATCTGGTTGTTTGATAAGTGTGTGGCTCTTCCTCTTTGCTCTCCCTTTCTCTTCTGCTGCCATGTAAGATGTGCCTTGCTTCCCCTTCACCTTCTGCCATTATTGTAAGTTTCCTGAGGCCTCCCCAGCCATGTGAGTCAATTAAACTTTTTTTTTTTTTTTTTGAGACCGAGTTTCAATCTGTCACCGAAGCTGGAGTGCAGTGGCGCTGTCTCAGCTCACTGCAACCTCTGCCTCCCAGGTTCAAACAATTATCCTGCCTCAGCCTCCTGAATAGCTGGGATTACAGGTGCCTGCCACCATAGCCAGCTAAATTTTTTGTAGAGACAGGGTTTTACCGTTGGCCAGGCTGGTCTCAAACTCCGTACCTCAAGTGATCTGCCCACCTTGCCTCCCAAAGTGCTGGGACTACAGGCGTGAGCCACTGCGCCTGGCCTCTTTTTTTTTTTCTTTCTTTTTTTTTTTTTTAAATAAATTACCCAGTCTCAGGTAGTTCCTTACAGCAGTGTGAAAACAGACTAATACAAAGCACTTTCACCTTCTGCCATGGATGACCCTTGATGCTGGTGCCATGCTGTTGGACCTCTAAGACTGCAGAACTGTGAGCCAAATAAATCTCCTTTCTTTATAAATTACCCAATCTGTGGCATGGTTATAGCAGCAGAAAATAGACTACACCAGAATATAGAATATATCAAGAGTATAGAAACACAACTGACTTCTGTGTATTGATTTTGTTGTTACAGCTTTGCAGAATTTGTTTATTAGCTCTAACAAAGTTTTTTTCATAGATTCTTTAGGATTTTCTATAAAATCACCTCATCTATAAATGGAGATAGTTTTACTTCTTCCTTTCTGATTTGCTTGCTTTTTATTTTTCCTTGCCTCATGGCAAGAGCTTCCAGGCAAGAACTGGTGAGAGCTTCCAGTACAAGGCTGAATAGATGTGGCAAAAGTGGGCATCCCTTTCTTGTTTCTGATCTTAGAGGAAAAGCTTTTATTCTCTCACCATTGAGTATGATGTTGGCAGTGGGTTTTTTCATAGATGCCCTTTATCACGTTAATTGAGTTTCCTTCTATTCCTAGTTTGCTGAGTATTTTTATGATGAAGGGTGCTGAATTTTGTCAAATGCTGTTTTTACACCAATTGAAATAATAATGTTTTCCTTTATTGTATTGATGTAGTGTATTAATTTATTTTCATAAGTTAAGCTAACCGTACATTCCTGGGATAAATCCCACCTGGTTATCCTTTTTATATATTTCTGAATTTTATTTGCCGGTATTTTCTTGAGGATTTTTATGTCTATATTCATAAGAGATATTAGTCTCTAGTTTTCTTGTGATGTCTTTGTCTGATTTTGATAGTAGGGTAATACTGGCCTCAGAATAAGTTGGGAGGTTTTCACTGTCATGACTTTTATAACCTAATTATAAGTAATTCTTGCCAGGTACGGTGGCTCATGCATGTAATCCCAGCACTTTGGGAGGCTGAGGTGGGTGGATCACCTAAGGTCAGGAGTTCGAGACCAGCCTGGCCAACATGGCAAAACCCCATCTCTATTAAAAATACAAAATTTAGCCAGGTGTGGTGGCCGTGTGTGTAATCCCAGCTACTTGGGAGGCTGAGGCACGAGAATCACTTGAACCCAGGAGGCAGAGGTTGCAGTGAGCCGAGATCGTGCCACTGCACTCCAGCCTGGGTGATAGAGCAAGACTCTGTCAAAAAAAGAAAGAAAGAGAGAGGAAAGAAAGAAAGAGAATGAGAGAAAGAGAGAAAGAAAGAAACTCCTATAGTATTCCACAGGTCACATAGACCAACCCTGGTGCATTGTGGGAAGGGACTAAAAAGGGTGTGAACACCAGGAGTAGGATCACTGGGAACTATCTCAGCAGATGGCTGCCATAGCCACCAACTGACTAACATTCACTGAACACTCACCATGTGCCAGACATTGTGCTAAGCTCTTCACTTGGCTTATCTCCTTGAATCTTCCCAGCAACCTTATGAGGTAAGTAGGTGCTGTTATTATTGCCATGTTACAGATGAAGAAATTGAGATACAGAGATTAGATTCACCAAACTGCCCAAACTCCCACAGCTATTAACTGGTGGAACCAGGAATCAAACTCAGTAGGGTGTGCATATAATATACTTTGGGTGGTGGTGGTTGTTGTTGTTGTTGTTGTTGTTGTTGTTGTTGTTGTTGTTTTGAGACAGGGTTTCACTCTTTCACCCAGGCTGGAGTGCAGTGGCATGATCTGCAACCTCTGCAACACTGCAACCTCTGCCTCCTGGGTTCAAGCGATTCTCCTGCCTCAGTCTCCTAAGTAGCTGGGATTACAGGTGTGCACCACCATACCCGGCTAATTTTTGTATTTTTAGTAGAATAATTTTTGTATTTTTAGTTTCACCATGTTGGCCAGGCTGGTCTCGAACTCCTGACCTCAACTGATCCACTACCCTTGCCCTCCCAAAGTGCTGGGATTACAGGCGTGAGCCACCGCGTCTAGCTTTTTTTTTTTTTTTTTTTTTTTTTAAGAGACATGGTCTTGCTCTGTTGCCCAGGCTGGAGTGCAGAGGTGTCACCATAGCTCACTGCACCTTCAACCTCCTGGGCTCAAGTGATCCTCCCACTTAAGCATCCTGAGTAGCTGGGACCACAGGCGCCCACCACCAAGTCCGGCTAAATTTTAATTTTTTTTTGTAGAGATGGGGGTCTCGCTTTGTTGCCCAGGCTGATCCCTAACTCCTGGCCTCAAGCAGTCCTCCCGCCTTGGCCTCCCAAAGTGTTGGGATTACAGGCGTGAGCCACTGCGCTCAGTCTGTGTATCCTGATTACTAAATTTTGGGGTGTCTCCTTAAATTCTGTGCCAGAAGCCAGTGCCTCACTCGCCCTACCCTAATTCCACCCATCCCGGTGACCCAATGTCCCCGTTCAACCTGCACCATGGCGCTTCCCAGCCCCGCTCCTAGCGCCTCCTCCCGCCCCTAGGGGTCGCCGTCGCGCCGTCATTCCCTTCCTTCGATGCCCGGGCGAGACGCGCAAAAGGTGGGAGGAGGAGAGGCCCGCGTGTGTGCATGCGCATGGCGCGGACTCCCTCATCCTGGTCAGGGAGTGGAGGGGTTGGGTCTCAGGCAGCTGTTAGCGGAGTCCTCAGTGTCTCGGTCGTTTCTCCCTGTCTTGGTGAGGGCCAGGGGACAGGTCGGGGCAGTATTTGGGGGAAGCGAGAGGCAAGCAGGGCGGGCTGGATACGGAGCGCCCTATGACTGAGGTTAGGGAGGACGCCCGAGACCCCCGGCATCCTAGTCCTGGGCCGTGGGCTCCGGACGCCGGGCCAGGACGCCTCCAGCTCCCAGGGTCCCTTGCGGGGACCATGTTTCCCCACAGGCCCCGCGGCTGCCGGGTCCTCGCCACGTCCCCTTCCCGGAGCTACGCGCCCGGCTGGGTTCCGATCCGCCGTGTCTCTCGGGGGCGGCTCGCGGGGCAGGGGCGCTCCCGGCTCGGCCGCACGCCCAAGTGTCATGCGGGAGGTACGCGGGCACGGGACCTCACCGGGTAAGAGCGAGCGAAGGGGCCGGGCGCGGTGGCTCACGCCCGTAATCCCAGCACTTTGGGAGGCCGAGGCGGGCGGATCACGAGGTCAGGAGTTCGAGACCAGCGTGGCCAATATAGTGAAATCCCTTCTCTACTAAAAATGCAAAAATTAGCCGGGCGTGGTGGCGGACGCCTGTGGTCCCAGCTACTCGGGAGGCTGAGGCAGGAGAATCGCTTGAACCCGGGAGGCAGGGGTTGCAATGAGCCGAGATCTCGCCACTGCACTCCAGCCTGGGGAACACAGCGAGACTCCGTCTCAAAAATAAATAAATAAATAAATAAATAAATAAATAAAATCGAGCGAAGGGCCGCAGCCCGGGCCCACCGCCTCCACCTGAACACGCGCCTCCGCCGAGCCCCTCGACCCCGCGCCAGGCGAGGCTTGGTGGGGCGTTCCGTGGACCCCACACGCACGTCGGTGTTATCAGGAGGGAAGGGGCGGGCCAACACCTCCACCGCCTTTGCGGCCGGCCGTCCACCCTCCATTCTCCTGCTGGAGCCGTTTCCCAGCGATTCTCCGGCAGTGCTGGCTGCAGCACACCCGGCCCGCCTTAAAATCTCAGCCGCCTCCCCCGTCCCGGAGTCCTCCCCTGGGTTCTGTCCTTAACTGCATCACCGACCCCACATACACACAGGCATGAACACCCATCTTTTCACACGCCCCGTTTGCTTTCTCAGAACTTAGCAGATACTCTTAAGCTGAGAGGGTTTGGTGAGGTTAAAATTTATCTTGTGACATTGAGTCCAGCAGTTCAGAGCCTTGAACACCTCAGTACATGGCCTTGACCTTAGTTTATTACTTCTGTATTCTGCCGGGCGCTGCGGCTCACGTCTGTAATCCCAGCACTTCGGGAAGCCAAGGCGGGAGGATCGCTTGAGCCCAAGAGTTGGAGAGTAGCGTAGGCAACAATGAGATCCTGTCTACACTAATTATTTAAAAAAAAAAAATTAGCCAGGTGTGGTGGTGCACACCTGTGATCCCAGCTACTCAGGAGGCTGAGGGAGGACCGCTTGAGCCCAGGAGGTCGAGGCTGCAGTGAGCCATGATGGTGCCACTGCACTCCAGCCTGGATGATAGAGGGAGAGCCTGTCTCTAATACTAATAATAATCAATAATAATACTGTACGGTGTGCCCATTACTCAGGAGGCACTGTAGTAGAAGGATAAGCTGTGGCGGTAACTGAGGATAAACAGATAACCATTTAGCTAAAAAGGTTCTTAACCTTGGCTGTATGTTGTTACTCCTGGGTGCAGCACAGGCAAAATAATTTTGAAAGCTCCCAGGTAATCCTAATGTGCAGCTAGCACTGAGAACCACTGCTTTAACCCCTGAGGAAGGTAGGTAGGGCCTAGGGTGGCCCGAAGCACTGGGCCGGGCACCTTCAGTAGGGAGCAATCTCAACCCTTTATCCCTGTGAGTTACTCATATTGTAACATTTTCTGTGGGTTCCATGCTGTGAAAACAGTAAGCACTGCCCTACAGTAACAAGCATGCTTGACAGCCCTTGTGTCAGATCATCCATTGGAAGAGAGGGGAATCAAATCACAAAAGGCCAACTGGAAAACACACTCATCTAGGGAAGAGATTAGGAAAGCCTGGGCAAGGCTGATGACAGGGAATGTAAGAGAGGAGTTATAGTCACAGGAAGAATGTTGAGTGATAGTAGAAAACTAGATGGAAATTTCTGGCAGCCTGTGGTACTTTTAATTGGCACAAGGACTGATTTCGGTAACAGGTCCCCCTGACTCCCAAAGGAGAGCTGCGGGAATTGCTGTGGTCTTCCTAGGGCCCTCAAGACCATGAATGGGCTGGAGTCTGGACCAGTCTCAGGCACTAGCAAATTGGACAGTAGCTCATTCATACTGGTATAAGAGCTGCTGCTTTATCGAGGCCAGAGGCCCTTTCTTATATGGGGCAGCAGCTGCGCTCCTGGGAATGATTCCTACATAAAAGATTCCACATGGAAAAAAAATAAGCTCTGTGCATTCCATGAAGATGCTCATTACAGCATTATCTCTACTAATGATCTATTCCAATAATAAAGGAAATGAATACAATATAATATGGTATTTCAAACAAAGCCATTAAAATAGATCATTATGAAAGAATGTGAATGAATGAGAAATGTTCATAAGTTAAAAAAATGCTTATTTTTCAGAGAGCAAAATTAGACTCGTCTGTTGCTTGGAATGGCTTCCTCTTGCTCTGTGTCTAAACTATGATTATGGAGTAGTTAAAATGCATATGCATGTTGGCAAAGCCTGAATAAAATATGCAAACGTGAAAATATTTTTTGTAGAGGAGATGAAATTATGGAGGAAGGAGTGTGTCTATTTCAAAATTGTCCTAATGAGAAGTATTGTGGCATAGTAGTTCAGAGGAAGCTCCCTGGAGCCAAAAATTTTTTTACCGTATATATGGCTTTTCTAAATTACTTAAACTTTCTATGCCTCAGTTTCTTCATCTATAAAATGGGGTAATCGTTAGTATCTTGGAGAGTTGTTGTGAGGTCTAACCAATATGTGGAAACTCTTAGAATAGTACCTGGCATGTAGTAAGTACACTGTAAGTCCTGGCTATTTCAACTCCGTATTATTTATAGCTTAATAAAATATTTTAAAGATAGTTGGCCAGTCAGCACTGATACTCCTGTCTACCTGTGTTACATCTCAGAAGAGGCTTAGCCTATCTGTGCTGACACTTACTGAAGTATAAGTTATATATAAAACACACCCACTTTAAGTGTACAGGTTGCTGGTTTTTGGTGAATGTGTACACGGGCATAACCATCATCACATTCAGGGTGCAGAACTTTGCCGTCACCCTCTCATGCCCCGTGCAGTCAGCTGCTCTCTCCCTGACCCAGCCCCAGAGAACCACTGGTCTACTTTCTGCCCCTATGAGTAAGTTTTGCTTTTTGTAGAAATGGAATTTCACAGAAATTGAATCATATAGTATGTATTCTCTTGTGTCTGGCTTCTCTGGTTTAACATAATTTTGAGATTCATCCATTGCTTGCAGGTAACAGCAGTTCCTCTTTGTTGCTAGTATTCTGTTACATGGGTAAACCACACTTTATTCTTCCACCCATTGATGGACATTTGGATGTTTCTATCTTATGCCTATTATGAATAAAGCTGATATGCACATTTGTGAAAAAGTCTTTGTGTGGACATATGTTTTTATTTTCCTTGAGTAAATCCTAAGAGTAGAATTATTGAGTCATGTGGTAAGTGTACATTTAATTTACTGTTAACCAAAACTGGTTTCCAAAATGCCCAGGCCATTTTATATTTCCCCAGCAATGTGTGAGACTCCATATCCTCAGGCAACAGTTAGCACCTTCAGTCTGCTCGATTTTAGTGGGTGCATAAGGGCACTCCTTGTGGTTTTAATTTGCATTTCTCGGGTGACTGATGATAGCACATCACTTTTTTTGTATCATTATACTTTTAAGTTCTAGGGTACATGTGCACAACGTGCAGGTTTGTTACATATGTATACATGTGCCATGTTGGTGTGCTGCACCCATTAACTCGTCATTTACATTAGGTATATCTGCTAATGCTATCCCTCCCCCCTCCCCCCACCCCACAACAGGCCCCGGTGTGTGATGTCCCCCTTCCTGTGTCCATGTGTTCTCATTGTTCAATTCCCACCTATGAGTGGGAACATGCGGTGTTTATTTTTTTGTCCTTGGGATAGTTTGCTGAGAATGAGCACATCACTTTTAAATGGTAGCTCACTTCTAGGGAAGGAAGGAGAGCGATGAGTCAAAAGAAGTTCCACTGTTTTTGAGCTTAGGTGTCCAAGAGAATAAAACTGGTGCCACCAACAAAAGTGAAATTAGGAGTCAGTGATTTTTTGGCATAGGGGTATTAAATTTGAAGTGATGGCAGGATGTTAAGGGGGAAATAACTGGGTGGCAGCATGCTTTGCAGGCTTGGAGCTCAGTGGGAGGTCAGGTCCTGAGATAAGAGCCAAGTATCCGCTGAGAGGTGAAGCACAAACGGGGAGAGAGAGAGAGATGAGACCCAAGGATCAAGCCAGGGCTCAGAGTGGCCAGAAGCATCTGTTCCCCAGTCCCCATTTCCAAGTAATGGAAAATCCAGACTGACAGGCCTAATAGGCCTAAAAATAGATAAAATTAGCCCACTTATATATGAGCCACTGGAATACTTTCTAGTCCTATTGCAAACTCTACTCTTGGCTACTTTGATTGTTAAAATTGTAAATTAAAAGTTATCTATACCCTTTTTAAAAAAGAGTTTCAATATGGTTTGTGACAATCAGTTAATTATCTTTGTGGCCTGAGGGGCCCCCTTCTTTTAATCACCTTAACCAATAAAGCAATAATGTCTTTCTGAAGTTGATTCTTTTTGATGGTTTGTGTTTGGATGTTCAAGGTTAATGAGGAAATGATCCTTACCACGCTTTTGTAATTTTAATACAGACAGGGTCTTGCTTTGTTGCCCAGGTTAGTCTCCTGGGCTCAAGGATCCTCTGGCCTCAGCCTCCCAAAGTGCTAGGATTATAGGCATGAGCCACTGCGCCCAGCCTCTTGCTACACTTTCATTCAGGATAAAGATGGTAATATCCAAGACTACTGAAAGTCTTATAACCCCAATCCAAATTTTAAAATAAATCTTACTATTAAGAAGCATTGATTGGCCATGTGCAGTGGCTCACACCTGTAATCCCAGCACTTTGGGAGGCTAAGGTGGGTGGATCATGAGGTCAGGAGTTTGAGACCAGCCTGACCAACATGGTGAAATCCTGTCTCTACTAAAATACAAAAAAAAATTAGCCGGCAATGGTGGCAGGCGCCTGTAATCCCAGCTACTCGGGAGGCTGAGGCAGGAGAATCGCTTGAACCCGGGTGGCAGAGGTTGCAGTGAGCCGACATAGCTAGCACCACTGCACTCCAGCCTGGGTGACAGAGCAAGACTCCCTCTCAAAAAAAAAAAAAAAAAAACATTGATTATAGGAGGCCGGGCATGGTAGCTCATGCTTGCAATCCCAGCACTTTGGGTGGCCCAGGTGGGCCAACCGCTTGAGCCCAGGAGTTTGAGAGCAGCTTGGGCAACATGATAAAAACCAGCTTCTACCAAAAAAAAAAAAAAAAATGCTGGGCCTAGTGGTGTGCAACTACAGTCCCAGCTACTTGAGAGACTGAAGCGGGAGGATCACTTGAGCCAGAGAGGCAAAGGTTGCAGTGATCAGAGATCGTACTACTGCATTCCAGCCTGGGCAACAGAAATAGACCCTGTCTTAAAAAAAAAAAAAAAAAAAAAAAAGAAGGAAAGAAAAAGTAAAATAGTAATAAAGAAGCATTGATTACAGGATTCTGAAAGCAAAGTCTCCTTTGCAGTTTGTAGTAAAATTTTTCTGTGGTTTTCTCTCCCTCTAGAGAGAATGATGGCTCTGGGATCTGAAATCTTTCCTTCCGCAGGAACTGGACACGGCAGTGAGGACCAGCGTATCCAAGAGGATGGACTTAGTGATGGGGAACACCCAGGGACATGCCCGAGAGCCTCAAGAAACACCTTCAGATGACATTGCCCAGCGTCTTACATTAGAGAACTCTCCAGACAGCCCCCGAGGCCTGGGGCCGGGTGCTGCTCCCAGACTGTGAGCTCGTGGCCACGGGAAGCCTGAGTGCGGCAGAGGCCCCACAGCTGCGCCAAGTGCGGCAAAGCCTCCCGTACAGTTACTCCCTGAGCGGTCATCTCCGAAGCCCTGCTCATGAGAAGCCTCCCCTTTGCCCTGACTGTGGAAAGCGTTTCAGCCAGAGCTCCTACCTGCTGCAGCACCGGCAGATTCACCCAGGGCCGTCAGCCCTGCAAGTGCAAGGCCTGCGGGAGGGGTTTTACTCAGAGCGCATCCCTCCTCCAGCACTGGCGGGTCCACAGCGACTGGCGAGAGACCTTGTCGCTGTCCCCAGTGCGGCAAGACCTGCTGTGGCCGCTCCAACCTCATCAAGCACCAGCGAGTCCACTCGGGAGAAGCCATTCGTCTGCGGGAGTGCGGCAAGGGTTTAGCGGCCAGCTCTGCTGCTGGCTCACCAAGGAGCACACACTGGCCGAAGCCCTGCGTCTGTCCCCAGTACCAGCAGGTTTTTGGGGACCGGTGGAAGCTGATCGGCCACCAGCGAATTCACACAGGAGAGTGTGTCCCTTCTGCTGCTGCAGCTGCGGTGACAGTGTCAATGAGAAGACCTCCCTCTCCCAGCGCGTCCTTCCGCACCCAGGGGAGAAGACCTGCAGGGGTGGGAGCGTGGAGAGCGTCAGCCTCGCACCCAGCTCAGTCGCCCCGGACAGCACCTCTGGGCTCCGGCCCTGTGGGAGCCCCGGGTCCTTCCTTCAACATCTGCCCCCATCCACACTCCTGCCCCGACCTCCCTTCCTTTATCCTGGCCCCCCACTCAGTCTCCAGCCTCTGGTTCCATCCGGCCTTCCCGCAGTGCCTGCAGTGCCTCTGGGAGGCCTGGAAGTTGCCCAGGTTCCGCCAGCCACCCAGCCGGCAGCTCAGCAGGAGGGGGCGATGGGGCCCAGAAGCTGTGCGAGCGCGGGACGGGACTCGCGGGAGGCGGTTCAGGCCCCAGGCTACCCTGAGCCAGCCCGGAAGGCCTCGCAGCACAGAGCGGCCGGACCGCTCGGCGAGGCCAGGGCCAGGCTTCAGCGACAGTGCCGAGCTCCTCCACCGCCCTCGAACCCACACTGGAGAGGAGCCCTACCAGTGTTTCCGGTGTGGAAGGCCTCCAGCCGGAGGTCCAACCTGGCCCGACACTGAAGAACCAGCGTGCTGCAGCCCTGGGTGGAATTGTTGCAGCCGCCGGTGGACTGTGGATCTGAGATGCAGTCCCCTCCCTCCACACAGACCCGCTCAGGACGGCTTTTCTGTATGGCAGATCTTTCTCAGAAGTGCTGGGGGCTATTTTGTTTGTTTTTTTTCCCCTGAATTCTCGCTCCTTTCCCTTATACATTAAGGGATTTAGGCAGGTGCGGCTGCGGGCGGTGACTCACACCTGTAATCCCAGCGCTTTAAGAGACCGAGGTGGGAGGATCGCGTGAGCCCGAAGAATTTGAGACTAGCCTGGGCAGCCTAGCGAGACCGCATCTCTGTGAAATAAAAATAAAACGAGCTGGTGTGGTGGCGCTGGCCTGTAGTCCCAGCTACTCAGGAGGGTGAGGCGGAAGGATCGCTTGAGTTGGAGAGTTCAAGGCTGCAGTGAACTATGATCAGGCCACTGCACCCCAGCGTGAGAGACAGAGTGAGACCCTGTCTCTCTAAAATAACTAAAATAACAAAAGGATTTAGGTAGGTAGTAGGCAAAGGTATATTATCGAAGTAACAATAATATACAAGGTATATTATCGAAGTAACAATAATATACAAGGTATATTCTTGGTGTGGACAGGAATAATATTGTGTTATCTTAATATTAGTGATTATTTCTCTCTCCTTTTTTTTTTTTCTTGAGACGGAATCGTGCTCTTTTGCCTAGGCTGCAGTGCAGTGGCATGATCTCTGCTCACTGCAACCTCCATCTCCCGGGTTCAAGCGATTCTTCTACCTCAGCCTCCTGAGTAGCTGGGATTACAGGCGCCCACCACCACGCCCAGCTAATTTTTGTATTTTTAGTAGAGAGGGGGTTTGACCATGCTGGCCAGGCTGGTCTCGAACTCCTGACCTCAGGTGATCCGCCCACCTCAGCCTCCCAAAGTGGTGGGATTATAGGCATGAGCCACCGCACCCAGCCTCTCTTGTGCTTTTTAGATAAGTATTTTTAAAAGTGTTTGTTAGTTGTCGGCTGGGCGTGGTGGCTCACGCCTGTAATCCCAGCACTTTGGGAGGCAGAGGAGGGCGGATCACGAGGTCAGGAGATCGAGACCAGCCTGGCTAACACGGTGAAACCCCGTCTCTACTAAAAAAAATACAAAAAAATTAGCCGGGCATGGTGGCGGGCTCCTGTAGTCCCAGCCAAGCTGGAGGCTGAGGCGGGAGAATGGCGAATGGCGTGAACCCGGGAGGCGGAGCTTGCAGTGAGCCGAGATCGCGCCACTGCACTCCAGCCTGGGCGACAGCGAGACTCCGAATCAAAAAAAAAAAAAAAAAAAAAGTGTTTGTTGGTTTGTTGGTTGTCTTAATGATGTGCTATTAGAGTGAGGAAGAAAAGTTACCCTATGAGAATTTAAACTGCATGAAAGTCTGTGGTAGCATTACTGGTTCAGTTCCAAGCTTGCTACCTCAGTCCTTGATGCCTCTTTCTCCCAATCCAAGTAGTATCAGGCACTGCCGTCTACTTGTTGTACCTCAGAAGAGTTTTTCGACAGCACCCCGTGCCCTCTGTGGCCTGTGCTCTCTCACAGGTGCAAGTCCTGTCATCATGAGCCTGGACTGTTGCAGAAGACTCCTAGCCAATCTCCCCTGCTTCCCGCCTCTGCATTCTGGTTCAGCATCCATAGAACCTACCAGTTATTATAGATTCCTCCCTCAGACTCCAGACTCCAACACTAAATCTGATGTCAGTCTCCTGCCTGAAAGGATCTCCTGCCTGCCACTCCCACCCCTCCACCCCCTCCGCTGACCCCAGCAGGGCCTACAGAACAGGGTTCAAATGCTTTAGCGTGGCATGCATGCTTCTCCATTGGGCTTCGCCTGACCTCTGTGCCTTTGCTGGCCAGGGCCTCCTGCACCTCTGTGTCTTTGCACTTGATTTATTTCTTTCCACTGCCCAAAATGACCTTTCCCCTTTTCTGTCTCCCAGACTTGCCCTACTCATTCATATGAGCCCCACTTCCACTTAGAGACTGCCCCACCTCTCGTGTCACACCTGACGTGGTGAGTGCTCCAGTGGCATTAAGAACATAGGGCATGTCTGTCTGGTAACCTATCTCCCCAGCAGACTGAGCTCCACGAGAGCAGAGACCCTGGTGCAGGGCCTGGCTCACAGTGGGTGCTCAATTAATATTACTTATGTGAAGGAACCACTTCCAGCTGCTCAAGTATTCTATGCTAAAACTTGGGTTTCTTTCATCCTTGTTGTCCTCCCAAGATACAATGTGTACATAATTGGAAAGTTAGCCAAGGTGACTATGAAGGTGACCCCACCCAATCAATCTATGTCTTCCTGGTTACTGTGCCTGTCATTCGATGATTCCACGGTTATGTCTATAGTGATAACAGAAAAAAGCAACTGAAAACAATATTATTTACTCGGGTCTCGTGCATCTCCTCCACACATTTGTAGAAATGAGATTACCACAAATTGCCAAGATGGTTACATCAAATTTTCAGCAGCATCAGTCATAGGACAAAAAGGCCTTTGAGTGTATTTTTAATAATCAGCATTTACTGGTGGCAAAATACTGGTTTAGAAAATATCTGAGATTATGGTCAGGCACGGTAGCTCACGCTGGTAATCCCAACATTTTGGGAGGCTGAGGCAGGTGGATCACCTGAAGTCAGGAGTTCAAGACCAGTCTGGCCATAATTTCAGATGGTGAGATTATAGTGAAACCCCATCTCTACTAAAAATGCAAAAATTAGCTGGGCGTGATGGCACACATCTACAATTCCAGCTACTCAGGAGGCTGAGGCTGCAGTGAGCTGAGATCGCACCACTGCACTCTAGCCTGGGCAACACAGTGAGACTCCATCTAAAAAAAAATCTGAGATTAATAGGTTGCCATTTTAGGCGCTCTTTATAGACCAGCTGGCCTAGTGGTCCTGGTTCTGTAATATGTGAAGTAAAGGTCTCGCAGGGGAGCACCAGTTTCAAACTCTGTCCTAGTTTGCAGCCTTGGCTGGAGTGACCCCAGTCATGAGGCAAACTGAGCACAAGTGTGCAAGTGTCATGGATTCAGCCAGAACATCAGTGTTCCCAGCATCAGACACAGATTCGGGAGAAATCAAGTCACAGTGTAGAGATGTATTGTGATGTGTCACTACACTATTATGAAATGGAAGAAAATAAAATTACAAGCCTCAACCTTTAAACATTTAGCAACTTGGGCTGTATCTCAATGTGTAATTTATTTGTCTCACTTCATTTTCACAAACATTAAATCCCTTCATATCAAGTGCCTATGAGGTTTAATTCATTAAAGGCATGCATACTCCAGAATGTTTATTAAATACATTTCTATCATTTCTACAAAAGAAGCCCCAAAACTTCAATAAAATATGGATCACAGTACAGGGGAACAGAAATCAGAAATGTGCTGGTAAAAGTTTAGAGATGTGGTATAGCTTCATAAAAAATGTTTAACAATAAATTAGGACTTAAAGCCCCATTTCTAACTGGCTTTTACGAATAGGGGATTTGTTATTTCACATAACTGAAAAGTCTTAAGAGTTCAGCTCTTTCTCAATTCCGGCACATCTTGACTCAGGGATTCACATAATATTAACAAGGCTAGATCTCCCATTTTTCAGGTCTGCTCTGAAAATGGCTTCAATATTGGCTTCAATTGAAGGCCCCAGCCTGAGGCTCCAGCAGCTCCAAGTCCAGTTGAAGTATAATTGTGTTTCAACAGTCCAAGAGACAGGCCTGAAAATTGGAACTCATGGACTTGTGCCCCTCCCTACAACAATCATCCCAGCCTGGGCAACACAGTGAGACCCATCTCTACAAAAAATTAAAAAATTAGCTGAGCACAGTGGTTTGTGCCTATAATCCCAGCTACTTGGTAGGCTGACATAGGAGGAATGCTTGAGCCCAGGAGTTCGAGGCTGCAGTGAGCTATGAACACACCACTGCACTCCAGCCTGGGTGACAGAGCCAGACTCTGTCTCAAAACAAAATACAAAAAACAATCACTACGGCCAGGTGGGGTGGCTCACGCCTGTAATCCCAGCACTTTGGGAGGCCGAGGCAGGCAGATCACTTAAGGCCAGAAGTTCGAGACCAGCCTGGCCAACATGGTGAAACCCCATCTCTACTAAAAATACAAAAAAGTAGCCAAGCATGGTGGTGTGCACCTGTAATCCCAGCTACTCAGGAGGCTGAGGCTGAATAATCACTTGAACATGGGAGACAGGGGTTGCAGTGTGCCAAGACTGCACCACTGCACTCCAGCTTGGGGGACAGAGTGAGACTCTGTCTCAAAAAAAAAAAATCACTATGACCTGGAGAATAGAATGCTCTGATTGGGTAGGCCTGGATCATGTGGCCCTTCTTGGAGCTAGAGGAGGGAGTCAACCCCACTTGAACTTGAACTGAGAATAAGGGGGGCAGGGGTGTGTGTGTCAGTATCAGAAAAGAAGGCATAGATATATTGGTCATATGACACAAAACAGTAGACATCCACTATCACATAGCCACTGGCCCCTCCCAAGTGCAGAGGGAGCTCAGAGCCCCATTTATTTAGAGTCTATGTCCCTGTTGCCACTGGACCCCACCCCAATGCTGTCTGAGCTCCATCTCTCTGTACCTGTTCGTTCTAGCTAACCCATGTCCTGTATCACAGTTGTTTTTCCAGGACTATTCTAATTTCAAATACGCTGTCCCTAGGGCCCCCATAAACATTTATACTTAGTAGATCACATGTAATCGATCTTTGCTTTAGAAAATGTGGTCATGGTATGCAGCATCCCAGGAAGAGGGCACAAGAGAAACTGACCCTGAGTCATGCCTCCACCTCCTTCACCACCAACAGCTGAGATACTCTGAACAGAGGCTGAGATGCTGCCCTCCGGGGTTTATTTAGCACCTGGTGAGTTTGTTCTTCCCTCTGCCTAAAGTGGAGGAAAAATTAAACCTCTAGAAACTGAAAGTGTTGGCAGCAGCCAGGTTAAGAACTGTGTGAGTGAGAACTTACAGAAACAATGGTGAGTGCACAGCCTGGAAGAGACAGCTCTGCACACCCTCTAGAGAGGCAGGTAAGATGGTGACAAGCCCAGAAAAGCACAGACCACCTGAGCGGAGGTCTCTGGGTACCTGGGCAAGTGCACCTCGTGATGGTGACAGCAGCCCAGGACAGAAGTGGCCCTCCTCAGGGCGTTCTTGACATCCCAGCAAGAAAACCTCTCCACAGGAGCTCCCAAGCTGAGAACAAAGGGATGGGAATTCCCAGGGAATTGTTTGGCAGCAACCAGAAAAACTCTGAGGGGCCTTTTAGGGGAGAAAAGAAACCTAGAACCTTTTCTTCCTTTTTTCCTTCTTTTTTTTTTTCTTGAGAGAGTCTTACTCTGTCACCCAGGCTGAAGTGCAGTGGCACAATCTTGGCTCACTACAACCTCCACCTCCTGGGATCAAGCGATTCTCCTGCCTCAGCCTCCCGAGTAGCTGGGATTACAGGCACGGGCCACCACACCCAGCTAATTTTTGCATTTTTAGTAGAGATGGGGTTTCACCATGTTGGCCAGGCAGGACTCAAACTCTTGACCTCAAGTGATCCGCCCTCCTCATTCTCCCAAAAGTGCTGGGATTACAAGCGTGGGCCACTATGCCAGGCCTCTAGAACTTTGTCAAGTAAAAATACCTGTCTTCATGTCTGTTTTCTCCAGGAGCCATTATCTTATATACGTAGGGAGGGGGCTATGTGTAGAGGGAGATGCCAGGTATCTTTAACTGGAATAGGGCCCCATCTTCTCTGCAACAATGCCAAAGTCCAGCTGGGAAAAAAACTGTAGGAAGAATTCTATTATAGCTCAGTGAGAGCTCAGGAATAATTTTTGTAACACTGTATAACATTTGACTGCTCAAGGAGGTTATTTTTTTTAAAAATAGCAGCAGCTTAAAGTTGGATGGAACATACTGTTCAGTTTATTACCAATGAGAAACAGGTATAGAGCCCCTTCTTGAAAATATATCTTCCTCGTTTTTTTTATATATTAAATTCAGATTATATGTCTATATAATTCATTCTTCTTTTGTATATTAAGTTCATATTAGTACATCAGCCCTTGATCAAAGCTAGAAGCTTCCTATTGGATTGTAATTCTGAAAAGGCATTGTTGTAGGGTTAACCAAAGTAACAAGGTTCAAGCATTCATTACATACATATTTTTAGAACACCTCCTTCATGCCAAGGTCCCTGCCCGTTGCTGAGGACAGAACAGGCAGATGTCATCCCTGCCTGGTCTTGTGGCTTTCTTGTGACCTGCTTTGATAGAGGGTTCACACCAGCCCTGTCTAGGCTTGCTTTCTCCAAGTAGTCATATTTTTCAGATTGAAATAATGCACTTTGCAGTAGACACCTGTCAGGCTTGTGGCTGCCTGGAACCTTTTGAATACTCATCCTAGACCTGGAGATTTTCCCTACAATTCCTGCCTCCCTAAGGCAGAATCCAGAGCTCAGTTTCCCATCCCCTCCTGCAGCTGGGGGACCTAGGGGTTGCCAGTTGGTGCAATCACATAATTCTTTCAGAAAAGAGCGACCCAGGATACAGGTTTCATGAAGAATCTGTTTTCAAGAGGGGATGAGGGTGGAAAATTCTGGTTTTCCAGGGCAGCCTTAATGAAGCTTTTGGCATCCAGGGTCCAGCAGTGTGAGCTGTGGGGGTGTCACTGCAGCTGGCCAACGGAATGACTTGTTTATGACTGTGCAGACTGTAGGCATCTCTGGCTATATCAGACATAGTAAGCTACCTAAGATTCTCAATTACTTATCTTCTAAAACTAGTAAGAGTGAGTTCTGTTCTTTGCAAAGAACTGTGACTAATACATATACTGAACTACTGTTACCTGCCAAAATCCAGGTTGACACATTCCTACCTTACATAAACTTCATAAAAATGATGTAAGGGCCGTGTAGTGGCTCATGCCTGTAATCCCAGCACTGTGGGAGGCTGAGGCGGGAGGATCACGTGAGCTCAAGAGTTCCACACCAGCCTGGACAATATAGTGAGATCCCCGTCTCCAGTATTTAAAAAATCTTTTAAGGTACGAATTATTATACATTTTACAGCTGAAAACACTGAGACTCAAAAAGACACTTAATTCATTCTACAAATATTTATTAAAGCCCAACTGTGTGCCAGCCACCAGGCATAGAATAGGGAACAAAATAGTTTCCCTGCAACTATATAAAAAGAATGGCATATTGTACTTAAATGCCTCCTTGCCAAAATAAGAGGCACAGGACAACAGCTGTCTGGAGATGACCTCAAGCCAGTCAGGCCCCATTTTAAATATAGAAACCCCTAAGAATAGCCGCCAGTGCTCCAGACTCAACAGGTGATTGGCCCAGAGAGGGGAGGTGACCCCAGGCCCCAGGAAAGGGAGCGAGGACAGCGCTGGTTCCCGGCTCCCCGCACCATCATGGCTTTGCCTCTGAGGCCCCTGACCCGGGGCTTGGCCAGCGCTGCCAAAGGAGGCCACGGAGGAGCAGGAGGTGAGTGGGGAACGGGCGGATCCGGGGGCTCCCCTACCCTGCCCACCTGTTCACAGGCCCGCCGCCCCAGGACCGCCGCGCTCACCCCGCTCCGTCCGCAGCTCGTACCTGGCGTCTGCTGACCTTCGTGCTGGCGCTGCCCAGCGTGGCCCTCTGCACCTTCAACTCCTATCTCCACTCGGGCCACCGCCCGCGCCCCGAGTTCCGTCCCTACCAACACCTCCGCATCCGCACCAAGGTACGCGGGACGGGCGCGCGGGCGGCACGGGGGTGCTGCGGGGGCGGGGGGGGGTGCTGCGGGGGCGGGGGGGGGTGCTGCGGGGGGGGGGTCGCGCGGGGCGCGGACTCCGGACTCACGGCGCTCACGCGCGCTCCCTCCCCCGCTCTCTCCACAGCCCTACCCCTGGGGGGACGGCAACCACACTCTGTTCCACAATAGCCACGTGAACCCTCTGCCCACGGGCTACGAACACCCCTGAGGCCCCGGACGCCCCCGGACACAATAAAGGTGTGAAGCTTCGAGTCTGCGGCTCTGTGGGGAGGGCGGGGCCACGGGGAGCGCGCCCAGAGGCGCCCGCTCCGCGCATGCGCCCAGCTTGGTAAGCGCTCCTGCTCCGCGCATGCGCCTAGCGCGGTGGGCGCTCCACGTGCTTTTCCCACGCCGCTGATACGGAGGTGCTCGAGGGAGCCTCCTCCACTCACAGGTAGGCGATCCCAGCTCCCTGTCTCTCACCTGGTAATAATGAGGCCTCCCTCTCACACACACCTATTAATAATTAGGGCTCTAGGCTGTAATGGGCTTCCGCGTACACCGAATCCTCACAGTAACGCTGGGAGCAGGGTATAAATTTAGTTCACCTTCTCCCGAGGAAGACCTGAGATTCTTGGGAATTAAATGACTTGTCCAAGTTCCGGCAGCTCGGCAGAGCCCCCATGGGAGCCCAGGGCTGCAGATCCTGAAGTCCCACTTCTTGCCTGACACCTGAGCTGCTGGTGTCTGTGAATCCCAGCTCTCTGGATTTCAGACGGAGGCTCCACAGTCCTGTGTGTGAGGCCTTGGGACCTAATGCTGGATTTGGAATCTTTTGATAATTCTCTATAATCTTTCTTTCTTTTTTTTTTTTTTTTTTTGAGACGGAGTCTCGCTCTGTCGCCCAGGCCGGACTGCGGACTGCAGTGGTGCAATCTCGGCTCACTGCAAGCTCCGCTTCCCGGGTTCACGCCATTCTCCTGCCTCAGCCTCCTGAGTAGCTGGGACTACAGGCGCCCGCCACCGCGCCCGGCTAATTTTTTGTATTTTTAGTAGAGACGGGGTTTCACCTTGTTAGCCAGGATGGTCTCGATCTCCTGACCTCATGATCCACCCGCCTCGGCCTCCCAAAGTGCTGGGATTACAGGCGTGAGCCACCGCGCCCGGCCTATAATCTTTCTTAATGAGTCTTCTATATGGGAAATCACATGCTCCTAGCCTGGCTCTCCTGGCTTCTGAGTACCTCATTCAAGGGGGACAGGAGTTCAAATGAGCTCTGGACATTTCTTCACCTCCTAGGACAGCCTGCCCACTTACCATTACAGAGGAACCTGAAGTGTGTGAAGAAACCCATGACCAATGCATGCCTGCGTGCACGTGCATGCACATGCACACACACACACACACACACACACACACACACTCTTTGACCCTCTCCCCTGATACACACCTCTCAGCCCCATCAAGAAAAGATGACCTCAGGCTCCCATCACCATAGAAAGTGAAAAAACTTTTTCAATGCCCACAAATAGGTTCCCCCGACTATTCCCAGAGAGGCACTCAGGTCCCTGGGTTATAGCTCTTCCACGCAAGGAAAGTGTGCTATAAACATCCTCATTTCATGTGACAATTCTTAAGCATATGAAAATTTATGCTGGCACCATGCCTGCTTCTGTAAAAAGTGGGTCATTGCTGAAAAAGATGGACAGATATGTAAAAACATTACAATCTCTATCTCTCCGAGAAGGTGCTTAGCACCTGGTAGGTTGCTTAGGCCAGTGCAGATCTATGCAGAAGTTGTTTCCATGTAAGTTGATTTATGGTTGCAAGCAAGTCCAGCCCACAGTGGTAGAGATAAACAGGAAAGTGGATTATTAGGACAAAGGCACATTTGGGGCCACACAGCTGAAATCGTCCCCACTGAATGTGGCAGTGTCTTCAGGCTTGTCCTCCAGCATTTCCTTGTAGTGGCGTTTGAAGAAGCCAAGCTATCAGGGGAAATAAATTAGAAAAGCTGGGTAAGTCCGGGCCCGGTGGCTCACACCTGTAATCTCAGCACTGTGGGAAGCTGAGGAGGGTGGATCACCTGAGGTCAGGAGCTGGAGACCAGCCTGGCCAACATGGTGAAACCCCGTCTCTACTAAAAATACAAAAATTAGCTGGGTGTGGTGGTGCGCCTGTAATCCCAGCTACTCAGGAGGCTGAGGCAAGAGAATCGCTTGAACCCGGGAGGCAGAGGTTGCCGTGAGCCAAGATCATGCCACTGCACTCCAGCCTGGGCAAGACAGCAAGACTCCATGTAAAAAAAAAAAAGAAGAAGAAGAAAAAGAAAAGAGAAAGAAAAGAAAGAAAAGCTGGGTAAGAGGGCAGGGAAGAAAATTGGGAATAAGAGGAAGCTGAGAGAGAAGAGGAGGCAACAACTAAGCTAACTTACGTTTGTGTGCGAGAACATTTATGTGAACAGCTATCATATATCGAGCATCTGCTGGCCCCGAGCACAGTAGGTACACACACGACCCGTGGCAGGACAGCATAGATCCAGGCAGATCTGTGCACATGCCCTGGCCTCATTTCTCTCTCACTTCAGCCACTCTGTGATATAAGCATTATTATCATTTCAAAAATGAGAAACGGCCGGGCACAGTGGCTCATGCCTGTAAACCCAGCAGTTTGGGAGGCCGAGGTGGGCGGATCACATGAGGTCAGGAGTTTGAGACCAATCTGACCAACATGGTGAAACCTCTCTCTACTAAAAATACAAAAAATAGCCAGGTGTGGTGGTGTGTGCCTGTAGTCCTAGCTACTTGGGAAGCTGAGGCATGAGAATCTTTTGAACCTAGGAGGTGGAGGTTGCAGTGAGCTGAGATTGTGCCACTGCACCCCAGCCTAGGCAACTGAGTGAGACTCCATCTCAAAAGAAAAAAAAGAAAGAGAGAAACAGGCTTAGAGAGGTGGAGCAACTTGCCTAACATTAAACAGTGAGTACATGATAGAGCCAAAATGTGTGTCCAGGCCTGTCTGCCTCCACAGTCTGAGTTCTCACTATATCAGCCAGTCTGTAGGAGGGCTTGGGTTGGATGCTGGTGGTGTCAAGAATGGGATAAGGCCGGATGAGGTGGCTCACACCTGTAATCCCAGAACTTTGGGAGGCCAAGGTGGGCGGATCACCTGAAGTCAGGAGTTCGAGACCAGCCTGGCCAACATGATGAAACTCCATCTCTACTAAAAATACAAAAAACTAGCCGGGCATGGTGCAGTCCACCTGTAATCCCAGCTACTCGGGAGGCTGAGACAGGAGAATCACTTGAACCCGGGAGGTGGAGGTTGCAGTGAGCCAAGATCATGCCATTGCACTCCAGCCTGGGCAGTAAGAGTGGAAACTCCATCTCAAAAAAAAAAAAAAAAGAGTTGGATAAAACACTTGCCTTGTACAGTGTGGCTGTGATGAGCGCCAGCAGTAGCAGAGCCCCCACAGAGCTGCCCATGATGATGGGAATGGCATTGTAGACCTCGTCTTCTTCTAGCACCATCTCCATCTGATTTAGAGATCAGAGAGCATCCGGCCTCATGCCATCCCAGATGCCTCCCAGGTTCCGCAACCTTTAACTCTCTCCCCTCCTTTCTGAGGCTCTGCTCCAAGGAGTGAGACACAGTAGCACCCGTGCCCTTAGGGACAGCTGTCCTGCCCAGAGACTTTCACCCTCCTCCCGCAAGGCTTGCAAACCCCCCACCCAGCACCACAGATGTAGCCCTAGGGGTCCTCTTTCCAGCTGGTCGCTGCCCTCCACATGGTCTCTACCTGAGCTCTCATAAATGCCTCCTGTCCTGGAAGCTGGGAGTACACGGATGTGTCGAACGTAATTTCAGCCACACTCACGACCAACACCTTCTTCTGCAATGTCTGCAAAGGGGTTGGGGGAAACCTGTGGAACTGGCTCTGGGGGAGGCTCAGAGCTTCGGGGGTGCCCTGGCTTGCAGATGGGCACAGACATGCCAGGTCCTGCCTGAGTCTGGGGCAGGGGCTCTGCCGCTGCCCCCACACACCTCGCGGACCCAGCCGAAACTGAGATTGCCCTTCAGGGTGAAATCCAGCTCCTCCTGGACGCTGAAGGAGGGGACGTCACAGCGGAACTGCAGGCAGTCAGCAATGGAGCAGTCCTGGGGGCAGAAGAGGGGTGAAACTGAGGGGTTCTTCCCTGAGGAGGGAGCCATAGGAAAAAATATGGTCAGGTTTGGGGTGGGGAACAGATGAGCAGTTACAGGACATGCACGGAACTCTGTGGCCTAGCAGTACATTTCCCAGTATCCCCGGTGGGGGCTGATCTTGGCGGTGGGGGTTCAGGGACTTTCTCACCAGCATGGGACTTCTTGAAATCTGGGTCAGGAAGTCAGAATGCTGGGGAGGTTTTCTCTCTGAAACACAGGGGAGACTCTGGGAAGAGAAAGAAGCACTTAGCCACAGAATGAGCAACATGTCCCTGGTAAGAGGGAGTGCTGTGCTGTGGGATGTCAGTCTGAAGAAAGAGGAGAGATAGGCGGGTACCTGAGATGGGGCCTCCATGACCACATCCCACACAGCCACCCCGTTCAGCAGGACAGGAACCCAGAAGTTAATGCTGATGGCCAGATCTCGCTGGCTGAGGTTATTCACCTGCAGGAAATCAAGGCAGAGTGTTATTGTGGTCTCTGGAGCCTTCCAAATCCTACTTCCCTCCTGGCCCTACCCCAAGGCTCCTCTCCATCTTCTCCACCAACTTCCAACTTTATCCACAACGTGGAAGGCAGACATGGATACTCCCTAGACTCTCACACGGTATCGATGCTCAGCCTCTTTCATTTTCTTCTCATCGGAGGTTGCAAAGTTGAAGTACTTGGTGGATTCTTCCTGCCTGGAGAGAGAGCCTGTGGGTGAAAAACAGCCCTGAAACTGTCCCCAGTTGTGCCCTGTCCTACTGCAGAGAGCTCTGTTGGGCTGGGCAGATGTCTCAGGGAAATAACGATGGACATTATTTGGCCGGGCACAGTGGCTCATGCCTGTAATCCCAGCACTTTGGGAGGCTGGGGCAGGAGGGTTTCTTGAACCCAGGAGTTCCAGACCAGCTGGGGCAACATCGTGAGACCCTGTCCCTATTCAAAGTAAATAAGTAAAAGATGGTCCCACATAACCTTTGCTGCCTCGGCTTCAGCTCCCCTCCCTCCGATGTCCCTTGCCCCCATCACCCAGATCCACTAGCTCTGCCATGCACACCGCTGGCTCTTTCATAGCCTCATGACTTTGCTCAAGCTCTTCTCCTTGGAACGTTCTTACTGTCTCCAGTTTTGGAAATTTACACTTAAAGACCCAACTTAAACCTCATGTCTCCTACATGGGGCAAAGGCGTTTGCATTGCTTTCTCTAATAGGTAGTGTTTGGCCTCTGGTAATGCTTACAGAGATTGTAGCAGAACAAGTTAGCCTAAGGGGACTCTAGGAATGAGAGCTGGATCACTCAGGAAGACATGGAGTGAGGGCCCCTTCATGGTGGGAATGAAGAAAATAGATTCGGCTGTCCTGGGGCAGGTGAGTAAATGTGAAGGAAGATAGTGCCTGTGCACAAGCCTGTGGAAGGGACATCAGTGTTCCAGGCAGCAGGTGGGGTCTTTCCACCCAAACTTCCTTCAGCAAACACAGGCTGTGTGGTTGGCACTGGGGATTCAAGTTAAGCCATAACTCCCTGCCCTCTCACCACTTAACATCTAAAGTTTTAGTAAAAATGAGCAAGCTGGCCAGGCGAGGTGGCTCACGCCTGTAATCCCAACACTTAGAGAGACTAAGGCAGAAGAATCGCTTGAGCCCAGGAGTTCAAGACTGGCCTGGGCAACACAGAGAGACCTCGTCTCTGCAAAAAAAAAAAAAAATACAAACATTAGCTGCAAGTGGTGGCACACGCCTGTGGTCCCAGCTACTCAGGAGGCTGAGGCAGGAGGATTGCTTGAGCCTGGGAGGTCGAGGCTGCAGTAAGCTATGTTCACACCACTCCCCTCCAGCCTGGGTGACAGAGTGAGACCCTGTCTCAAAACAAACAAAAAGCAAAAGTAAGCAGACCAGCAGAGGGGCCTGCACCTCGCATGCAGCAGCCAGACCAGCCACACAGAAACAGCCCCAGCAGTCCACCCCCCATCAGCCTGATGACTAAAAACATGGGCTCCAGTGTCAAACCGCCTAGGTTCACATCTCAGGTCGACCACTTCCTACCTGAGTCACTGAGGCAAGCCACTTCACGTCTCTGGAAACTGTAGCTTTTCACTCTTTAAAATGGGGATGCAAACCGTAGCAACCTCCCTGTAGTAGAGTTGTGACCAGGGCTTGGTAGTGCCCAGCACACAGGGACTCCTCCATAAATCTTAAGGTTTATTTTTCCCTAAGTATGCCGGTTTTCCTCTGTGCCCCCCACCCCAAACCCTTCTCTCTATGCTTCTGTTTTCTCATCTTAAAATCTAGTTCTAAACCTCTTTTCATTTTTAAAGTTTTATTTTATTTTCATTTTTAATTTTTTTTTTTTGGTAGAGATGGGTTCTCACTATGTTGCCCAGGCTGGTCTTAAACTCCTGGGCTCAAGCCATCCTCCCACTCATGCCTGTAATCCCAGCACTTGGCCTCCCAAAGTGCTGGGATTACAGGCACGAGCCACCGTGCGCAGCCTAAGCCTGTTTTCAGATCTAAGTAAACCACCCAGCTTTCCCCAGTCCTTGGAGAGGCATGCCATGTATGGCCATGGGCATGGGCTCTGCAGCCAAACCGTCTGGGTCTGATTCCTGGTTCTGCTGCCCACTTGGAGATTGACAGGAACAAAGTATTTCACTTCTTGATGTCTTTGTTGGTGAAAATAGGGATAACAATATAATTATTGGTAGGATTAAATAAATGTAAATACATATAAAGTACTTAAGATGGTGTAAGAAAACCACCATAAAACAACAGCAACATAAAACGTGCCTGACATGGGTATATATAACTGTAAGCTCTTATTGTAAGTATTTTCCTGTGGATAGAAAGGGAAACCTACATGTGGCTTGAAAGGACAATGACACTGCTTGATCTCCCTCGCTCCTTCCCCTAACAACTTAATACATCAGAAGCAACAGTGGACAGGTGTGGTGGCTCATGCCTGTAATCCCAGCACTTTGGGAGGCCCTCGGGTGGGGGTGGATCACCTGAGGTCACGAGTTCAAGACCAGCCTAACCAACATGGTGAAACCCTGTCTCTACTAAAAATACAAAACTAGCCAGGCATGGTGGCACATGCCTGTAGTCCCAGCTACTCGAGAGGCTGAGGCAGGAGAATCACTTGAACCTGGGAGGCGGAGATTTCAGTGAGCTGAGATCGCAACATTGCACTCCAGCCTGGGCAACAAGAGTGAAACTCCATCTCAAAAACAAACAAACAAACAAACAAAAAATTAGCTAGATGTGGTTGTGCATGCCTGTAATCCAACTACTCGGGAGGCTGAGGCAGGAGAATCACTTGAACCTGGGAGGTGGAGGTTGCAGTGAGCCCAGATTGCACCACTGAACTCCAGCCTGGGTGAAAGAGTGAGATTCCGTCTAAAAAAAAAAAAGCAATAGCAGCAAACTTTGTCCCACAGCAGTGTTACAGTCTTTCAGCCCAGTGTATGGGATGCCTTGCTCTGCATCCAGCCTCGCCTGCCCCTGTGCCTCCACCACCTGCAGAACCCTCTTGCCTTCAGCCCTACACTTGCCTTTCCTGCGCTGCCTTGGCCAGGCTCTTAAGAGACCTTCCCAACAGTTTCTCACACCTCTGCCCCACTCTGAGTTTTATAGAAACCTGACCTTTCCTTTCCTCTGTGTGGTGACAGACCATATCCTGTTGGGCACAAGCTCCCCAATTCAGGGTGCTCAGAAAAGCCTTGATCTCCATGTAGCAGCTTTGCTTCAGCACATTCACATTTAATACAAAGGACAGAATTTGTTTCATGTTAAAAAAGGAAGCCTTCCTTTTAGAGGGAGAGGGGGAAAGGCACAGTGGTGGCAATGTGTGTGTGTCCCACCAGCAAGTCGATTTGAGAGAAGCAGCAAGAGCTATGGTATATATTATTAGGGTACAAATACACCAAGGATACATTCCAAGAAATTAATCGTTAGGCAATTTCTTTTTCTTTTCTTTTTTTTTCTTTTTTTTTTTTTTTTTTTGAGACAGAGCCTTAATCTGTCACCCCTGAGCTGGCATGCAGCAGCGCGATCTCAGCTCACCGCAATCTCCGCCTCCCAAGTTCAAGCGATTCTCTTGCCTTAACCTCCCCAGTAGCTGGGATTACAGGCGTGTGCCACTGCGCCTGGCTAATGTTTGCGTTTTTAGTAAAGACAAGGTTTCGCCATGTTGGCCAGGCTGGTCTTGAACTCCTGACCTCAGGTGATCCGCCTGCCTCAGCCTCCCAAAGTGCTGGGATTACAGGTGTGAGCCACTGCGCCCGGCCTTAGGCAATTTCATCATTGTGCAAACATCATAGGTTGCACTTATGCAAACCTAGATGGTAGAGCCTACTGCACAGCTAGGTGATATGGTATAGCCTATTGCTCCTGGGCTACAAACCCATGCAGCGTGTTACTGTACTGGATATTGTAGGCAATTGTAACACAATGGAAAGTATTTGTGTATCTAGACATAAAAAAGGCAATGAGTTGCACTACAATGTTACAACTGCTATGACATCATTAGGAGATTTTTCAACTCCGTTATAATTTTAGGAGACCACCCGTAGTAAATGTGGGTCCACTGTTGACAAAAACACCTTTTTTTTTTTTTTTTGTTTGAGACAGAATCTTGCTCTATTGCCCAGGCTGGAGTGCAGTGGCACAATCTCAGCTCACTGCAACCTCCGCCTCCCAGGTTCAAGAGATTCTCCTGCCTTAGCCTCCTGAGTAGCTGGGATTACAGGCATGCGCCACCAGGCCCAGCTAATTTTTTTTTTTTTTTTTTTTGAGACAGAGTCTCCCTCTGTCACCCAGGCTGGAGTGCAGTGGCATGATCTCGGCTCACTGCAACCTCCGCCTCCCGGATTCAAGTGATTCTCCTGCGTCAGCCTCCCAAGTAGCTGGGATTACAGGCACGCATGACCACGCCCAGCTAATTTATTTTGTATTTTTAGTAGAGATGGGGTTTCACCATGTTGGCCAAGCTGGTCTCGAACTCCTGACCTCAGGTGAACCACCTGCCTCAGCCTCCCAAAGTGCTGGGGTTACAGGCGCGAGGTACCGCGCCCAGCCCAGAAACATCTTTATGCAGCATAAATGTCATTATATATGGCCATTCACCCACAAAGGCATCCCAAAACAGGAGAGCTTAGATGTGCATCATTGGAAGAGCAGGCTGGGACTCAGAAGGAGTACCAGGCATAGAGGAAGGCCAGAGGTCCAAGGGGAAGGCCAGGGACTGGGCACCTGCTGATCATGGTGTAGACTGCATACTTCACCGGGAGCTCCAGCTGGAAGGTGGCCTTGCTGCTTGAAGCCTTATTGTTCTCACTGGAGACAGAAAGGAGGGACCAATGGGAAGGAATCCAGGAGAGGGGTCTCTAGCCGGGGCATGCGATGGAGGGTGGGGGATACCCTGGCCTGGACCCACCTGCTTGCACTGGCCCTCATAAGCATCCTGTCTCCCAGGGTGGCCTTGTAGGAGACATCGAATGTGACTATGAAGGTGCCCTGAGGGAAGAAGAAGGAAAGAATGGGGATAAAAGGAAGGGCATGGCAGAGTGAGGGACAGATTGGGACAAGGGAGGACAGTGATGGGGATTTAGGGAGAAGCACTGACGTTAGAGCCCTCATGGAAGATGGGGTGGTTGACACTGCAGCGGCTGCTTCTTAGGCCCTCATCCTCAGTGGGCACTGTCTCACATGCCAGGCGCAGGGCACTCTGATGGGGCTGCTTCTAGGGGAGGAGAATGAATTTTAAGAAGTTACCCGCATGCATGTGTGGGCTTGATACACAGCAGTGGTGGCACTGCAGAGCACTAGGGAAAATGACAGACTTTTCTTTTTTTGTTGTTGTTTTTTTTTGAGACGGATTTCACTCTTGTCACCCAGGCTGGAGTGCAATGGCATGATCGTGGTTCACTGCAACCTCCACCTCCTGGGTTCAAGCAATTCCCCTGCCACAGGCTCTTGAGTAGCTGGGATTACAGGTGCCTGCCACCATGCCTGGCTAATATTTTTGTATTTTCAGTAGAAATGGGGTTTCACCATGTTGGCCAGGCCAGTCTCAAACTCCTGACCTCAGGTGATCCACCCGCCTTGGCCTCCCAAAGTGCTGGGATTACAGGTGTGAGCCACTGCACCCGGCCAAGGACAGACTTTTCAATCAATTTCCATCAATGCCAGGAAAATTGACCCATACAAAAAATTTTTTAAAAAGCAGAAGAAAAGTAAAGAAAGTACAAGAGGAAGAGGAGGAGAAAGAAGAAAAAGAAATTGGATCCCTACCTCACTCCATAAATTAAAATAAATTCCAACTGGATTAAATACTTAAATGTGAAAAAGCAAAACCATGAAGCTTTTGGAATATAATATAGGGGGCTATTTTCATAACCTGGAAGTGTTTCTTAAATAAGACCCACACACAGAAACAATATGGTCAGGTGTGGTGGTTCACACCTGTAATCTCAGCACTTTAAGGGCTGAGGTGGGAGGATTACTTGAGCCCAGGAGTTTGAGACCAGCCTGGGCAGCATGGTGAGACCCTGTCTCTAAAAAATAAATAAATAAATAAATAAATAAATAAATAAATAAATAAATATTAGCTGGGCGTAGTGGCATGCACCTGTAGTCCCAGCTACTTGGGAGGCTGACGTGGGAGGATTGCTTGAGCCCAAGAGGTCTAGGCTGCAGTGAGTGGTGATTGTGCCACTGCACTCCAGCCTGGGTGACAGAGTAAGACTCAGTCTCAAAAAAAAGAGGGAGGGAGGGAGGGAGGGAGGAAGTAAGGGAGGGAGGGAGGGGGGAGGGAGGGGGGAAGGAGAGAGAGAGAGAGATACAAGGAAATGACCACAAAGTCAGAATAGTGATGACCTTTGGGGACAGGATGGAGCTGTGATGGGGAAAGGTAAACAGGGAGGGGGTTCTGGGGATGCTAGCAGTGATTTATTTCTTGATCTGGATGTTAACTCTATGGTTTGTTTAATATTATTCATTAAACCGTATGTATGCTTTATGCACTTTCTCTGTGTGTATGTGTGTGTGTGTGAGAGAGAGAGAGAGAGCACATATCATCACAGAACAATTTTGAAGAACACTGTGTAACTCCCGGGGCTACAGGGCAGGGGAGAGGCCCCCTCCCACTAGAGCCTACAGCAGTTGTTACCTGGGCTCCTGACACCCGTCGGTGCGACAGCCCTGCTGGATAGTAGAGGCTGACCACGGTTCCGTAGGAATCCTCACCTGCGTTCCACACAGTCACAATCACGTTGAGCTCCAGGGAGCTCCCCACGGTCAGGGTCTGCAGGCTGAAGGGGAAGGACGAGGCTGGGAGTGGCGCTCCACTGGAAATAGGTGGGAACTGGGAAGGGCAGGGCAGAATCCCAGGAACTCTGGAGCTCTGGGCCAATAACAATCCAGTGAACATCACTTTTGTTAGAAAGAGCCAGAGAGCAGCACAAGCATCCCAGGAGGATGGGGGACTCAGAAGCCTGAGTGTCTGGATATGAAGGGAGTTACAGCTCACCCTGAGAAGCTGAGGGTGACACCCAGGTCCCCTTCACAGAGGCCATCTTGCCCACAGTTCTTCTCGAAGGGGAGCTGCAGCAAAATAGTATATTCTGTTCCCATCTGACATCTTAGTCTTTCTCCAAGCCCCTCCTTAGAAGCACTCTCCAACATTGAGCATTACTAAGCCACTGCCCCCAGCACTTTGCTGGACACCAACAAGGGGCGCAGGTGCGGTTTGGAGGTTGGCATATAAAAGAAAGATAAGACAAGATCCTTGGCTTCAAGGGACATAAAGTTCAGTTGAGTTACATCCAGCTTATCCTGGAACAATTATTCCACAAACATTATTAAGTGCCAATAATTGTGCAGGTTCTGGGTTGGGCGAGGGCTGGGGGAAGGTGGAAATGACAGGCAAATTCGACATGGTTCCTATGCTCAAAGAAACTACAGTCCCAAGACAGCCTCAAATGTAGATGCAGATGGTTATAACAGCCATGTGATATCTGCTGTGGCACCACCTTGGTGTAACAGGGACCAGAGAAGGAGCGGCAGATGCTGAGTGTGGCCTTCAGAAGAGAGGGAGGTAAGGCTGGAGCTTCGGGGGAAAACGGGGAGAGAAGGCAGAAGGCACTGTTTTCCAAGTGAGGGGCGAAACAGGGACAAAGGCACAGAGGTAGGAATGAGGAAACTTGGGAGGGATCTGGGAATGAACAAGAGAGTCTGTGCTAGGGAAAAGTGGGAACTGCCTAGGATGTGTACAGTTCCTGGGTGTGTGGATGGAGGTGGGAGAAGGGCCTAAGACCAGAAGGGAGAGCGAGGCTGGCGCATTTATGAAAAGCGTGCCTAGTAAGGGCGAGTGGGATGCCGTGAAGCCAGAGAGGCCAGGAGGCCAAGTCAGAGAGGACATCAGAGGGAAGGACTGGGATCTTTGTAAATGCAAGGGGGATTACGCAGGGGAGTGAAGAGCCTAGATTTGCATTTTAGGACCAGTCGACTCTAGCTCCTCTATGGAAAATGGGTGGGAGGATACAACAATAGATATGGGAACCATTTCGTGTCAACTCTGGTGTAGGTGGGAGAGAATCGAGGGGCTGGGGGAAGGCAGCAGCTGGGACCAGGAGGAGAAATGGGTGGACTTCATGTCAGTCCTGGAGACAGAACCCACAGGCCTGGGTGTGAGGAGGAAGGGAGAGACTGGAGTCAGGTTTCTGGACTGGATGTGGTTGGGTGTTGGGGAGCTACAGTGGATTCTTAAGCTCATGGAGACAAAATGAAGTCAGCACATCCCTGGGACTTCATCAGAAGACTCACAGAAGCAGTGAAGAGGTCTTGTGAGCCCACGGCCAGCACAGGACGCAGGTTCTGGGGGGAGGGGATGGGCTCTCTCACCAGTGAGAAGTTGAGGTGCAGAATGATGGGGCTCACCACATCCTCCACACAATCCTGAGAGAGAACAGGCTTTCAAGAACCTGCTGTCCTCTCTACGCTCCACCACAAGTCCTCCTCCACTGCATCCACTCCCCACTGCCCTGACAGTGCTCCCTCCAAGCCGTGGAGCCAGGTTCTCCTGCCCTAATGTCCCTCTCTCCAGCCCCAACATCCTAACCCTTCCCACCTCGCTCAGCAGAGAACGGGGGTGCTCCAGGCCAGCCTTGGGCTCCTCCTCTCTCCCCCTTCCCAGAACCCAAAGTCCTCACTGGCAAAAGCAGCTTCAGGGTTTCACAGTGAATCCCCAGTCCCAGGGTTTTTCTTCGAGTCAAAGTGGGGTTCTTGGTTTCATTGAAAATGGCACGAGAAGTCAGACGACCTGGGTCCAGTGCCAGATCAAACCTGACAGAGCTTTGGATGTCACCTGAAGTGCAGGGGAGAGTGCAAAATGAAAAGGCAGAAATAACCTAGAATGCTCTGTTTTCATTATTTGTTCATGCAATACATGTTTGCTGGACACTGCTATGGGCCATGAACTGTACCACGTGCTGGGGATACATGTGAAGAAGATAGATGGACGGATAGATGATGGATGGATGGATGGATGGATGGATGGATGGATGGATGGCTAGATAATAGATAAATAGATGATAGATTAAATAGGTGACAGATTAGATAGACAGATGATAGATAATAGATGATAGATTTGGTAGAGGATAGATTAGATAGGTGATAGATGATAGATAATAGGTGATAGATTGGTAGATAGATGATAGATTAGATAGGTGATTAGATTAATAGATAATAGATAGATGACAGATTTGGCAGATAGATGATAGATTAGCTAGCTAGATAGATATGGCCCCCACTCTCATGAACCTCACAATCTAAGAAAGAAGCCAAGCACATGGGACGTGATGTTGCAGCGTGATCAGTGCGAGGGGAGGCTCTCCTGTGGTTCTAAGGAGAGCATGCTTGCTGGACCTGGCCAGGCTGCCATCCCGGATGGACCATGGCTAAGCAGCCACCTGGAGAATGAGCAGGAGCCAGGTGAGGAGTGGGGAGAACATCCGGGACCATGGGAACAGGGCCTAAGACCAGAAGGGAGAGCAAAGCTGGTGCATTTACGAAAAGCGTGCCTAGTAAGGAGGAGTGGGATGCTATGAGGTCAGAGAGGCCAGGAGGCCAAGTCAGAGAGGGCACTGGAGGGAAGGACTGGAGTCTTTGTAAATGCAAGGCGGGTTACGCAGGGGAGTGAGGAGCCCAGATTTGCATTTTAGGACCAGTCGACTCTAGTTCCTCTGTGGAAAATGGGTGGGAGGGTGCAAGAAGAGATGTGGGAACTGCTTCATGTCATGACTTTGGTGTAGGTGGAAGGGAATCAGGGGCTGGGGGAAGGCAGTGGCTGGGGCCCAGGAGAGAACTGGGTGGACTTCAGGTCAGCCCTGGAGACAGAATCCACAGGCCCAGGTGTGAGGAAGAGGGGAGAGAATGAGCCAGGTTTCTGGCACAGGTGGTGAGTGAATGTGGAGGTAAGATTGGATTCCTAGGCCCATCCCATCCTCAGGATGGCATTGGGGCCCCTAATGGAATGAGGGGCCTGGGCCCCCTTTATGGGGGAAACACACCTAGCTGGTCCAGTGAGCTTTTCTGGATGGTGAGACAGACGGTGGCGTCCCCAGCTTCCAGGGCACTGGGCTTCTCTTCCCAGCACCGGTACACAGCCTTGGCCACCTCCACAGGGCTGAATCTCATGGCCACCCCCACTTTCAGCACCGGCAGACTCCTGAGGGGCAGAGTAGTGGGGAGGACAGAACACTGGCTTCTGGGAGGATAACGTGGCTGGGGAGGCAGCACCGGTGAATCAGACACAGCGCGGGAGGGCAGGATGTTGGGGAGTCGCTACCTGAGCAGGAGCACCTGGCCCCGGGCCCCCACGGCCAGGTCCATCAGTCCATCCTGGGTGAGGTCCTGACCCCCACTCAGCGCCTGCCCAAAATACTGCAGCCTGGGGGAGAGCTGGGAGCTGGCAATCCGCTGGCCAGAAGAGAAAAGGGTGAATCAGGCTGGAAGATGGGGGAAGAAGTTGGAAATAAGTAACAAGGGGAATATGGAGGTAGGATGGTGGCAAAGGGAGAGAAGGGGTGAGCTGTGAACAGATGTCACCAACAAGAGCCTGAAAAGAGGAGGTAGGAGTCGGGAGATGATTGCTAAGAAATAGATGTAGGAGTGGAGATTGGAAGGGTGTCCTGGTGACCCGAGTGTCATTCATTCAATCAATCTCTAGTTCCAATTCTGACTCCTCCACGTATGAGCCACGAGGCCGTGGGCAAGGACTCAATCTGTCTGTCCCTCCGTTTGCTCATCTTTCCAGCAACCCGCTGGCCAGAGAGATGGGAGTGGCGGAAGTCAAAGGGAGGTGATGGGAAAGGTTTGAGAGGAGAGATTTGGAAAACAGATTGTGGTGAAAGAGGATCAGAAGACAGAAATTGGAAAGGAGAGATGTGGAGATAGAAATTGAAAGCAAATACAGCCAGGCGGAGTGGCTCACGCTTGTAATCCGAGCACTTTGGGAGGCTGAGACAAGCAGATCACCTGAGGTCAGGAGTTCGAGACCAGCCTGGCCAACATGGTGAAACCCCATCTCTACTAAAAATACAAAAATTAGCCGGGTATGGTGGCAGAAGCCTATAATCTCAGCTACTCGGGAGGCTACTCGGGAGGTTGCAGTGAGCCAAGATTACGCCACTGCACTCCAGCCTGGGCGACAGAGTGAGACTCTGTCTCAAAAAAAAAAGAAAAAAAAAAAGCAAACAGGGTGAGGACCTCGGGACCCCCAAACAGAGAAGGGGGCTCTTTGGGTCCAACCCGTCATGAGGGTGCAGGTTGGTGAGGAAGTAAGAGCGTAACAATAGGCGTATAATATATTTGTGTATTCATCACTGGTCAGGTCACTCATGAACCTTCAGTGAGTGCAGTGGTGATTGCCTTAGCACTCTCACTGTTATTTCTACAAGAGGCCTAAGGAGTTGGTTTTATCATTTCTGCGTTTTATAGAAAGAAACTAAGGCTGACCAAGGCTGTCAGTCACCTGCCTAAGGCCACACAGCTCAGGATGGCCGGCCCGGCCAGGGATTTGAACTGGCCTCTGACCTCAAAGTCTGCTCTCCTAACCATTAAGCTGCCCACACAGATGGAAGGCTTTCTGGAACAAAGGAGAGAAGAGAGATGACGTGTGCTTAGCTGACAAACCACTGCAACAAGGAAGGGAATGGTGACAGAGACAGGAGGCTGCGTTCAGTGAACTCAGGACATGGGAAGGAGCTGGGACTAAAAGAGGCTGAAGACGGGCCTCACCTGGCTGTGGGAGGGGCTGATGCCGGATTCTGAGGCTCCGTGAAACAGGTAGACAGCACCCCGGTTCTCCTGCTCTCCCGGGGCCCCAATGGCCACGTCTATCAGCTTGTCCTCATTCACATCCCCCAACACTGTCAGGGCTGCCCCAAAGCGGCCCCAGGGGTGGCCCTGCTCACCACGGAGAACAGCGTCACACTGCCACTGCACCCTCTGCTGAACACAAGCAGTGTCAGACCCCAATCCAGGTGACGCCTCCACTCACACCGGACCCCACCCAGCCTAGGTCCCATCAGCCACTCACCCCCCTAGGCAAGGGACACACGGACACCTGGCCCCCTCGGGTCTGCTCATAGTAATGGGGGGCCCCAATGAGGATCAGGTCGGTGCTGCCATCGCTGTCCACATCCACAGAGCAGAGGGAGGCCCCGAAGTAGGAGCCGATCTGGAGGGCAGAGCCTGGGTCATGCTGCCTGTCCCAGCCAGAGGCAGCCCTGTGGGCCAGGGTCCCGCCTCTCCCCAGGTACCAGGACCTCTCCCAAGGCCCCCAAAGCCCCTCCATCCTCTCCCTAGCCCCGGCCACTGTCCCCACCCTCATCCTCCCCACCCTCATCCTCCCCTCTGGCTCCTGTCACGCCCAACCTGCGTCCCTGTGACTTCGGCCTTCTTCCTCCATTGCCTGGACACCTGGGTGAAGATGACAGCCTTCCCGGTATGCTGGTAGCGGGGGGCCCCCAGGACCAGGTTCTGTACCCCCTTCCACAGGGCTAGCTCGGTGGAGTAACCTGAGGGGCCCAGGCCTCAGCACAAAGGCCCCCATTCCCCCTCCCCAGAACCCTGGACCCCCACCCCAGGCAGCGCAGCCCCCATCTCCCCTCCCCAGAACCCTGGAACCCACCCCAGGCAGCACAGCGCCCATCCCCCCTCCCCAGAACCCTGGACCCCACCCTGGGCAGTGCATCTCCAACCTGTCCCCAACCCCTGGCCGTTTCTCACCCAGGTAAGAGTCCCTCATGTCCACATTCTCCTGAGACATGTTGATGAAGGTGGGGCTCATATTTGGGGGATACAGGAAGGCACCTCCAGACCAGCTAAAGCTCCCCACAGCCCCCAGGAAGAGGCCATCCTGGGAGGAAAGAATTCCAGGGCTGGGCAGAGACTAGAGCGGGAAGACAGCATATCCCAGAGACACGCCTGCCACCCGCATCACTCGCCATCCAGGCTTTTCTTCTCTGTCTTCCCGGCCCGCACCAGCAGCCTCTGTGCCTCTGCCTGTCCCCACAGCCACTGCTCCGCCAGCCCCCTCTCCTCTCACTCTCCACCCTGTCTGCCCCCGCTGTGCTCACCACTGCCTCTCTGTCTACTGCCCCAGTGCCAGGCTTTCCCAAACCCAAATGTGCAGCCACCCCTGCTGGAAAACCATCACCAAGGCCCTTACGGTGGTACCTAGGACCCTTCCCCATCAAAGCCATGGAGCCTCCCTCTGTTCCAAAGCACATCAAGCCTTTGGCCAGGACACCTCCCTCCCCTTCTTGTTTTCTGGGACTCAGCTCATTTCCCCTCCCTGGAAGAGTCAACTTCATCCTTTCTTTTTTTTTTTTTTTTTTTTGAGACAGGCTGTTGCTCTGTCACACAGGCTGTGATGCAGTGGCACAATCATCGCTCACTGCAGTCTTGAACTCCTGGACTCATGCAATCCCCCCATCTCAGCCTCCTGAGTAGTTGAGACCACAGGCATGTGCCACCATGCCTGGCTAATTTTTTTTTATTTTTTGTAGAGACAGGGTCTCACTATGTTGCCCAGGCTGATCTCAAACTCCTGGCCTCAAGTGACCCTCCCACGTCAGCCTCTTAAAATGTTGGGATTACAGGTGTGAGTCACTATGCCCAGCTGGAAAAGTCAACGTCAATGTCGCCTCCTCTGTGAGGTCTTCCTCAGCTCCTTCAGGGAGCCACAGGCATTTCCTCCTGGGTGTACTTTGTTTATTGCTTTCTTGAACTTTTGATATGGATAATTTAGAACACATACAGAAGTAGAAATAAATGTATAATGAACCCCCAAGTATGTGTGACCTACCTTGAGTGATCAATTCTTGACCAATCTTATTTCATTTCACCACCCCCTAGACACCCCCAAATTACTCTGAAGTAAACCCATCTGGGTTTGTTTTTGTTTTTTTTTGCTTTGTTTTGTTTTGTTTTTGTTTTTGTTGTTGTTGTTGTTTTGAGACAGAGACTCGTTCTGTCACCTAGGCTGAAGTGCAGTGGCACAATCTCGGCTCAGTGCAACCTCTGCCTCCTGGGTTCAAGCAATTCTCCTGCCTTGGCCTCCCAAGTAGCTAGGATTACAGGCATGAGCCACCACACCTGGCTAATTTTTTTGTATTTTTAGTAGAGGTGGGGTTTCGCCATGTTGGCCAGTTGGTCTCAAACTCCTGACCTCAAGTGATCCGCCCGTCTCAGCCTCCCAAAGTGCTGGGATTACAGGCATGAGCCACAGTGACCGGCCCCATCTGGATCCTTTGAACACACACGCACTTCCAAACCACATCTTTGATCCCACCTGGTCCTTCTCAGCCTCCAGCCCTCTCCTTCCAGGCTGCCTGGGCTCCCTGGGCTCTGGCAAGCCCGGATCTCTCCCGCCGAGGACCTGGGTCCTGCCTCAGGACCTTGGCACTTGCTTTGTCCTGTGCCCAGAACAGTCTCCCCTGATTTGTCCAGGGCTGGCCTTTTCCATTACTGAGGCTCCTCTGGCTATCTCTCTCTCTACCCTGATGCTTAGTGCTATCTGAGAGGCTCTTGCTTACTGTCTCCTCCACTAGAATACATGATCCTTGAGAGCAGGAACCCAGGCTACCCTCCTCCCTGCTGTGCTCCTGGCCCCTAACACACGCGTGGGGGCCTCTCCCTGGCGATTGAGGATGGGGTCTGCTCTTGTTTATGTCTGGCTCCCAGCCCCCAGCCCAGGGTGGGTGCAGAGTTGGTATCCAAGAGCTATGGATTGAGGGCAGGCTCTACCCACCATTGTGAGGGCTGTGCTGAAGCCTTCTTGGGACATCTCGTGCTGGAAGGAGCTGCTTGCCCTGGACTGGGTTCCTGTGGGGAAACAGGTCAGTGAAGTTCCTAGAAGCCATGAGACCCATGAGGACTCAGAACACAGGGAGGAGAACATGATCTGAGGCTTGGGTTCCAGACAGCAATTTTGAGTGAGTTGTGAACAGGAATGGCCCATCAAGACTGTGCGGGACAGGCTGGGCGCAGTGGCTCACGCCTGTAATCCCAGCACTTTGAGAAGCTAAGGTTGGCGGATCACCTGAGGTCAGGAGTTCGAGATCAGCCTGGCCAACATGACAAAACCCCGCCTCTACTAAAAATACAAAAATTAGCTGGGCATGGTGGTGCGTGTCTGTAATCCCAGGTACTCAGGAGGCTGAGGCGAGAGAATCACTTGAACCCAGGAGGCAGAGGTTGCAGTGAGCCGAGATCGTGCCACTACACTCCAGCCTGGGGACAAAGTGAGACTCCATCTCAAAAAAAAAAAGCCTGCACGGGACAATTGGGTGGGGACCCCTTGGCTCCCAGGCGCACCCTTGCTTCCATTTACCCTCAACTGCATAGATCTTCTCCTGCAGCTGCTTCTGGATGCTGCCAAGGGCTGCAAAGTTGTCCACCTTGAACACGTGGTCCTGCGGAGGCGCTGAGCTGATGGTATTCAGCTCCTGCCTGGCAGTGGGTCCCTGGAAAGCGTGTCCCACCTGCAGCAGAGAGACAGCCGAGGAGGATGAGCCCAGCAGCACTGCACCTGAAGGAGATGCAGGCTGAGCCTGGGGCAGGGGTGAAGAAGAGGCGCACCCCGATAGCGTAGCGGATGATGCCAGCCTTCTCTGCCTGGGGGATGACATCACTGTATTCCAGGGGGTCTTTGTACTTCTGCCCATCTGTGATGACAATGAGGATCTTCTTGGCACTTTTTCGGGCCCCATTCTTATGATGAAATAGCTGTGTCCTGTCGGGGAGGAAAGGAAGATGACTCTACTGAGATGTGATTGATTCTGGAAAGACATCATTTGCAGTCCTCTCATCTGGAGAGGCTGGGGAGTCCTGGCACCCTCACATTCTATCAGGCATGTTAAGGAATTGATTTTGCCGTTTTGGGTTTTCTTTTGAGACAGAGTCTCGCTCTGATGCCCAGGCTCTGGAGTGCAGTGGCGTGATCTCCACTCACTGCAACCTCCGTCTCCCGGGTTCAAGTGATTCTCCTGCCTCAGCCTCCTGAGTAGTTGGGATTATGGGTGCCCACCACCATGACTGGCTAATTTTTGTATTTTTAGTAGAGAGGAGGTTTTACCATGTTGGCCAGGCTGATCTCAAACTCCTGACATCAAGTGATCCACCAGCCTCAGCCTCCCAAAGTGCTGGGATTGCAGGCGTGAGCCACCATGCCCAGCTAATTTGGCCATTTTTGAAAGCCACACAAACCATAATTAGATCAATAATAAAAAAAGTCACATTCTTTGTTTCTAAATTCTATCCATGGCTGAACTCTCTTCCCCAGAGGCAGTGTGGTTCAAAGCAGGGGCTTTGGAGTCAGACACACTTTGGGCATGGGACTTAACCTCTCCGGGCCTCTGCCTTTCTCCATGCATGATGAGGATAACTGTGCTGTAGCTGTCTCAAAAGATGGCCCCCAGTGAACCACACCTGGTTCCCTCCCACACTGGACCTGGCCTGGCTGAGTCCCACTCTCATCAGTAACGTGCGGTGGAAGTGACACCATGCCAGTTATAGGTCTCAGAAGCCTTGGTTTCTTCGGCTTTTGCACTTTTGGAAGCCCTGAGCCACGATGAGAGAAGTCCAGCTGCCTTATTGGAGGCACCCATGGAGGAAGGCCACCTGAAATAAGAGGCTCAGCCGTCCCCACCAAGCCTGCCTTCCAGCATATCCCCCACAGGCACCAGACACCAGCTTAGTGCTGGATTGTTTAACCCACTTAATTTGGGGATGGTTTGTTAGGCAACAGTAGATAACTGAAACAATTAGTGTCAGATTATCCTGAAGATTAAACAAGGTCAAGCTTTTACAGTGAATGGCCTACGGTGACTACTAATTAGATAACAGCTGTAACAAACAATTAAAAATGTAACTATCGGCCGGGCACAGTGGCCCACACCTGTAATCCCAGCACTTTGGGAAGCCAAAGTGGGAGGATCACGAGGTCAGGAGTTTGCGACCAGCCTGACCAACATGGTGAAACCCCATCTCTACTAAAAATACAAAAATTAGCCAGGTATGGTGGCGCGTGCCTGTAATCCCAGCTACTCAGGAGGCTGAGGCAGGAGAATTGTTTGAACCTGGGAGATGGAGGTTGCAGTGAGCCGAGATCATGCCGTTGCACTCCAGCCTGGGCGACAGAGCAAGACTCCGTCTCAAAAAAAAAGAAAAAAAAAAGTAACTACCTGCTCATGTAACTCTATAAACTCAGATAAACTCAGAGCAAATACACACAGGTGTCAAATACAATATTGGAAATAACCCAAATATCCAACACTGGGGAAAGGGTTTAGCCAGTCATGACCTAGCCTGTTAGTAGACACAGCCATTTCAAAGGAAAGCAGTATGGGAGGCCGAGGCAGGAGGCTCTCTCGAGGCCCGGAGTTCAAGACCAGCCTGGGCAATAAAGCAAGACCCCATATCTACAAAAAATGTTTTTTAAAATTAGCCAGATGTGGTGGCATGCACCTGTGATCCCAACTCGGGAGGCTGAGTCAGGAGGATTGTTGAGCCCAGGAGCTGGAGGCTGCAGTGAGCCGTGATCGTGCCACCGCACCCCAGCCTGGGAGACAGAGTGAGACCTGTCTCAAAAAAAAAAAAAAAAAAAAAGGAAAACAAAAAATTGTGGACCTAGATGAGGGGGAAAAAAACCCAGACAGGATGAAAATAGCTTCTGCCCTGAATGTGACCATACAAAATAAGCCTGAATAAAGATGAGTATGGAAGTGGCATTGTGCTATGCAGCTGAGATTTATTGATTCACTTGTAAGTATCCCTTGATGTTACTAAAATACTGTAGGGCGGTTGACTAGAGGGACTGTGGGTAATATAATACTTCTTTTAAAAAAAGTTTCCTTACCATTATTGCCGTTTGGGTTTTGCTTTGTTTTTGTTTTTTTGTAATAAAACTTCTTTTTAAAAAAAGAAGACAAGAAAGAAAGGGAAGAAAAGAAAGAGAAGGAAGAGGCTGGGCATGGTGGCTCACGCCTGTAATCCCAGCATTTGGGAGGCTGAGGCAGGCAGATCACTTGAGGTCAGGAGTTCGAGACCAGCCTGGCCAACATGGTGAAACCCCATCTCTACTAAAAATACAAACATTAGCCAGGTGTGGTGGTGCGGGCCTGTAGTCCCAGCTACTCAGAGGTTGAGGCAGGAGAATTGCTTGAACTTGGAATACAAAAATCAGCCGGGCATGGTGGTGTGCACTTGTAATCCCAGCTACTTGGGAAACTGAGGCAGGAGAATCCAGGAACCCAGAAGATGGAGGTGGCAGTAAGCCAAGATTGTGCCATTGCACTCCAGCCTGAGCAACAGAGCAAGACTCTGTCTAAAATACAAAACAGAGTGAGAGAAGAAATGAAGTGAGGGAGGGAAGGGAGGGAAGGGAGAAAGGGAGGAAGAGAGGAAGGGAAGAAAGGAAGGAGGGAAAGAGGGAGGGAGGGAGAAAGGAAGGGAGGGAGGGAAGGGAAGGACCGGCAGCAGGGAGGTCCAATCCTTGGCTGAGTCCAGCCCTGAGATGGGCTTGGCTCTGGGGAGCAAAGGCTGCTGGGAAATTTCCTGCAGTCTGGGCATGAGAGCAGGACTGGAGTTGGTGAGAACCACTCGGTCACCCCTGCCTCATTCATTTTTTTCCCCAGGCCCCACCACTGGAAGAACTTTGAGGGGTGAGGTGGAGACTCCAGAATGGGACACTCCCGTGTGACTTTAAACTTACAGGACAGACGGAGGCCTTCCTCTGGGTTGCTGAGTCACAAGGGGCCACCGTTCAAGGCAGAAGAGCCTCCCAGAAGTAAAGAGGGTGCGTTTGGTGGGAGCATCTCTTGTTTAAGCCAAATTCTAGCACCACCCCAGGGCTGCTCCCAGGGGTGTGTGCAGGAAGCCAAGGATCCCCGACCGTCAGCCCAGCTCCTTCCTACAAGAACCACATGCCTTTCTCGGGGGTCCCACCTCCTACATCGTTTTAGGAATAGACTGCATGTGCACGGGGCAGGCCCACGGTGAGTGCCTGGGTAGCACAGGGGGTGCGCAGGGGTGAGGGATGCGGGAGAGGAGGTGAGTGGGGAGAAAGGCACCAGGACGACCTTGGGTGACAATTCCTGAGTCCCTGACTACTCCATTCTCTGATAAAACCTCAGGCATTTATCCGACACCTCCTACGTGCCCCGGGCTGAGCACCCCACACACATGATCTCAATCCTAAGCTGTGAGCTTATCTTCATCTGAGAGTTACTGAGACTTAGAGCCCATCACCCCAGGGTTACACCCAGAGTAGCTCACGGGGAGCCAGGATGGGAGCCTGATGTGTCTGAGCCAAAGCCCGGGCCTCTGGCTGCTGTGGGGTGGGGAGGGGTCCTGGGGTCCAGGCTCTGCAGAACCAGGCAAAGGGGAGGCATAGCTGCAGAGGAGCCTAGTCCTATATCAGGGAGACTGGCAGCGAGGCAACCAGGAGCACCCCGGGGGGAGGTTCTCCCTGCAGCCCCGACATGCCCCTTGGTAGCCCCTTTCCCTGGAGCCTCCCTCAGCCTCTGAGAAGAGCTGTGCTGACCCAGGGTTAGGAAGTGGGGGTGGCAGTCACATCGCCAGGCTGGGGTCGGGGTTGCTTACACCACTGTCAGGATGCCCGTGGCCGTGAACGTCAGGCCTTTCAGTTGGACGATGGGATCCACCAGGCTCTGCTGGCTCGGGCTGGTCCGGAATTGGGTGAAGGTGAAGTGGATCTTCAGGAGGTTTGAGTACTGCATCAGTGCAAACTGCAAAGGCCAGTGGGGAGGGCCCAGGGCTCAGTGCCTGTTACTATTGTTTTTATTTTAATTTTTTGTAGAGACAGGGTCTCTCAAACTCCTGGCCTCAAGTGATCCTCCTGCCTCAGCCTCCAAGTAGCTGGAACTACAGGCACACGTCACATGCCTGGCTTTGTTTTTTGTTTTGTTTTGTTTTTGGTAGAGACAAGGTCTCACTATGTTGCCCAGGCTGGTCTCGAACTCTTGGCCTCAAGCAATACTCCCACCTCAGCCTCCCAAAGTGCTGGGATTACAGGTGTGAGCCACCACACCAAGCCATATTGTTTTCAGTTTTAATAAACTTTATTTTGGAATTATTTTGGATTTACAAACCATTTCCCATGTGTTTTGAAGCCCTACAAATAATATACTGAAACCCAGAGAAGAAAATTCATTGGCCCAAAAATACAAAATATAAACTGGAAAATCTAAACCAAATGATATTTCCTTCACAGTTTATTAAAAATAACTTTGCCAACCACAATATTTGCTACCCTTAGCTTTTTAAAAATTTTATCACACATTAAATCAATTTGTGTATTTCCTCCCTTCTCAAGAATTTGTGGCTGGGCGTAGTGACTCATGCCTGTAATCCCAGCACTTTGAGAGGCCAAGGTGGGAGGGTTGTTTGAGCCAGGAGTTGGAGACCAGGTTGGGCAATATAACAAGACCCCATCTCTACAATAAAAATTTTTAAAAATTAGCCAGGCATGGTGGCATGCACCTGTAGTCCCATCTACTCAGGAGGCTGAGGAAAGAGGATCACTTGAGCCTGGGAGATCAAGTCTGCAGTGAGCTATGATTGCACCCCCACACTGCAGCCTGGATGACAGAACAAGACCCTGTTTAAAAAACAAAACAGTGGGGTTTTTTTGCACATACATAGGCACTAGTTATGGGAAAATAAAATAATAAAAAGAAATCATTAGTTACATAGAAAATATGTCAGTCAAATTCCATAGCAAAATTATTTTTTAAACACTTTCAATGTTTTTAAACAGCAGAAACATTGTATTTCCTGTAGCTTTTGGATACATTATTAAATGCCAAGAGGGCCTCCTAGGTCAGGGCTCAAGTTGGGCCTGTGCTGGGACCATAGCTTCATTCTCCACCCCAGCCCCATCACACACGGCTCACTGGCCTGCCCCCACCCCTCCCGGGATGCCTCCCCGAGGCCAGCCTCCCCCGTCCCCCAAACCCCAGCCCCAGGTGCCCAGTCTTCACCAGGGTGTCAGTGCCCTCAAACTGGCCCATGACAGCTTGGACAAAGCCCTTCATCTGGTTAAAGTCATTTTGGTCAATGCTTCCAGAGCCGTCAATCAGGAAGACGATGTCCATCTCTTGATGTGGACACTCTGTGGGGGAATGGGGAGGAATCGGAGATGCACTGCGGGGGCCCAACCCCCTCCTGCAGCTCCTGCTCAACAGAGCCCGGGGGCTGTTCTTGGCATCCCCACCTAGTTTCCGACCCCTCCTTGGAGGAGGCCCCAGTCTGCCACCCCAGCCCCCTGCTCCCTTCCTCCCACATGGCCTGGAAAGAGAGGGATGACAACACAGGACCCAGGTGGGCTCCTCATCCATTTAATCAACAAATATTCATTAAACACAGATGCTAGGGGTGCCACAAGCATCAAGGGCGAATGTTTAGCAAAGTGGTTCAGGGCGCGTGTTCTGGAGCCAGTGTGCCTGGGCTAAACCCCAGCTCAGCCACGTGCTAATTGGTGAATTCAGGCACATTACTTAACTTCTCTGGACTTCAGTGTCCCTATCTGTAAAATGAAGGTAATATCAGTGGCTACCACGTGGGATCACTGCAAGGATAAAGCAACACGCACATGGGTGCTGGAGACAAGTCCTGGCCCTCTGCCAGGGTCAGCCGCTGGCACCATTCTCACCACGTGCCAGGCACCTTCGAGGCCTGTAGGATATGCCTGTAGGGATGCTGTGGGGGTGGGGCAGGGATCCACCCCAGACCCCACCCTACCCCCAGTCGGTCAGAGGTCCTTATTTCCAGCTACGTGGAGTTGGCTCTGAGCTGAGTCCCTTCCCAGGAATCACGCTAGGCAGAGGGGAACTGTTGCCCACTGGGACACCTCCTGCCCCTGGAGGAAACCTTTACCGATGACTGGTTCAGCGTCTGAAGGGCCAGCTGCACTCTGAGCCCCCCAGGCATTGGCTGAGGCCTCTGGTTTTTTCATTTTTTGTTTTTTTGAGGCAGAGTCTCACTGTCACCCAGGCTGGAGTGTGGTGGTGTGATCACAGGTCAGTGCAGCCTCGACCTCCCCAGGCTCAGGCAATTCTCCCACCTCAGTCTCCTGAGTAGCTGGGACTACAGGTGTGCACCACCTTGCCTGGCTAATTTTTGTATCTTTTTGTAGAGACGGAGTTTCGCCATGTTGCCCAGGCTGGTCTCAACCTCCTGGGCTCTAACGATCCACTCACCTCGGCCTCCCAAAGCACTGGGATGACAGGCAAGCACCCCAGTGCTGACCTTGGGCCTCTGTTATGATTGCATTGCATCCACCCTTCATGCTCCCATGGGTGCGGTGCCCAAGAATATTCCCAGTTGGGAGTGGTGGCTCACGCCTGTAATCCTAGCACTTTGGGACGCTGAGGTGGGCGGATTACTTGAGGTCAGGAGTTCAAAACCAGCCTGGCCAACATGGTGAAACCCCATCTCTACTAAAAATACAAAAAAATTAGCCCGGCATGGTGGCGGTGCCTGTAATCCTAGCTATTTGGGGGGCTGAGGCAGGAGAATCACTTGAACCTGGGAGGTGGAGGCTGCAGTGAGCCAAGATTGTGCCACTGCACTCCAGCCTGGGCGACAGAGTGAGACTCCGTCTCAAAAAAAAAGAACATTCCCAAGTGACCTCAGAGTTTGTGGAGTTCACTCTGCAATCGTGAGGGCACATCATATGCACATGAACAAATAAGACTTTTCATGCTGTCCCCAGGCTCATGGGGGGTGTGTGGCCTGTGTTCAGGGCCCAGTTGGTACCTCCACCAGCAGCCACATCCTGTGCTGCCCGCAGGGCACTGGGAGATCAGGCCACCAGAGCACTAAGGTGTGAGGCCCACACCACAGGGCTGTGGTTTCTGCCCCCTGCCCACCACTGCAGAAAAAAAAAATGCCTTTTCCTCTTTCCTCTCCCCTACCCCACTTGCTCAACCACTGGTGCTTCAAGGGTGCTGGGGAGAAACAGAAGGTCACTTCCTTCCTGCTTCTTCAATCACCAGCAAATCTTGACATCCATGGGGCAGGCTGCAGATCCCCCCAGGAGCTCCCCGTTTTTTGCCCACATCTGGGCAGCCAACATCTTGCAGTGGTGCCTGTTTTTTCAGCTGCGTCAAGAAACCACCCTCTCATCCTCTCTCAGGCCAGGTCTGTGGCAAATCCTCTCACAATGTCTCTTCTGTTTCTTGGTCTTTTTATTGTATCCCCTGGTCTCCCACTAGCAGAAGCCTGGACTTATCCTTTTGAAAAAGGACCCCACCAATCAGGCAAGGATGGCTCAAGCTCTGGGCTCTGCCTCTTGCTATCGATGGAACTCATCTATCTGAACCTTGGTTTTCATATCTGTAAAATGAGAATGGGCCTGCCCGCCACCCAGGATGTTGTGAGGATGCAATAAGGTGATTCATACCAGGTATTCAGCACTGCTTGGCACACAGGTGATCCTCAGTGGACCCTGGTCCCTTCTACTTGGACCCACACCCCCCTTGCCTGCACCAGTTTTGTGCTCCAGTCCCATTTGCATCAGGCATCCCACCTCATGAGTTCCACGGATGGCTGTGAGAAGACATTTACCCCTTGTTTTTAAGTGCCACCTCCCTAACCTGGCTTCACAGACATCTCAGGCTGGGCACGGTCCCCCCAAGAACCCTGGATGTCCCTTCCCCCTTCCCTTGGTCCCCTCCATAGACTCCACCCTCACCATTTGCTCTGGTAATGTTTCTGCTGCTGCTCCACCTTTGTCTAAAGGCCCAGCATGCCTGTCATCATGGCCTCTCTGGTCTGAAGCCCCACCCTCGGTCAGCACCCTGAGCGGCCCCTGGCATTCCCTCTCACACGGCAGATGAGACAGTTTGCCTGTATCTTCCTCCCAGTCCCAGCATGCAGTCCCCAGCTGGAAGATGGGTCAGAGGGGCTATCACATACTATGTGCCAGGCAGGGTTCCAAGTGCTTTATGCACCTCAATCCCTTTCACCTTCATAACCCCCTGATTATTGAGCTCTATTTTACCAATGAGGAAACTGAATGGCTTTGAGGGAATGAAGCTTCAAGGGAATGAAGCCTGGTGCCCATGGAAAACAAACTTGGGAACCACCATGATGCAGACCAACCCTCAGAGAGATGTCATGGTGGTGTCCCCAGGCCCTGTTCTCTGTGGAAGACATGGGCACTGACAAAATTGCACATCGCATTTTCCGCAGCCCTGTCATTTGCTCCTCTTCGAGAGGAAAGTTAGTTTGGGGAATCCTGGAAGCTCAGCAGTGAACCATCCAGAAGAAACACCTCCCTCATGGATTTATCTTCCTCACCACGTTCTTTACCACACTAAGGTCCTTCCTCTGAAACTCAAGAAGTGGCCATGCACCTGTTGGCAACTGGAAGATGCTGTGCCCTCTACAGCCCGCACAGTGGGGCTCCTCTCTGCCTCCATCAGAACTTTCATCCCTCAGGCCAGGCACAAGGACTCATGCCTGTCATCCCAACACTTTGAGAGGCTGTGGCAGAGGATTACTTGAGCCCAGGAGTTCAAGACCAGGCTGGGTAACATAGCAAGACCCCCATCTCTACAAAAACATTTTTTTTAATTAGCCAGGTGTGATGCATGTACCTGCAGTCCCAACTACTCAGTAGGCTAAGGGAGGAGGATCACTTGAGCCCAGGAGTTCGAGGCTGCAGTGAGCTATGATTGCACCACTGCACTCCAGCCTGGGCGACAGAGCAAGACTCTGTCTCAAAAAAATTAGCAGGGTGTGGTGGTGCATGCAGCCTGACAGAAACTCTGTTTTTTGTTTTTTTTTTTTTTTTGAGATGGAGTTTTGCTCTTGTCACCCAGGCTGGAGTGCAATGGCACAATCTCAGCTCACTGCAACCTCCGCCTCCTGGGTTCAAGCGATTCTTCTGTCTCTGCCTCCCGAGTGGCTGGGATTACAGGCGCACACCACCACATCCTGCTATTTTGTTTTGTTTTGTTTTGTATTTTTAGTAGAGGGGTTTCACCACATTGGCCAGGCTGGTCTCGAACTCCTGACCTCAGGTGATCCGCCCACCTCAGCCTCCTAAAATGCTGGAATTACAGGCCTGAGCCACTGTGCCTGGCAGGGACCCTGTCTTAAAAAGAAAAAAATATAAAGAAAAACCCTGCAAAGAACTTCTACCCTGGAGCAGCAGGGCTCCTGCCTGAGCCACCCTCTTCTCCTGGCTTCTCTCCTAGCCACACTCGGCCCTCCAGGGAGGGCACAGGGGCCCAGACACAGGCCTCACGCCTGCTCACCCTCAGTGCCAGCATGTGCTCCACAGGGAACCATGGCCTGCCAGGGACCTACCTGGCGTGGCGTCGGGGACTGTCTGGATGATCTCCCAGCGCGAGCCCAGCAGGAGGCAGGAACCCTTTGAGTATGAGTTCTCCCCACAGACTCTGTGCAGGGTCGGGCCACAGGCCTGGAGGCAGAAGCCTGTGAGCCAGGAGTCCCTAGCAGCCCCTCCTCCTTCACTCCCAGCCCCAGCCTCCTCCCCAACAACACCCCCCGCCCCACCCCACCCCCCCGTGGCCCAAGACACTCACTCACCAGGAGCCGGGAGCCGTTGGTGGAGGCTGCCAGGGTCAGGCCCAAGGACATGTTCACGGCCTCAGGGCGGACTGCAAGGGCAGACACGCGGGGTCTCACTCACAGCACACACTCATTTGCGGGGAAGGTCTGGACTGGAAGCTAAGCGGGGGCACAGTTGGGTCCAGGAGGGTTGAGGGGCCCAATTCCCAGGTGGTCACTCACTGTGCAGCGGGATGGGCTGGCACATGCCGGTGGCAGCTGCGCAGTCATACAGCCGTCCCGTCTGGTTGGCCGCCACCACCTCCAGGGGTGCTCCCACCACGAGTCTGGAGACACAACCATGGCCATGTCACTGCAGCCACAGGAGGGGTGGGAGCAGCGGGCACTTGGGGGTGAGGAAGTGTCCCTCCATGGGGAAGCGAGACTCTGTGGGGGAAATTCCTGGCATTTGCCACTTGGCAGAATATTCAGAAATCAGGGCCCAAGTGTAACTCACAGATGCCCAGGGGCCATGCTGGGGTTTATTTGGTTTTGAGTGTGCATAAGTACGTATGTGTGTATTTATGTTTAGAAATTTCTTTTTAACATTCACCAAAAAAAAAAAAAAAAAAAAAAAAAAAAACCTATTTAAAGACCAAAATGGCATTTCCCAATCATGGGTAAGCACATTGCGTTTCTGAGTTGCCATTATTTTGAACCACCCAAGAAATAAGATCATCTCAAGTTAATTGGAACAATTTCCTGAAGACATGTGCTTTCAAAACAAATAGTTGATTCTGTAATTCATTGGACCAATTTAAATATTGTATAAGCAATTTCAATTGGCCAATGTAAAGCAGTGTACTAGGATCCATAACTATATCTATAGTTATGTAGAGTCAAGGGTTTATTTGCAAAACTCCCTGAGTGGGAAAGTTTTTTAATTTTGGAAATGTTTTCTCACTACCCACAATCTCCTGTCTGTGAGAAAAGCAGACAGATACTGGTGTATTTTAATGCGCCAAGCAAGGCTTCATTAAATGGCCATGTGAGGGTTCCTTCTAGGTGCCGCTCCTTTACAGAAAGCTACAATCCCTGTGCATCATGATTCAGGGGATGCCTAAGGCTTTGTGAAGAAAATCTGAGCATTGGCTAGAGAGGTAGCAGTTTGGAACCTGCTGATACAAACGATGAGCAAAACTTTAGTGTAACCCATCAACCCATATGTTTTTTGAGACAGAGTTTCACTCTGTCACCCAGGTTGGAGTGCAATGGCGTGATCTCAGCTCACTGCAACCTCCACCTCCCAGGTTCAAGCAAATCTCCTATTTCAGTCACCCAGCTAGCTGGGATTACAGGCACCTGCCATCACGCCAGGCTAATTTTTGTATTTTTTAGTAGAGACAGGGTTTCACCATATTGGTCAGGCTGGTCTTGAACTCTTGACCTTAGGTGATCCACCCGCCTCAGCCTCCCAAAGTTCTAGGATTATAGGCATGAGCCACTGCACTCAGCCAATGTATTCTTTTTTTAAAATGTGGCCCAAAAAACTGATGGTGACAGAAGTCTGACCAGGGGTTCTCTGGGGATGTTGGGTGATGAGAAGGGGTCCACGGCAGCCCTGTGCCTGTGGGATTTGACACTGGAGCAGCTGACCTAGGTGGGGCTCACCCAGGCACGCACATGTGTATCCTTTATCAGATTGGGTCTTTCAGATTTGTGCACCTCAGTTGACCACATTTCCAAATAAAGAAAAACAAAAGCCTGGTGCCTGGTGCTTGCTTCCATCCCCCCAGACTGCCAGTCACATGAGGAAGGGAGAGGGGTGCGCGGTTGGAGCTCGGTGACCTCTTATAGCTCCTCGTGACCAACTGAGCCTTCCTGTCCACTGGGGCTCACTGCCAGCACCACTTCCTCCATGGAACCCTCCTGGGTCTGCTCTCTCCCTGCCTGCGCCCCCCAGACCTTGGTGACACCTGTGTCACATTGTGACTTGAACTCTCTGGGACAGGAGAATGTGAGCTCCTGGAAGTGGGGGCAGGTTCATAATTTGTGGGTCCCAATTTGAAATAAAACTGTGGGGTCTCTTGGGGTTGGGGGGCTCTTACCTTTCTTCTGCTCTCTTCCTCAACCTGTCCTGACGTTTTTTATTTGCTATGTAGTGTCCCACTCCCTCGGGGTACTCCCAGAGTGAGCGCCCCTAACTGACTTTACCCAGCTCATGCCAGGGGCGGAAGGTAGCAGCGGTCATTGCTCCCACATGGGTGGGGGAGCCAGCAGCTGATACCCCTTCACCACCCTTCAGGAGGCGGTGGGAGGTGGGGCTGCTGCTGAGCTAAGGCTCCAAACCCCCAGTGCATCTCCCTTCTCCCATGACTTTTTTTTTTTGACGGAGTCTCACTCTGTCACCTAGGCTGGAGTAAAGTGGCACGATCTCGGCTCACTGCAACCTCCACCTCCCAGGTTCAAGCGATTCTCCTGCCTCAGCCTCCCAAGTAGCTGGGATTACAGATGCCTGCCACCATGCCCGGCTAATTTTTTTTGCATTTTTAGTAGAGATGGGGTTTTGCTGTGTTGGCCAAACTGGTCTCAAACTCCTGGCCTCAGATGATCTGCCCGCCTCAGCCTCCCAAAGCGTTGGGATTATAGGCGTGAGCCATGGTGCCCAGCCCTGCCATCATTCTTTACTTGCAAAACACAAATGCACAGATAAAATTTTTAAGAATTGGCAAGACAGGGTGGCTCACACCTGTAATCCCAGCACTTTGGGAGGCCAAGGCAGGAGGATTGCTTGAGCCCAGGAGTTCAGCCAGTCTGGACAACATAGCAAGACTCCATCTCTGTAAAAAGTAAAACAAAACAAAACAAAAAACAGGCATGATGGCATGCACCTGTGGTCCCAGCTATTCAGGAGGCTGAGGTGAGAGGATCACTTGTGCCCGAGAGTTTGAGGCTGCAGTAAGCTGTGATTGCACCACTGCACTCCAGCCTGGGTAACAGAGCTGGAGTAAAAATAAAAATAAAAATAATCAGGAATTTCAAGAGGTCAAGGGCAGAACATTAAACTCCAAAGTTAATGAGTGTGGGCCCTGTGTGACCATACTGGCCCCAAGAAGTGGGCCCTGCCTGGGAGGCAGGTTCAAGGCTTCCCTCCCGAGGTAAGGTAGGGTCTTGTCTAGAGTTTTGTGGCCTTTCCTGGGATTGAGAATAATAGGTGCTGATGTCAGGGCCTCCAAGGAGCCAAGGGAAGACTTCTCACCCCTGCTGGCCTTCCTCCAGGACACCTCCCTGGGGTAACCCACGTGTACCCATCCACAGGACTTGATGTAGTGGAGGTTGGGGAAGGAGGGTGAGTGGGGCCTACCGAGATCCACCGAACTGCACCACGCTCTGCCCAAAGCCGCCTGCATCCTCCTGGAAGATCGTAGGCTCCTCCACATCCAGGTTGAATCCATGATAAGAAGCCAGGACTGAGGAATATTTGGTGGGCGGGGAGGCTGGGAGTTAAAGAAGCCCCAATCCCTAGGACCTCCCAGCCTCTTTTTCTTTTTTTTCTTTTTTTTTTTTTTTTTTTTGAGATGGAGTCTCGCTCTGTTGCTGAGGCTGGAGTGCAACGGCACGATCTCAGCTCACTGCAACTTCCGTCTCCTGGGTTCAAGCGATTCTCTTGCCTCAGCTTCCCAAGTAGCTGGGATTACAAGTGCACGCCACCATGCCCGGCTAATTTTTATATTTTTGGTAAAGATGGGGTTTCACCATGTTGGCCAGGCTGGTCACAAACTCCTGACCTCAGGGGATACGCCCATCTCGGCCTCCCAAAGTGCTGGGATTATAAGCATGAGCCACCGCACCCAGCCAAGCCTGATTTTTGATGGCACGTGAATGTGACTCTGATGCAGTTTTCAGCAGGGGGCCTCTTCCCTACGTGCAGTCAGGACTTGGGGGAAACAGGCCCAGGGAGGTGATGTCCAACCTTTCCCCCTCCCTGGTGGCTTCTGTGGCCTTCCACTCCCGGGGGAGGCTGGGGAGACCTCTGTCACCCACACCAGGGACTCCATGAGTGGGAGCAGGGAAGCCTGGGACAACATAGCCAGCTGGAGAGGTAGCTTAGTCGCCACCTGAGCACAGCCCCTGAGCCCCTCTTCATTCAGGTCACACTCTACTGACTCCGGGCCACTCGCACATGAAGCACTCCCCTGCCTCAGCTCCTCATAAGAGTGGTTGGAGCCGACCACCAGCCCCCAGCCTGCCCTCCCAGATGGAGTCCCCTCAGAACTCCTCCAAGCTTCTCCCCAGCACCCTGGCCCCACTTACCACTCAGAAGAAGCACAGTGCCGAAGGTCATCCCTGAGCAGCGCGTTGAGGGGAAGTGGAAGGTTGGGGACAGAGCACAGAAGGTGCTCACCCTCCCAGGGGGTAGTTAAAATAATGATTCAGGGCCTCCACACAGCAGGAAGAGGGGCACAGTGGGTAGGAGGGGCGTGGTTAATTATGGAACAGAAGTGGGGGCAGGGGCCAACAACACCCTGGGGAAAAACCCTCATTCTGTCCCCCTCCACAACCTGCAGGGACCTGGCTTCCTTCTCCCAGAAGACCACCCTCCCCCAGGCCTCAGGAGCCAGTTGGTACCCAGGGAGCCCCGTAGCTCTCTGAGGTCCCACAGGAGTGGAAGGACAGGAAGCAGAATGGCTGCAGAGGTCTTGGCATGTGGATGTGAGCCGGCAGAGAGGCAGGGAGAAGGGGAGCTAGGCCAGGGTGTGGTTTCAAAAAGCAGAGCCCCTCCAGAGGAGAATGGACACCCAAAATAATAAAGTCATGCCATGGGCTACTACTCAGCAAGAAATAAGATCAAACTACAGATCAGATGCCATGGCTCATGCCTGTGGTCCCAGAGCTTGGCAGGTGGATTGCTTGAGGCCAACAGTTCGAGACCAGCCTAGGCAACATAGCCAGACCCTGTCTTTACAATAAATAACAAAGAACAAACTGCAGTTCTGTACAACAATACAGGTTAACTCAATTTTATCTTAAGTGAAAGAAACCAGACACCAGAATGCCTAATGTCTGGTTCCTTTCATATACAAGAGAATGGGCAAAATTCATCTACGAAGATAGAAATCAGAAGAGTGGTTGTCTATGGTGGGGCAGAGAGGAAACTTTTTTTTTTTTTGACAAGTTTTGCTATGTCGCCCATGCTGGAATGCAGTGGCATGATCAGGGCTCACTGCAGCCTCAAATTCCCAGACTCAAGCAATTCTCCCACCTCAGCCTCCCAGTCACTGGGATTACTGATGCACACCACCATGCCCAGCTAATTTTTTTGTTTTTTGTAGAGACGAGATCGCACTATGTTGCCCATGCTGGTCTCGAGCTCCTGGACTCAAGCAATCCTCCCACCTCCTCCTCCCAAAGTACTGGGATTACAGGCGTGAGCCACCACATCCAGCCAGGAACCTTTAGCATGTGTTAAATTTAGCATTTAACACAATATTTTAATATTTATTACATGGGGTTGGGGAGAAGATAAATGAGTGGTTGTTATTTATTTTCTGTGATTTTTCTGTATGTTTGAAATATTCCATGATTAAACATAAAAGTTCCTTTAAAATGTGAAAAAGAAAAAGGTCTATATATAAAAGGCTAGGAATAGGCCAGGCGCAGTGGCTCACACCTATAATCCCAGCACTTTGAGAGGCTGAGGTGGATGGATCACCTGAGGTCAGGAGTTTGAGACCAGCTCTGGCCAATATGGTGAAACCCCGTCTCTACTAAAAATACAAAAATTAGCTGGGCATGGTGGTGCGCACCTGTAATCCCAGCTACTCAGGAGGCTGAGGCAGGAGAATCGCTTGAACCCAGGAGGTAGAGTTTGCAGTGAGTCAAGATTGCGCCACTGCACTCCAGCCTGGGCGACAGAGCAAGACTGTCTCAATAAATAAAAAATAAAAAATAAATAAAAAGCTTAGGAATATACTTTGAAGGTTAAAATATAACAAGATCCCTACCTATAACATAAATTATTTTGTATATATATGTGACAATTATTTAAAACATTTGGCTGGGCACAGTGGCTTATGTCTGTAATTCCAGCACTTTGGGAGGCTGAGGCAGGTGTATAGCTTGAGGTCAGGAGTTCGGGACCAGCCTGGCCAACATGGTGAAACCCCATCTCTACTAAAAATACAAAGATTAGCCAGGCATGGTGGTGCACGCCTGTAATCCCAGCTACTCAGGAAGCTGAGGCAGGAGAATCGCTTAAACCCAGGAGGCAGAGGTTGCAGTGAGTCAAGATCACACCACTGCATTCCAGCGTGGGCAACAGAGCAAGACTCTGTCTCAAAAACAAAACAAAATGAAACAAACAAAACATTTAAAATGTAATTAAACATCAAGTGCAAATAATATGAAATAGTTTTCTATACAAAAATTTTACATCAATTTACTTGAGAGCTGACATTTAATGGACAGAAGAAATTAATTGTGATGCATTAACGATGCCCTTGCAGGAAACCGAGCCGAGGGCTGTGATTGCTAACTTCGAGGCTGACTTATCTACTGCCTTACAAAGACTGCCCAGGCAAAGTGGAGCGGCAGCCTTCTCCCTCTTGTGCTGAAAGGTTTGTGGCTGGCCGCACCCTGTCATCAGTTCTGTGGATCTGTGAACTTCTCCCTGTATTTGGAACCACAAAATAATTTGTTGGTGATTCTTCATAATTCAGAAATTTAAAGAGCTCTTCATTTTCTCCATCTTCACCACACCTCATCTTTTACACATTTCTATATCCCCTTTAATTTTGGACTTCCTTCTGTAAGTAGTGCTTGAAACTCACGATTTGCTGATATCAGCAACTATAAAATTCTCCAACTTTCCCTAACTCGTATTATCGCTTGTCTCAGCAAAATTTTTTGTTTTCCACTCATGTTTGGAGAGCAATGATAAGGGCAAAATGCAGTAAGGTAGTCAAATGCTCACAATCACTGCACGCTGCCAGGAAATCATCTTTCTCCCAGGCCTGGAGCTGGAGCTGCCAAGGCTCAGAGTCCACAGCAGCTGAAGGTGATGCCCCCAAATTCAGGGCATCCTCTGGGGACTTGATGGCGGCTCCACCCTTAAAGGAACCACCAGCTCTCAGTAAATTTTTAATTAATTAATCAATTAATTTTTATTTTGAGATGGAGTCCTGCTCTGTCGCCCAGGCTGGAGTGCAGTGGTGCAATCTCAGCTCATTGCAACCTCTGCCTCCCAGGTTCAAGTGATTCTCCTGTCTGAGCCTCCCGAGTAGCTGGGATTACAGGCACACACCACCACACCTGACTAATTTTTGTATTTTTAGTAGAGACGGGGTTTTGCCATATTGGCCAGGCTGGTCTCGAACTCCTGACCATAGGTGATCCACCTGCCTTGACTTCCCAAAGTACTGGATTACAGCAGTGAGCCACCGTGCCCGTCTTCTCTCAGTAAGTTTTAAAAAGTTACACTTAGATAAATAAGAAAACAAGAATTTAATAATTGTTTTCAAATCAATGTGAAGGAGAATATTTTTGCAGCCTTTCTCCAGAATGAGCTGTGTCTGCCTGGAGAGCATAACTCCAGGTCCCCATGCCTTAGAGGCCACAGCCAGGATTTGGTTTTGTTTCTCCTGGTCTTCCCCTCCTCCCAGGAAATTTGGCTTTATTCTTCACATGCATTCATAATTCTCTCTCTCCAAATCACTTTTTCCCCCGCATGAGAAAAATACATCCATAGTAATGTGTTCAAATTGCTGGCTTCCAATTCTCCCCTTTTCCATTTGGGGTATGGATTAGATGCCCTGGAATATTTGCATTGAATTTTACCTATTCATCTACTTTGATCATCATAATGATCGCTGAGGGAAGCCAGGCTGTCAATAGACACATCTAAAATACAAAGTTGATGAGAAGGATAGAGTTTGCAAATGAAAGTAATTAAATGCATTAGTCAAAAGCAGAGAGAAAGAAAACCTAGCCAATAGTTCATCAGATAGAAAAGGTTTTTCTTAATAGAAGGATATCATGAAACTGACAGTTAAAGTAGAATTAATTTTTGTTGTTGTTGTTGTTAAGAGACAGAGTCTGGCACTGTTGCCCAAGCTAGAGGGCAGTGGCGTGACCATAGCTCACTGCAGCCTCGGACTCCTGGGCTCAAGTGATCCTCCCACCTCTGGTTTTTTTGTTGTTGTTGTTTGTTTGTTTGTTTGTTTTCTACAGATGGAGTCTCACTATGTTGCCCAGGTTGATCTCGAACTCTTGGGTTCAAGCAATCCTCTGGCCTCCTAAAGCACTGGAATTACAGGTATGAACCACCGCACCTGGAGCCACTGCACCTGGCCTCGAAATTAATTTTGTTTTTTTTGAGACGGAGTCTCACTCTGTCGCCCAGGCTAGAGTGCAGTGGTGCGACTCACTGCAACCTCGGCCTCCCGAGTTCAAGCAATTCTCCCACCTCAGCCTCCTGAGTAGCTGGGATTACAGGTGCACGCCACCATGTCCAGCTAATTTTTTTGTATTATTAGTCGATACAGGCTGGCCTCCAACTCCTGACGTCAGTCGATTCACCCTCCTCAGCCTCCCAAAGTGCTGGGATTACAGGCATGAGCCACCACACCCAGCCCAAAATTAATTTTTATATCATCAGGGATAATACCTTTGTCCAGAGGGCACAAATACAGATGTTGACTTCAAATTCTTGGTCCTGTCACACAATATACTACCCTGAAGATTTTCAGTAGATCCTTTTACTTATCTGTTCACACTTGTTTTGTGCATTTCTTCATCATGCTGAATTCCTGACAGCTTTGTATAAACCACGTAGTATGGAGACAGGTTTTCCCCTCTGAGCTGATAAAGTTTATAAAATATTCTGGACACACATTCACTCAGACTAGAAACGAAATCATGACTAACTTGGATTCTGCATGTATGCCTCTCTTAAGAATCAGTTTGGCCACTTTGCCCCACTCACCCATGGGTGGGCTAACAGGCACAGATGAACAGGGGCCAGCAGAAAACACCCATGACCAGCAGGCACTTTGCATCCAATCTAGTTAATGTATTTCTTTTTTTCACTCAGTTCTCCTAAAACCACCAGCCCAGGCTCCTTGCTAGAAAAATTGCCAGGTCATGAGAGTTAAATCATAAAAAGTTGGATGCTCAACTTTTCTAGCTTTATAGATGTGTTTTTTGCAGACATGCGACATTAAAGACAATTTAGCTAGGCCAGGCATGGTGGCTAATGCCTGTAATCCCAGCACTTTGGGAGGCGGAAGCAGGAGGATCACTTTAGGGCAGGAGTTCAAGACCAGCCTGGGCAACACAGTGAGACACCATCTCTAAAATTTTTTTTTTTTTTGAGACAGAGTCTCACTCTGTCACTCAGGCTGGAGTGCAGTGGTGCAATCTCGGCTCACTGCAGCCTCTGCCACCCAGGTTCCAGCAATTCTCCTGCCTGTAGCTGGAACTACAGGCACATGCCACCACACCCAGCTAATTTTTGTATTTTTAGTACAGGCGGGATTTCACCATGTTGGCAAGGCTGGTCTCAAACTCCTGACCTCAGGGGATCCACCTGCCTCAGCTTCCCAAAGTGCTAGGATTACAAGCACGAGCCACCATGCCTGGCAACGTTTTTAAAACATTAGCCAGGCATGATGGCACACACCTTTAGTCCCAGAAGCTCGGAAGGCTGAAGCAAGAGGATCGCTTGAGCCCAGAAGACCAAGGCTGCAGTGAGCTCTGATTGTGCCACTGCACTCCAGCCTGGGCAACAGAGCAAGATTCTGTCTCAAAAAAAAAAAAAAATTACCATATGATTCAGCAATTCCACTTCTGGGTGTATACCCAAGAGAATTGAAAGCATGGTCTTGAAGAGATATTTGTGCGCCCATATTCATCATTCATGAGAGGCAAAAAAAGCAACCCAAATGCCCATTGATGGGCAAATGGATAAACAAAACGTGGTATATACACACAATGGAATATTATTCAGCCTTCAAAAGGAGAGGAATTCTGACACATGCTACCACATGGGTGAACCTTGAGGACATTATGCTAAGCAAAATATGCCAGTCGCAAAAAGACAAATGCTGTATGAGTCTATTTCTATGACATGCCAAAGCAGTCAAATTCATAGAGACAGAAAGAATTGTGGTTGCCAGGAGTTAGGGAAAGGGGAGAATTGGGAGTTGTTTAATGGGTATAGGGTTTCAGTTTTACAAGATAGAAAGAGCTCTTGAGATTGGCTATACTTAAAAATGGTTAAGATGGTAAATTTTATGTTATGTATATTTTATCACAATTAATTTTTTTAAGTTCCAAGTAACTATCTTTCTCTTTGACATTAATGTGAAAAGCAATCTCCTACTTGCCTATTCCTCCATACAACACTGAAAAGATGAATAGGCAATGGCCATGATTTGATCATGTTCACCATTTTCCCTCCTTTCTTAAGCACTGAGTCAAGGGTGAGAGGCATCCCGTGAACTACCGTGTGCTCTGTGAATACTGCCCTGCAAGCATCAGCCTCTTTAGCCTGAGTGCACCATAAGTAGTTAGCCCATTCTACTGATGCAGGGCAGGCAAGCTCCAAAATTGGGGCTTAGCCCGGGAGGGTTCTTAACTTTGCTCAGGAAAGAACTGAAGAGCGAGCCTGTGGTGGAAGAAAGCAGGTTTATTGAAGCAGCAGTGGCAGCAAGGTAGCTGTTCCTTGCAGAGCAGGACAACCCATAGGCAGTGAGCCCACAGTAGCAGCCAGTGGGCTGCTGGCTAACTGTACTTATACCGACTTTTAATTACATGCAAATTAAGGGGTGGGTTATTCAGAACTATCTGGAAAAGGTGTGGGGAGTTTCCAGAACCATATGAGGTAACTTGCTGACCGTTGCTATGGTGTGTTTCCATGGCATTTGTAAACTGTCATGGCACCGGTGGGAGTGTCTTTATGCTAATAAGTGGCGAGGGTAATGAGAGTTTGCTTTCCTGGCCATCTGCTGGTTTGGGCTGTTTTTTTAGTGCATCCCATCTTGACCAGATCATGCTCTGATTAGCTGGGTTGTGACCAGAAAACAGGTCCTGCTGATCTCCTACCTCACTATCTCTCCCACCACTCATAGGATTAACATTAATTACAAATGAACAACAAAACCTCCTTTTCTGTCACTAGAGGTTTCAGCAGCTGAAAAGCTCCCACATACATGTGTTGCACAAAGATGAAAGCTGATTCAGACTTTGTATGGCAGTGACTTATTCCAAGTATGAGGTGACATGCTTGCTCTCCCACACAAGCGTTAGTCACTGCTATTCTGCTGTATACCTCTGACATACACAATGTCCAAGCTGTTCCTTCACAAAGGAATCTTGCTCACAGCATAGTCTTCAAGCATAGTATTTGCCAGACACTGTAGGTAGCCTATCCAACAGCCACCAGCGCTGCCACCTTCCTGGCTGGTGGAGCTACCCTCCTTTTTTTTTCTCTTTTTTTTTTTTTTTTTGTTGAGACAGAGTTCTACTCTGTCCCCCAGGCTGGAGTGCAGTGGCATGACCTCAGCTCACTGTAACTTCCACCTCTCAGGTTCAAGCGATTCTCCTGCCTCAGCCTCCCAAGTAGCTGGGATTACAGGCACCTGCCACCATGCCCAGCTAATTTTTGTATTTTCGGTAGAGACAGAGTTTTGCCATGTTGGTCAGGCTGGTCTCAATCTCCTGACCTCAGGTGACCTACCCACCTCTGCCTCCCAAAGTGCTGAGATTATAGGCATGAGTCACTGCACCTGGCTGGAGCTACCTCTTTTTATTAAGCCTGTGAAAAGCACATGCTCACCTTCTCAGCACTGCATGCAACCAAGGGGATGGAATTTGACCCAATCCTAGTCAGTGGGAAAGAACTAAACCGCCCCCGCAAGGACGATCAATTGGAAGATCAGAAAGAATCTGTCAATGCTGAGACTCTGCATTAAACACTAACCTGCACCTGAACCTCTTGCAGAGTAAAGGTCTTCTGTCTGCTCTTACATGCTTTTGTTTTTTTCTATTATTTGCAGCCAAAAGCAACCTTTCAATACAGGTATGAACTCTACTGCCATTTCTACAAGCTTCTTGGAAATTATGTGACTTGTACCTACTTTTGCTACTTTAAAAAGCACCTTTGATTTATGTCACTGTGGTTTTGCTGTCTCCTCTGTATTCGGTGACAACACTAATCACTTTTGAATAGGAAAGCTACATGTAGCAGTTGTTCTAAGAAATCTCTATTGCTTTACCTGAGGCAGGCAGATCATGAGGTCAGGGGTTCGAGACCAGCCTGACCAACATGGTGAAACCCCCGTCTATACTAAAAATACAAAAATTAGCTGGGCGTGGTGGTGCGCGCCTGTAATCCCAGCTACTCAAGAGGCTGAGGCAGGAGAATCACTTGAACCCAGGAGGCAAAGGTTGCAGTGAGCCAAGATGATGCCACTGCACTCCAGCCTGGGCGACAGAGCAAGACTCCATCTCAATAAATAAATAAATAAGAAAATAACACAAAAGCTTTCAGAGGTTCATGCGACTGTTTGATAAAGTTTCAGAATGGGCAGCACACTAGGGACAAATACATGTCAGAACCAATACAACCTACCTGTCAGGGAGTATAATACCTTCTAGATATTTTCGGGTTTTGGCTCACAATCACTTATTCCGGTATGCATGTCTATACTATACGTGCACTGGGCTCAATATTTAAAAGTCAATATTGACTTTGATGACATTATTGTAAATTGTAGCAATTAGATTAGTTTTTAATCACAACTTCCATGCTTTTGAGCCATTGATCCATTTTGTGATTCGGGGATCTAATGCAACACAATAGCCAACCCTGAAAATGCAAATGTAATAAATGTACACAATAACACACAAAGGAAGAATATCAGAAAATAACACCTTGTCGGCCAAGTACAGTGGCTCATACCTCTAATCCCAGCACTTTCGGAGGCCGAGGAGGGCGGATCATGAGGTCAGGAGTTCGAGACCAGCCTAGTCAACATGGTGAAACCCCATCTATACTAAAAATACAAAAATTAGCTGGAAATGGTGGTGCCTGCCTGTAATCCCAGCTACTCCAGAGGCTGAGGCAGGAGAATCGCTTGAACTTGAACCTGGGAGGCGGAGGTTGCAGTGAGCCAAGATCATGCCACTGCACTCCAGCCTGGGTGACAGAGCGAGACTCTGTCTCAAAAATAAATAAATAAAAATGGGCATGGTGGTACGCCCCTGTACTCCCAGCTACTTGGGAGGCTGAGGCAGAGGCATCACTTGAACCCAGGAGACAGAGGTTGCGTTGAGCCGAGATCGTGCCACTACACTCCAGCCCGGGAGACAAAGTGAGACTATCTCAAAAAATAATAATAATAAAATAAAATAGAAAATAACAACTTGTTGCCTGAATTTAGACAAGAACCCACTGTAGTCCCTGGAGTCCGTGTGCCACACAATTATTAAGGCCACAACACTATTTCTGTGCAAATCACTAGTTTCAAATGTTTGAGATGTATGGGTTTCTTGCTCTTTTTCTCTAAAACCTTCCACTTAGAAGACCATCATTGACCACCAGTGGTTCGTGGAACACATTTTGAGAAACACCACTCTAGGGTCAATTTTTTTTTTTTTTTCTGAGACATGATCTTTCTCTGTTGCCCAGGCTGGAGTGTGGTGGTCCAAATCACAGCTCACTGTATCCTCAACCTCCCAGGCTCAAGTGATCCTCCTGCTTCAGCCTACCAAGTAGCTGGGACTACAAGCACATGCCACCATGCCTGGGTAATTTTTAAATTTTTTTGTAGACACAAGGTTTCAATATATTACCCAGGGTGGTCTCAAATTTCTGAGCACAAACAATCCTCCTGCCTCGGCCTCCCAAAGTGCTGGGATTACAGGCATGAGCCACTGTGCCCAGCCATTAGGGCTGAATTCTTACAAAGCCTTATCTTCTGATTCCCTTTCTGAGGAAACTGCATAATAATTAGTCATCCTGGGGACTCAAAAGCTTCAAAATCCACAGGGATTTTGGAGCCTCTGCTGATGTATAGGACAGACATTTTTGGCTGGAGGTAAAGGGCCACTTTCCATCTTCCCTTCAAATCACTCAACTGCCTCCCTTCTGTTTTTCTAATTGAAACATCCACACGGCCCGGGTCCCTTGCTGGTGATAGCTGCAGTGGCGTCACTCCGAGGTCAGGAATGGCTTGTCCTGTGAGGCCCCCAGCTCAGTGCCAAGCACCATGATGAACTTTATGCCAGGATGGTGGCATAATAGCAAGAATGACCTTATTGTGGGCAGCAGCTCTCAATGTGGGACCCCAACATGTTCTTCAATCACTCACTATATGCAGACAGTGTGCCCTTCAACACATCCTAGGACTTGTAGGAAACGCTTGTGAGTATTGGTCACTCCAGAGACCTTTCCAGGTGGAAAAGTAGCCACTGGAGGTTGTCCCTTCTCTATTCTATGCCCCCTCCACCCGACAGCTCCACCAGCTTACCATCGGCACCAGCCCTGAGAGTGGAGTGAGCAGATTAAGAGGTCAGGTTACTTCCAAGAGAGGGATATTCACAACCCTACTCTGGTTAACTTCTTGTCCTGGCCCCAGGCCTCAGTGCTGGCCAGGGTCCACCGTGGTAAAGGGACCCCATGGGTGTCATCCTTCAGGACTCATATCCACAGAAGGCTTTTTTATTTTTAGACCTTTGACATATTTCCCAAGAGCGGTAGATGCATCTTTTTGTGCATGTTTTAATTTATTAACACAAACATTTAAAGTACGCTTTTTAAAAAAATAATCATGTCTTGGCATTTTTTCAGGTACTATATTCATAGCCTCAAAAAATAGAAGTGGTTGGGTCTCTTCTGCCCCTGGGGCTGGGTGAGCTGCAGCCGCACCGGGGCCATGTCCCTCCCTAGAGGGCGCTCCTCCCTTCCAGCCAGCAATGTTGCCCAACGCGGGAGGCCAGCTGTGCAGAACCCAGCATGCAGGCATCTCACTCCCAATTCAGCCTGGGAAATCGGAACTGAGAGCCCCACGATGAAGCCCTGAGCTGATGCTGACATGACACTAATTCACTGGAAACGAGGGTGATGGGGGCACAGAGCCTCTCATGCTGTGCGCCCTGAAGCCCACCCTCTGGGATGGAAGGGGACTTCTCACGCGAAGCTGGAGAGTTCAGACATTGTCCTGAGGGTAATGGGGAGCTGTTGAAGACAGGTGGGGATGAGCAGCATATTCAGAACTGTATTTTAGAAAGATCGGGCCGGGCGAGGTGGCGTGTGCCTGTAGTCCCAGCTACTCAGGAGGCTGAGACAGCAGAATTACTTGAACCCGGGAGGCGGAGGTTGCAGTGAGCCGAGATCACGCCATTGCACTCCAGCCTGGGTGACAGAGCGAGACTCCGTCTCAAAAAAAAAAAAAAGAAAAGAAAAAAAAAAAAAAAGAAAGGAAAGAAAGATCATTCGTGCCTCATGGGAGAAGGGAGACTGAGGCCTGGGGGTATTGTCCATGTATTTCTAGGTAGAAATTGCAAGTCAAGTCCTTTGGGGAACACAGCAGGGACCCTGTCCTAAGGGTTTCCAGTTGGAACCTTGACAAGACAAAGGCCCCTTCCCAAGCAAGACGTTTTCTCCCAAAGACAGGAAGCAGGCCCATCCCAGCCTCTCTCGGTGGTGCAGTGGTTCCTCCCCGTCAGGCCTGACAGGTGAGGGTAAGTAAGTGGGGAAAACTCGCGGGGGAGAAGAAGTCCAAGGCAAAGAGGGGATCATTTCTCACTGGGCGGGCTGGGGGTCTGTGTCCCGTTTTCTGGGGCAATTTGTCCATTTGCCTCCTCCATCATTTCCTTGTACTGACGCTTGAAGAAGCCAACCTAGGGGGGAGGACGAAGAAGAAACTCAGGAAGCCCATTCAGTGGAAGAGAGGAAAAGAGATGACTGAGGGAGAGGGGTCACTATTTCTGAAATCCTTGCTAGGTTCAAAGCACTGCACTAGGAACTTTATATGCATCATGTCATCTAGATTTAGCCAAAATTATTTTCTTTTTGAGATGGAGTCTCACTCTGTTGCCCAGGCTGGAGTGCAGTGGCGTGATCTCGGCTCACTGCAACCTCCACCATGCCCAACTAATTTTTGTATTTTTAGTAGAGACGGGGTTTCACCAGGTAGGCCAGGCTGGTCTCTTAACTCCTGACTTCAAGTGATCCACCTGCCTCGATCTCCCAAACTGCTGGGATTACAGCCATGAGCCACCGTGCCCAGCCTAGATTTAGCCAAAATTCTATGAGCTGGGGTAGAATCACCTTCACATTGAGAAATCAAGGCCCAGAGTGGAGCAGACACTGGCCTATGGTCAAAGACAAAAAGAACCCGTGGTGATGTCGACATTCAAACCCAGGTCTGTGCTTTTATATGATAATCTGCTGTCAAGGGAAACACGTAGAATGATGGAGAAGAGCAGGAAAGAAAGGGAGAAATATTAGAGGAAGCCTGGGAATCACAAAGCAGGGGGCCACTGGGGACAGGTGACATTGCAGGTGGGAAGCAGTTTCTCATATGAAGTGACCCAGTAAGAATGTGCCTCTGCCTTCAAAGTGAGCTCCTTCTCACTCTGCAAAAAGAGCGGGACCAGATGCTGGTGGTGTCAAGAGTGGCATAAAACACTCACTTTGTACAGTACCGCTGTGATGAGTGCCAGCAGCAACAGACCCCCAATGGAGCTGCCTACGATGAGGGGGGTGGGGTTGTGGACCTTGTACTTCTCCAGCACCGTTGTCGTCTGAAGTGGAAGTGACCCTGTCAGAGCACTCCCATCCTCCTACTATCCCAGACTCCTCCCAGGCTCCCCAACCTTTAACTCCCTCCCCTCCTTCCCCAGGCCCTGCTCCAAGAGGTGAGACACAGCAGCACCCGTGCCCTTAGGGACAGCTATCCTGCCCAGAGGCCTTCGCCCTCCTCCCCCAAGGCTTGCAAACCCCCCACCCAGCACCACAGATGTAGCCCTAGGGGCCCTCTTTCCAGCCTGGTCGCTGCCCTCCACATGGTCTCTACCTGAGCTCTCATAAATGCCTCCTGTCCTGGAAGCTGGGAGTACACGGATGTGTCGAACGTAATTTCAGCCACACTCACGACCGACACCTTCTTCTGCAATATCTGCAAAGGGGTTGGGGGAAACCTGTTGAACTGGCTCTGGGGGAGGCTCAGAGCTCTGGGGGTGCCCTGGCTTGCAGATGGGCACAGACATGCCAGGTCCCGCCTGAGTCTGGGGCAGGGGCTCTGTCGTTGCACCCACACACCTGGCGGACCCAGCCAAAGCTGAGGTTGCCCTTCAGGGTGAAATCCAGCTCCTCCTGGACGCTGAAGGAGGGGACGTCACAGCGGAACCGCAGGCAGCCAGCAATGGAGCAGTCCTGGGGGCAGATAAATAGCATGGGGCTGAGAAAGATGAGTGTGAAGGTGGGAGGCAGCATTATGCGGTGTGACTTGAGGGCAGCGGCCATATCCGAATGCAAGAGGGTACTTCAGCAGGATGGATATGGAACATGAACTCCTGGGTTAAATTCCTCTGATGTGGGGCCTACAGTGAGGGCCAGCCCAGAGCCCTCCTCACCAGCACGGGATTCTTCTGAATGTGCGCCAGGAAGTCAGATGCTGGGGGTGCGATTTTCTCTGAGGAGCACCGAAGGGATGGGTTCTGGGGGAAAATGCAGAGAACAAGTGTCTCAGCTGGGACATCAGGGACCCACATGGGGCACAAGGAATCCAGGTAGAAAGGGCATTCGTGGAGGAGCCACATGCAGTCCTTGGGTACCTGGGGGTGGGAGACCTCCACATCCATCCACACAGCCTCCTGGTTCAGCTCCACAGGCACCCAGAAGTTGATGCTGACAGGCAGGTCCCTCTGTCCCAGGTTATTGACCTGCACAGAGGGCACTGAGGGCAGAGCCCACGCCAAAGCCCAAATCCCTCCCCAGTCTCCGGCTCCCAGCCTCCCACCCCAGCCCAGTCTCCTGCGTCTCCACCACCTGCCTGGTATCTGTGCATGGCCACATGGCTTTCCTTCTCCTCAGACTCTGAGAAGTTGAGGTATTTGGTGAATTGTTCGTGGCTGGAGAGAGAAGACGCATAAGTGGATGTGAACTACCATGGGGCATCTGCAGAAGGCATTGGCTAGAGCATGAGAGGACAGGTGGTCGGTGGGGCCTTGGAATGTCCTGGAATGAGGGCTGTGGCTGAGTTAGGTTATAAGAGAGTTTAGAGGCCAGGCGCGGTGGCTCAGGCCTGTAATCCCAGCACTTTGAGATGCTGAGATGGGCGGATCACCTGAGATCAGGAGTTCGAGATCACCCTGGCCAACATGGTGAAACCCTGTCTCTACTAAAAATACAAAAATTAGCCAGGCATGATGGTGTGCACCTGTAATCCCAGCTACTCAGGAGGCTGAGACAGGAGAATTGTTTGAGCCCAGGGGACAGAGGTTGCAGTGAGCCCAGATCACGCCACTGAATGACAGAGCAAGACTCTCTCTCTCTCAAAAAAAAACAGAGAGAGAGAGTTTAGAGACCAGGCACAGTGCTCACGCCTATAATCCCAGCACTTTGACAGGCTGAGACAGGCAGATCACCTGAGGTCGGGAGTTCAAGACCAGCCTGGCCAACATGGAGAAACACCATCTCTACTAAAAATACAAAAATTAGCCAGGTGTGGTGGCAGGTGCCTGTAATCCCAGCTACTTGGGAGGCTGAGGCACGAGAATTGCTTGGAGCCAGGAGGCGGAGGTTGCAGTGAGCAGAGATGGTACAACTGCACTCCAGCCTGGGCAACACAGTGAGACTTGGTCTCAAAAAAAAAAAAAAAGAGAGAGAGTCTAGAAAAGCAGGGCTGGGCTTCAAACAAGTGCTAATTGGCTGAGTGCAGTGGCTCACACCTGCAATCCCAGCACTTTGGGAGGTTGAGGTGGGAGGATCACTTGAGGCCAGGATTCAAGATCAGCCTGGGCAACATAGCAAGACCCCATCTCTCCAAAACAATTTTTTAAATTAGCCAGGCATGGTGGCACACATCTGTAGTCTCAACTACTTGGGAGGCTGAGGTGGGAGGCTCGCTTGAGCCCAAGAGGAGTTCAAGGCTGCTGTGAGCTGTGATCACACCACTGCACTCCAGCCTGGGCAACAGAGCAAGACCTGGGCTTTAAAAAAAAAAAAATGAGGCAAAGAGCTCATAGCTGCCTGCAGAGGAGGCTGCCAGTGGGGCCGGGTAGTCGGTACAATGAACGGAGCAGAGAGCTCTGCCACTGACTGCAGGAGAGCAGGGGCCATGGCCTGCCCCTCCGCTTTCCTTCCATCCCTTTGTGGGGATGTAGGATGCCAGGGCTCTGTGGGACACAGCACAGAGTTGGGGTGGCCCAGGCTGACGCTGTTGACCAAATGCTACTGAGCATTGCCCCTTCCCAGTCCCCCACATACCTCCCCGGGGGCCCTTTTTTCCCATTTCCTTGGCTTTTCCGGGCCTGGGGCTTGGAGGGGAGGGAGGGCCCACAGCAGACTCTTCATGAGGTCTCAGTTTAACACCTCCTGAGCCCTTTTTGGGCACAAGCCTGGAGACCTGGTGGGCAGCTGGGACCATCACACAGGTGGCCAGTCTCACCACTGCCTCACTGCTTCACTCTTCCGGCACCTGTCCTCCAGCTGGCATAGTCCAAACACCAGCCCACCACGCCTACTCTGAAGCCTCATTCCTCCTCTGCCAATTTTTTGTAGAGCTAGGGTCTCACTATATTGCCCAGGCTGATCCTGAACTCCTGGCCTCAAGCAATCCTCCCACCTTGGCCTCCCCCAGAAATGCCCCAACCTGGCACTCCCTGTGCCCTAACCCACAGAGTCACACCTGCCATGTGTGGCCAAGCTGTGGATCACACCTGCCATGTGTGGCCAAGCTGTGGACCACACATGCCTAGAGTAGGTGAGCCCTGCCTGTGGGTCCCCTGCCAAGGGGTATGAGAGCCTGGGGCACACCCCAGCACACGAGCTCAGAGCGTGCACCTGGCTGGGAGCCTCCACGCATGCAGGTGCAGGTGAGAGTGGGAAACACCAGGCACAGGAGAACATCCAGCAAGGCACACCCCACAAGGGCGAGGGTTCATGTCTGGTTTTGATCACACATAATGGGGGCTCAGTAAATCTTCAATGAATGTCAAATGAATGTATGGAAAATAACCACAGCACCCTGCCTGGCACACAGCAAATTCGAGGAAGGCATTGGCTGAAGGAAGGTGTCTGCTGAAACACCTGACCTTTTAGTTTCAAACACCTTATCTCACCCTCTGTGGCAGCGTTTCAAGGCCTTTTTTTTTTTTTCTTTTTGAGGTCAGAGAGAAGAACCCTTTTTCCTGCAGTGGGGTACCTGCTGACCTGCTAACCACAGTGTAGACAGCATACTTCACCGGGAGCTCCAGCTGGAAGGTGGTCTTGCTGGTCCTGGGAGTGTTGTTCTCACTGGAGAAAGAGGAGAGACTCAGTTGCCAGAGGCCCCAGAGGAGGAGAATGGGGTGTGAGGCTGGAGATGAGGGGCACTGCCCCTGGCCTGGCCCGGCTCACCTGCTCACATTGGCTGTCAGAAGCAGCCGGTCTCCCAGGACAGCCTTGGGGGAGACGTCAAAGGTAGCCAAGAAGGTGATCTGAGGAAAAGGAACTGAGAGGTCACAGAGCAGTAAAGACAGGGTGGGGCAGGGGAGCAGTGAGGGGACAGAAGCCAGGCTGACCTGGGCGCCGCCACGGAAGATGAGGTGGTTGATTCTGCAGCTGGTGCTCCAGGTGCCCTGGCTCCCAACTGGGGCGCTGTCACATGTCAGGTGCAGGGAACGCAGCTGCCCTTGTTTCTAGGCATGAGAAAAAGTAGAGGAGTATTAGTTGAAATTGAAAGCAATGGCAAAAACCCAATTACTTTTGCACCAACCTAATATAACAGCATTCCAAAGACACGCCACGAAGTAGTGATAAAGCTTCCTGGAGCCCACCTTAAGCTTATGTTTTTGTTTGTTTGTTTGTTTTTTGAGACCAGGTCTCACTCTGTCACCCAGGCTAGAAAGCAGTGATGCAATCACAGCTCACTGCAGCCTCAAACTCTGGCCTCAAGCCATCCTCTTGCCTCAGCCTCCTGAGTAGCTAGGACTACAGGCACACACCACCACCATGCCTGGCTAATTTTAAAAAAATTTTTTTATAAATGGGACCTCGCTATATTGCCCAGGCTGGTCTTGAACTCCTGGCCTCAAGCAATCCTCCCATCTTGTCCCCCCAAAACACTAGGATTACAGGTATGAGCCACCATGTCCAGCCAAGGTTACGTTTTTAAAAGCTCCCCCATAGCTATCTGGTCAAACTTTCTTCCAAAGTAGAAATCTCAAATGTATTAAAATGTTCACCTTTTTATTGTTATTTTAAAGGCCTCTTATAATGGAAAATTTAAAACACATTAAAAAATAGAGAGACTGGAAAATCAACCCCATATAACCATCACTCATTTTAAGTAACCAACATTTTTCTACTCTTGTTTCTGCTATGTTCTCTTTCTGAACACTTTAAAGCACATTCCAAACACCATATTGTTTCATCTAGAAATACTTCAGTGTATACCACCAATAGATAAGGGTATTTTAAATGTAACCACAAGAACCAACAAATCACAGCCAACAAAATTAACAATTACTCCTTAATATACCAATATACTGGTCATGTTCTATTTTCTTAGATTGTCTCCAAAAATGTTATTTTACAGCTCATTTGTTAAAATCAATATTCAGCAAAGGTCCACCCATTACATTTGGTTGATATGTCTAGGAGCACTTTCATTGACAGTGATCACCCCTCACATGCAAGAGATGGCCTTTCCTGCTGTGTTCTTTTATACGTTAATCAAAATGCGCTTCCGCTGGGAATATTAGACTAAGAGAGACAGCAGAAATAACAACCAACCATCATGTATGGACCTAGTTCGAATTTTCGTTCAAATAGACCAGAAGTAAAAAGATATTTTTGAGACAGTTACACAATTTTGACTATGATCTTAATACCAAGGAATCACTTATTTCATTGGGTGTGATAATGGTGTTGAGGTCATATAAGAGGTCCTCATTGTTCAGAACTATAGAGTGTGTCTTTGTCTGTTCCCTGCTGCTATAACAGATTACCGCAAACTAGGTAATGTATCAATAGAAGCTTTGTGGTTCTGGAGGCTGGGAAGTCCAAGAACATGGCACCAGCATCTGGTGAGGGCCTTTGTGCTGCATGTGCAAGGCAGTGCATGTGAGAGTGAGAGGGAAAGGGGGCCAAACTCATCCTTTAATTAGAAACCCACTCCTGGGCTAGGCTCCGTGGCTTACGCCTGTAATCCTAGTACTTTGGGAGGCCGAATCGGGTGGATCATTTGAGGTCAGGAGTTCAAGACCAGACTGCCCAACATGGTGAAACCCCATCTCTACTAAAAATGCAAAACTTAGCTGGGCGTGGCAGTGGGCACCTGTAATCCCAGCTACTCAGGAGGCTGAGGCACAAGAATTGCTTGAATTCGGGAGGCAGAGGCTGCAGTGAGCCAAGATCGTGCCACTGCACCCTAGCCTGGGCAACAGAGCAAGACCCTCTCAAGGAAAGAAAGAAAGAAGGAAAAGAAAGAAAGAAAAAGAAAGAAGAAAGGAAGGAAGGAAACCCACTCCTGAAATAACTAATCTACTCTTGAGATAATAGTATTCATCCATTCATGAGGGCAAAGCCCTCATAACCTAATCACCTTTAAAAGGTTTCACCTTTCAACACTGTTGCATTGGGGATTAAGTGTCCAACACACGAACATTGGGTGATGCATTCAAACCATAGCAGAGTGAATAAGGAGGAGTACAATGACCCCCATGTCTGAGATTTGTTTTAAAATACTTTAGCAGGTCAGGCACAGTGGCTCATGTCTGTAACTCCAACACTTTGGGAAGCTAAGATAGGAGGACTGCTTGAACCCAGGGGTTAGAGACCAGTTTGGGCAGCATGGTAAGACCCCAACTCTACAAAAAAAATTAAAAAATTAGCCAGGTGTGGTGGTGTGTGCATGTGGTTCTAGCTACTCAGGAGGCTGAGATGGGAGGATCGCTTGAGCCCAGGAGGTCAAGGCTACAGTAAGCTGAAATTGTGCCACTGCACTCCAGCCTGTGTGACAGAGCAAAACCCTGTCTCAAAAATAAAGAAATAAAGAAAATACCTTAGCAAAGGGGAAAAATTGATGAAACAAATGTGGCAAAATGCTGCTAATTGTTGAATCTAGGTGACAAGTTTTGGGGAGGTTTGTTGAACTACTTTCTACTTTTGTAAATGTTTTAAATTTTTCATAATAACTTTTTTTTTTTAGACAGAGTCTTGCTCTGTTGTGCAGGCTGGAGTGCAGTGGCACAATCTCAGCTCACTGCAACCTCCGTCTTCCGGGTTCAAGCAGTTCTCTCACCTCGGCCTCCCCAGTAGCTGGGATCACAGGCACCTGCCACCACACCCAGCTAATTTTTGTATTTTTCGTAGAGATGGGGTTTCACCATGTTGGCCAGGCTGGTCTCAAACTCCTGACCTCCGGTGATCCGCCTGCCTCAACCTCCCGAAGTCCTGGGATTACAGGCGTGAGCCACCACTCCCAGCCATAATAACATCTTTGTTTAAAAAATCTGGTTCTCTTTGACTCCCCGTGGTCCTAGTTCTGCATTTTAAAGCAGGGATTGGCAACCAACAGCCACTACCTATTTTTATAAAGTTTTACTGCATCGCAGGTATATTCACTCATAAACTCATTCATGTCAATGGCTGCTTTCATTCCACAACACCAGAGGTTAGCAGCTGTGACACAGACCACGCAGACCACGAAGCTGAAATATTTACTATCTAGCCCTTTATAGAAAAAGGTCGCCAAGCCTTAATGTAGAGTGACCAATAAATTCAACCCCTTGCTTCTACAGAACAGTGTTTTAAAATATTTGAAGGCTGAGGTATGTTTTCATTTAAAAGAGGAATACTGATATAATATGGAATAGAAAGAAATTTGGGCAGGTTCCCCTCTGTCTCCACATTAGTGGCCTCTCAGGAAATCATTCCTGATAGTCAGTGTCCTTAAACTGCGATGCCCAAAGTTGAACACCCACACGAGCAGAGGCGTGCCCCAGATGGCACTACCACCTCCAAGCCCAGCCCGGGTTCTGAACCGCACGGGAATCTACGCTAACGCCCAGCCCTGCCTCCTCCTCCTTCCCCAGAGGGTGCACCTGGCCCTCTGCCACGTAGCGGTAGGACAGTCCTGCGGGGTGGGAGAAGGTGATGGTGGTTCCGTAGGAGTCTTCCCCGTCATTCCACACCATCACTTCTGCGTTCAGCTCCAGGTTACTCCCCACCAGCAGGGACTTCAAGCTGGGTATCAGGTGAAGGAAAGGAGAAGATGATTCTGTGACTGAGGCTAGAAATGGTCTGGGATAAAATGGGGTGGGTGGGGATTTGGGAGATAGACAGGGGACGGACCCCTGGGTTCTTCTTCTTCTTCTTCTTCTTCTTCTTCTTTTTTTTTAAGAGACAGAGTCCTGCTCTTTCACCCAGGCTGGAGTGCAGTGGTGTGATTATGGCTCACTGCAGCCTCCAACTCCAGAGCTCAAGCAATCCTTAAGCTTCAGCCTCCCAAGTAGCTGGGACTATAGGCATGCTCTACCACACTCAAGTGATGTTGTTGTTGTTGTTGTTGTTGTTGTTTTGTTTTTGTGGAAATGGGATCTCGCTCTGTTGCCCAGGCTGATCCCTAACTCCTGGCCTCAAAAGATCCTCCCACCTCGGCCTCCCAAAGTGCTGGGATTACAGGCGTGAGCCACTGTGCCCAGCCAAGACACCTGGGTTTTGACTATAGGATGAGACAATGTTAGGGAGAGCCAGAGGCAGGAGTCCCAGATTCCAGGAAGGAGGCTGGGGCAGTAGGGCAGGTCTAAGGTGGGGGCGCTCACCCTGGGAAGCTGAAGGAGATGCCGAGATTGTCCTGGCAGATATGGTCGGCTCCACAGTTCTTCTCAAAGGGTAGCTGCGTGGGAAGGCAACGGGGGGTTTTCTCCGAGACCCAGGCCCCACGCTGTGCACCCTCTCTGGGAGACCCAGTGCCAGGACTCACGGAGGCCGTGAAGTATCTCTGAGCATCGGCGGCCAGCATAGGCCGCAGGTTTCTGAAGGCAAGGAGGGGCTTGCCCACCAGCGTGAAGTTCAGACGCAAGGTAATGGGGGTCACAGAGTCCTCCACGCAGCTCTGGGGGACGGGCGTCGCGGGGAGCGGAGGGTAAGGGGAGGGTAAGAGCTGCGCTCGGCCTCATCCGCAGTTCTTATCCTGCCTCTGCCCAGCTCCCGCGCGGCTTCAGCTTCCTCCAGAGCCTGCTCAGCGTCACCGCCTTCAGGAGGCCTCCCTGACACCCTCTCTGTTCTCTCCCCTTGTTTGTCTTTGTTTTTTTCCTCCCCCCCCCCAGACCTCCCGATCAGCAATGACTGTTTTGGCCACCTATGCCCCTGGCCCCCAGGGCAAGGCCTGTCTCCCAGGAGCAGCTCGATAAACCCCTGTCCAGTGAATGCCTGAAAAAAAGCCCAGCCGGAAGCCCCAGAGCTCTCTCAGGTTGCCCAATTCTCTTTCCTGAAATCCAATCGTGTGGCCCCTGGAAATTGCAGCCGATCTCATCACTTGTTTGCTCGCTCACTCACTCACTGGCTAACGTGCAGTAAGCACGTCCTGCATGGCTGGTCCTGTGCTGGGCTGAGCCACAGGGAGGCCGGAACACAGCCTGTTCTCTCCCTGCCCTGCCTTCTGCCAGCCCCAGCGCGGCCGCCACCCACGTTCATGCCCAGACGCACCGGGAGCAGCAGGTTGAAGTTTTCACAGTGTGCCTTCAGCCCGAGGACTCGGACTCGGCTCAGACTCCGGTTCTTTGTTTCCTGGAAGGTGGCACGGGGACTCAGGCGGCCAGGGTCGAGGGCCAGGTCCAAGGTCACAGAGCTTTGGAGGTCACCTGTAGGCGGTCGCAGGGACGGCGTTGAGACAGGAACTCCTTGGGTGGACAATGAGCAGGGTGGGAGACAGGGGCCTGGGATGGGGGACTCCAGAGGTCAGGGTGTCCTGGGTTGGAGGGGAGGGGACTCACGGCTCCCAAGCAGGTTCTTAGAACGTTTGTCAATGTAAAGGCAGATGTTGGACTGTACCAGGGTCTGCTCAGAGACCACCTGCTCCCGACACTCAAACGCAGACCTGGGGATCTCGGCAGGTATGAACTGCATGCTCACCCCCACCCAGAGCACAGGTCTGGTCCTGCGGGCAGAGCACCGAGCTGAGGACAGGCCGTCGGCTCCTGGGAGCACCACGTGGGGTGGGCACCCCCATCTGAACCTAGGACCACCTGGGGAGCCTCTGAGAAAGGCTGCTCTCACCTGAGCAGGAGCACCTGGCCCCGGGCCCCCACAGCCAGGTCCACCAGTCCATCCTGGGTGAGGTCTTGACCCCCGCTCAGTGCCTGCCCAAAATACTGCAGCCTGGAGGAGAGCTGGGAGCCCGCGATCCGCTGGCCAGAGGAGAGAAGGGTGAATCAAGATGGAAAGTAGGGGAAGAAGTTGGAAATAAGTAACAAGGGGAATATGGAGGTAGGACCATCGGAAAGGGAGAGAAGGGGTGAGTTGTGAACAGATGTCACCAAGAAGAACCTGAAAAGAGGAGGTAGGAGTTGGGAGATGATTGCTAAGAAACAGATGTAAGAGTGGAGATAGGAAGGGTGTCCTGGTGACCCGAGTGTCATTCATTCGATCAGTCTCTAGTTCCAATTCTGACTCCTCCACGTATGAGCCACGAGGCCGTGGGCAAGGACTCAATCTGTCTGTGCCTCCGTTTCCTCATCTTTCATATAATGATACTATTAGCTCAGAGTTTAGCCATGCTCAGGAGAGGAATTCCTACGGTTCTTAGAACAGCACCCAGGATACAGCCAGCAGTCAATAATATATCACAATGAGTATTAAGGCTGAAAGGGACCTCAGAGTTTGTCCAACCTCACCTCCCTCGTTGCAAAGATGCAGGAGAGAGGTTGGGGACAGTGTCAACCCCAGGTAGCCTTTAAGAGGCTGACTGCAGACCTAACACCAGACCGTCCAACCCCAGGCCCAAGTCCCCTTTTTGTTTCTTGCTGTCACTCTGTCTCTTCAAAGGACAAGAAAAAGCCGCGGTGGGGTAGGGAGTGGTCGCACCCACACCCAGATCCACCCTCCCAGGCACTGCCTCCCCTGTAGAACCTATCACCTTCATTCCCAGTGCTCATGTTATGCCCAATCCCTGGAAGAATGTGCCCTTTAAATCTCTGTGCACCCTGGAACTAGCAGCCATTAAAAGTGATAATAATGGCTGGACGCGGTGGCTCACACCTGTAATCCCAACACTTTGGGAGGCCGAGGCGGGTGGGTCATCTGAGGTCAGGAGTTCCAGACCAGCCTGGCCAACATGGTGAAACCCCGTTTCTACTAAATAAACAAAAATTAGCTGGGCATGATGGCACATACCTGCAATCCAAGCTGCTCAGGAGGCTGAGGCAGGAGAATCACTTGAACCCGGGAGGCAGAGGTTGCAGTGAGCGGAGATTGCACCACTGTGCTCCAGTCTGGGTGACAGAGCGAGACTCTGTCTCAAAAAAAAAGGTAATAATAATGGGCAGGGCACACTGGCTTTGTGCCTGTGGTCCCAGCTACTCAGGAGTCTTTGGCAGGAGGATCTCTTCAGTCCAGGAGTTCGAGGCTGCAGTCAGCTATGATTGCGCCACTGAACTCCAGCCTGAGTGACATGATGAGATTCTGTCTCTAAAAAATAAAAATTAAAAAAAAGAAAAGAAAAAAAGGAATAATAACAAAATAAAAAGAGAAATTTACCAATTACTGAGGGAGTCTAGAAAGGCTAGGTGTACCCCCTCTAAATCTAAAAGTTCAAAAATAAAAATAAAATATTTGATTGGTAAAAAATGCTAACAATCGTTTAAGCCTTTAGCAAGGCATAATCTTTTTGCTGGTGGAGGGTCTTGCCTGATGGTGACACGGCTGACTGATCACAGTGGCAACTGCTGGAGGTTGGGGTGGCTATGGCAATTTCCTAAAATAAGACCGTGAGGAAGTTTGCTGCCTGGATGGACTCTTCCTTTCATGAAATTTCTCTGGAGCATGCGATGCTGGTTGATAACATTTGGCCACAGTAGAGCTTCTTTGAAAGTTGGAGTCGTCCGGGAGGTGAGGGGCGCCTCTGCCCGGCCGCCCCTACTGGGAAGTGAGGAGACCCTCTGCCCGGCCAGCTGCCCCGTCCGGGAGGGAGGTGGGGGGGGGGGTCAGCCCCCCGCCCGGCCAGCTGCCTCGTCCAGGAGGGAGGTGGGGGGGTCAGCCCCCCGCCCGGCCAGCCGCCCCGTCCGGGAGGTGAGGGGCACCTCTGCCCGGCCGCCCCTACTGGGAAGTGAGGAGCCCCTCTGCCCGGCCACCACCCCGTCTGGGAGGTGTACCCAACAGCTCATTGAGAACGGGCCATGATGACAATGGCGGTTTTGTGGAATCGAAAGGGGGGAAAGGTGGGGAAAAGATTGAGAAATCGGATGGTTGCCGTGTCTGTGTAGAAAGAAGTAGACATGGGAGATTTTTCATTTTGTTCTGTACTAAGAAAAATTCTTCTGCCTTGGGATCCTCTTGATCTGTGACCTTACCCCCAACCCTGTGCTCTCTGAAACATGTGCTGTGTCCACTCAGGGTTAAATGGATTAAGGGCGGTGCAAGATGTGCTTTGTTAAACAGATGCTTGAAGGCAGCATGCTCGTTAAGAGTCATCACCACTCCCTAATCTCAAGTACCCAGGGACACAAACACTGCGGAAGGCCGCAGGGTCCTCTGCCTGGGAAAACCAGAGACCTTTGTTCACTTGTTTATCTGCTGACCTTCCCTCCACTATTGTCCTATGACCCTGCGAAATCCCCCTCTGCGAGAAACACCCAAGAATGATCAATAAAAAAAATAAAAAATAAAAAAATAAATAAAAAATAAAAAATAAAAAAAGAAAGTTGGAGTCAATTCTCTCAAATTCTATGCTGATTTATCAACTACGTTTATATAATATTCTTTTTTTTTTTTTTTTTGAGACACACTTTCACTCTGTCGCCCAGGCTAGAGTGCAGTGGTGTGATCTCGGCTCACTGCAACCTTTGCCTGAGGGGTTCAAGCGATTCTCCTGCCTCAGCCTCCTGAGTAGCTGGGATTACAGACATCTGCCACCACACCCAGCTAATTTTTTTAGTAGAGATGTTTAGTAGAGAGGTTTCCCTATGTAGGCCAGGCTGGTCTTGAACTCCTGACCTCAGGTGGTCTGCCCACCTCAGCCTCCCTAAGTGCTGGGATTATGTAATATTCTTAATCTTGTGTTGTCATTTCAACAATATTTATATCATCTTCACCAGGAATAGATTCCATCTGAAAAAAAAAAAAAACACTTTCTTTCCTCATCTGTAAGAAGCAGGTCCTCATCTGTGCAAGTTTCATCATGAGACTGCAGCAATTCAGGCTCCACTTCTAATTCTGGTTCTCTATTTCCACACATCCGCAATCACTTCCTCCCCTGAAGCCTTGAGCCACTCAAAGTCATCCATGAGAATCAGAATCAGCTTCTCCCGAACTCGTGTTAATGTTGATATTTTGACCCCCTCTGATGAATCATGAATGTTCTTAATGGCATCTAAAATGGTGAATTTTTTTCCAGAAGGTTTTCAATTGACTTTGCCCAGATCCATCAGAAGAATCACTATCTATGGCAGCTATAGCCTTATGAAATGTATTTCTGAAATAATGAGACTTGAAAGTCGAAATTACTCCTTGGTCCATGGACTGCAGAATGGGTGTTGTGTTTGCAGGCATGGAAACAACACTAATCTCCTTGAACATCTCCATCAGAGCTCTTGGGTGATCAGGTGCACTGTCAATAAGCAGCAAACTTTGGAAAGAAATCTATTTTTCTGAGCAGCAGGTCTCCAGAATGGGCTTAAAACACTCAGTCAAGCATGCTATAAACAGATGTGCTGTCACCCCAGCTTTGTTCCATTTCTAGAGCACAAGAAGGGTGGATTTAGCATCATTCTTCAGGGCCCTGGAATTTTCCAAATGGTAAATGACCACTGGCTACAACTTGAAGTCCTACCAGCTGCATTAGCCTCTAACAAGAGAGTCAACTTGTCCTTTGAAGCTTTGAAGCCAGGCATTGACTTCTCTGAAAGTCCTAGATGCCATCTTCTTCCATCGAAGGCCATCTCATCTACACTGAAAACCTGTTGTTGAGTGTAGCCACCTTCATCAGAGATCTTCTGGAGAACTTGCTGCGCCTTCTCCATCTGTACTTGCTGCTTCACCTTGTACTTTTATGTTGTGGAGATTGCTTCTTTCCTTAAACCTCATGAACCCTGCTGACTTCCACCTCTGCTGACTTCCAATTTTTCTTCTGAAGCTTCCTCACGTCTCTCAGCCTTCATAGAACTGAAGAGCATTCGGACCTTGCTCTGGATTTGGCTTTGGCTTAAGGGGATGTTGTGGCTGGTTTGATCTTCTATCCAGATCACTCAGACTTCCTTCATATCAGCAATTAGGCTGTTTCACTTTCTTATCATTCATATGTTCACTGGAGTAACACTCTTAATTTCCTTCAATAACTTTTTCTTTGCATTCAGAATTTGGCTGTTTGGTGCAAAAGGCCTTCAGCCCATCTTGGCTTTTGGCATGGCTTCTTCACCAAGCTTAATCATTTCTAGGTTTTGATCTAAAGTGAGAGATATGTGGCCAGACGTGGTGGCCCACGTCTGTAATCCCAGTGCTTTGGGAGGCCAAGGCAGGCAGATCACTTAGAGTCAGGAATTCCAGACTAGCCTGGCCAACATGGTGAAACCCCATCTCTACTAAAAACACAAAAATTAGCCAGGCATGGTGGCACCCACCTGTAATGCCAGCTACTCAGAAGGCTGAGGCAGGAGAATCACTTGAACCCCAGAGGGGGAAGTTTCAGTGAGCCAAGATCACACCAGTGTACTCCAGGCTGGGTGACAGAGTGAGATCCTGCCTCAATAAATAAATAAATAGTGAGAGACATGTGACTCTTCCTTTCAGTTGAACACTTAAAGACCATTGTAGAGTTATTATTTGGCTTAATTTCAATATCATTGCATTGCAGGGAATAGGGAGGCCACAGGAGAGGGAGAGAGAGACAGGGGAGCTATCAGTGGTGGAGCAGTCAGAACACACACATTTATGAAGTTCGCCTTCATATACGGACGTGCTTCATGGTGCCCCAAAAAGAGGACAATAGCAACATCGAAGATCACTGATCACAGATCACCATCACAGACATGATAATTACAAAAAAGTTTGAAACATTGTGAGAATTACCAAAGTAACACGGAGACACAAAGTGAGTGCATGCAGCTGGGAAAACAGCACTGATAGACTTGCTCAGTGCAGGGTCGCTGCATACCTTCAGCGTGTAAAAAATGCAGTATCTGCAAAGCGCATAAAACAAGGTATGCCTGCATGTGATGGGTTGTGGGAATTGGTACGAACTGTTTGCAGTTTCATGACAACACGTGGGCCCTTGTTATTCTCAACAGTCTTTCACCCTCTTCTTTAGATTCCCCTTCAGGTGTTAAACTATGTGTTTTTTGTTTGTTTGTTTGTTTAGAGATGGAGTCTCACTCTATCACCCAGGCTGGAGTGCAGTGGCGCAATCTCAGCTCACTGCAACCTCCGATTCCTGGGTTCAAGCCATTTTCCTGCCTCAGCCTCCCAAGTAGCTGGGATTATAGGCATGCGCCATTACGCACAACTAATTTTTGTATTTTGGGTAGAGACGGGGTTTCCCCATGTTGGCCAGCCTAGTCTGGAACTCCTGACCTCAAGTGATCTGCCTGCCTCAGCCTCCCAAAGTGCTGGGATTACAGGCGGGAGCCACCGCGCCTGGCCAGTTGTTAAACTATCTTAATGATAATTAAAACAGATTATAACAACATGATACCTATTGTGTGCCAGGCACTTCATGCATACTAACTCATTTAATCCTCACAGCAGCAGCTCAATAAGGTTGGTTCTATTAGTATCACCATTTTACCAGTGAGAAAACTGAGCACAGAGAGGGTGAGTTACCTGTCAAAGATCACACAGCTGGTGTGTGACAGAACTGCAGGGACCTTCCTTGGCACTTTTTTCTTTTTGGTAACAGCTTTTTTGAGCTATAGACCACATAGCACACAACTCACCCCTTTAAAGTATATGACTTAGTGCCTTTTGGTATGTTTAGAGAGTTGTGAAACCACTACCACAATCAATTTTAGAACATTTCCACTACCCCAAAAAGAGACTCCACACCCATTAGCAGTCACCCTCATGCCCCTGACTTTCCCCCACACCCAGCCCTGTGAAACTGCTCATCTACTTTCTGTCTCTACAGATCTGTCTGTTCTGGACATTTGGCCTGAATACATGTGGCCTTCTGTGTTTGGCTTCCCTCACTTAGCATGTTTTATAGGTGGAATTGCCAGATCACATGGCAACTCTATGTTTAACTTTTTGTTTGTTTGTTTGTTCGAGACGGAGTTTTGCTCTTGTTGCCTAGGCTGGAGTGCAGTGCCGCGATCTCGGCTCACCACAACCCCCACCTCCCAGGTTCAATAGATTCTCCTGCCTCAGCCTCCCAAGTAGCTGGGATTACAGGCACCCACCACCATGCCCAGCTAATTTTTTTTTTTTTTTTGTATTTTTAGTAGAGATGGGGTTTCACTGTGTTGGCCAGGCTAGTCTCAAACTCCTCAGGTTATCCACCTGCCTCGGCCTCCCAAAGTGCTGGGGTTACAGGCATGAGCCACTGTGCCCAGCCTATGTTTAATGTTTTGAGGACCTGCCATGCTGATTTCCAAAGCAGCTGCGTGGATTTACATCATCCCCAGCATGGGGGAGGATGCCCGGTTCTCCACATCCTCACCAACACCTGTCATTATCCGCCTTTGTTTCTAGCCATTCTAGTAGGTGAGAAGTGGCATCTCATTATAGTTTTGATTTGCTGATGACTAATGACATTGAGAATCATTTTATGCACCCATTGGCCCTTTGTACCTCTTCTTTGGAGAAACGTCTACCCTATCCAAATCCTTTGCCCTTTTTTTTTTTTTTTTTTTTTTTTTGACACGGGATTGTGCTCTTTCACCTGGGCTGAAGTGAAGTGACGCAATCATAGCTCACTGCAGCCTCAACCTCCTGGGCTCAGGTGACCTCCCACCTCAGCCTCCCGAGTAATTGGGACTACAGTTACTACAGCACCACAATGCCTGCCTAATTTTTAAAATTTTTTCTAGAGATGGGGTCTCCCTATGTTGCCCAGACTGGCCTGAAACTCCTGGCCTCAAGTGATCCTCCTGCCTCAGCCTCCCAAAGTGTCGGAATTACAGATGTGAGCCACCTGGAGCAGCCCCTTTGCCTATTTTTTAACAGAGCTTTCTTGACTTTTGCCAAGAAAAGCAGCCCTTCGTTCTCAGGGAACCCTGCTCCCTTGGGGTGGAGGGCGGCTGCAGGGATGGGCATTTGGTGGGACCTTGATGGCAGGAAGGGAATAAAATCATGTAGCATCCAGGGAGGAGAGGGGCGAGTGGAAGGGAAGGTTGAAATGACTGGACCTAAGTGGTGAGCAGCAGGGAGCCGGGAGACTGCACACCGGGTTAGAGGTCAGGAGGCCGGAGTGCCCTTCACCATCTCGGACCCACTCTGAACCTCCAACAAACCAAGGCCCTTGTCTTCCTAGTGTCCCAGATTCCATCTGTAAAATGGGTTTTCTGTGCCTGACCTGTGTACCTTGTAAAACTGGCAGGGGCCTGGGCATGGTGGCTCACGCCTATAATCCCAGCACTTTGGGAGGCCGAGACAGGCAGATCACCTGAGGTCAGGAGTTCAAGACCAGCCTAGCCAACATGGCGAAAGCCTGTCTCTACTAAAATACAAAAAATAACCGGACATGGTGGTGCATGCCTGTAATCCCAGCTACTCTGGAGGCTGAGGCAGAGAATCGCTTGAACCTGGGAGGCGGAGGTTGCAGTGAGCTGAGACCACGCCACTGCTACAAGGTGCTCAGAGCTGGGCAAGGGAGGTAGGAAAAGGTAAAAAGGGACAGTTTTCCAGTATGACAGAGTGGGAGAGGCAAGAAGCAGGCTGCTCTAGTGACAGAAATGGGACACGGCCTCACCTGGCTGTGGGAGGGGCTGATGCTGGGTCCCAAGACTCCGTGAAACAGGTAGACAGCACCCCGGTTCTCCTCCTCTCCTGGGGCCCCGATGACCACGTCTGTCAGCTTGTCCCCATTCACATCCCCCAGCACTGTCAGAGCCGCCCCAAAGCGACCCCAGGGGTGGCCCTGCTCCCCGTAGAGAACAGCATCACACCACCACCTTCTCCACTGCAGAAAAAAAGCAGTGCCAGGCCCAACCCGGGCAACCCCTCCACCCACACCAGACCCCACCCACCCCAGGCCCATCAGCCACTCACCCCCCTGGGCAAGGGACACACAGACACCTGGCCCCCTCGGGTCTGCTCGTAGTAATGGGGGGCCCCGATGAGGACCAGGTCGGTGCTGCCGTCGCTGTCTACGTCCACGGAGCAGAGGGAGGCCCCGAAGTAGGAGCCGATCTGAAGGGCAGAGCCTGGGTCATGCTGCCTGTCCCTGCCAGAGGCAGCCCTGTGGGCCAGGTCCCACCTCTCCCCAGGTACCAGGACCTCCCCCAAGGCCCTCAAAGCCCCTCCATCCTCTCCTCTGCCCCAGCCACCTCCCCTACCCTCATCCTCCCCTCTGGCTCCTGTCACGCCCAACCTGAGTCCCCGTGACTTCGGCCTTCATCCTCCATTGCCTGGACACCTGGGTGAAGATGACAGCCTTCCCGGTGTGCTGGTAGCGGGGGGCCCCCAGGACCAGGCTCTGCACCCCTTTCCAGAGGGCCAGCTCGGTGGAGTAACCTGAGGGGCCCAGGCCTCAGCACAAAGGCCCCCATTCCCCCTCCCCAGAACCCTGGACCCCCACCCCGGGCAGCACAGCACCATCTCCCCTCCCCAGAACCCTGGACCCCACCCTGGGCAATGCAGCCCCCATCCTCTCTCCCCAGAACCCTGGAACCCACCCCAGGCAGCACAGCGCCCATCCCCTCTCCCCAGAACCCTGGACCCCCACCCCAGGCAGCACAGCCCCCATCCCCCCTCCCCAGAACCTGGAACCCACCCCGGGCAGCACAGTGCCCATCCTCCCTCCCCAGAAGCCTGGACCCCACCCTGGGCAGCACAGCCCCCATACCCCTTCCCCAGAACCCTGGACCCCACCCTGGGCAGTGCATCTCCCACCTGTCCCCAACCCCTGGCTGTTTCTCACCCAGGTAAGAGTCCCTCATGTCCACATTCTCCTGAGACATGTTGATGAAGGTAGGGCTCATATTTGGGGGGTACAGGAAGGCACCTCCAGACCAGGTGAAGCTCCCCACAGCCCCCAGAACGGGGCCATCCTGGGAGAAAAGGATTCCAGGGCTGAGCAGAGGCCGGAGCAGGAAGACAGCATGTACCAGAGATATGCCTTCCGCCTGCGCCTCTTACCCACCTGACACCCACCCTGGCCTTCCCTGCTCCCCCTCCCCTCACGGCACATCATCGGCCTAAGGGGCCCCACTCACAGGTGTGAACACAGCGCTGAAGCCCTCCTGTGCCATCTCCAATTCGAAGGAGCTACTGCTTGTGGTCTCCGTACCTGGGGGAAGGCATGACGCTTGAGTGCCAGGGAGGGAGACGGGCTTTGCCAGGTCCAAGAACACTTCAGCTTTAGGAGAAGCTAAGACTGGAGGCTACAGGGAGAGCTGGTGCCTGTGACAGGGACCAGGCTCTGCCCTCCAGATCAGCTCCGACTTCGGGGCCCCCCTCTGCTCCATGGATGTGGACAGCGATGGCAGCACCGATCTGGTCCTCATCAGGGCCCCCCACAGGTCTACAAGCAGACCCGAGGGGGCCAGGTGTCCGTGTGCCCCTTGCCCAGGGGAGTGAGTGGCTGGTGGGATGTGGGCTGGGTAGGGCCCGGTGTGGGTGGAAGGGTCTCCTGGGTTGGGCCTGGCACTGCTTTTTGTTCTGCAGTGGAGCCGGTGGTGGTGTGAGATCACTCTCTGTGGGGAGCAGGGCCATCCCTGGGGCCACTTTGGGGCAGCTCTGACAGTGCTGGGGGACGTCAGTGGGGACAAGCTGACAGACATGGCTATCGGGGTCCCGGGAAAGCAGGAGAACCGAGACGCTGTCTACCTGTTTCACGGAGCCTCGGGTTCTAAGTGGAAAGGTGTTAACGGCTGAGGATTCCCCAAGCGAAGAGCTCCCTTCAGACTCACCCTCAATGGCAAAGATCTTCTCCTTCAGTTGGTTTTGAATATCTTTCAGAGCATCAAAGTCCTCCACTTTAAATATGTGTTCCTGGGAGGGCTTCGATGCAATGTCATTTAATTCTTTCCAAGAATTTCTGTTTTGAAAAGCTAATCCAACCTGTCCCCAGAAAAGATCAACTCAGTAAAAATAATAAATCAAATGTGCCTGTGTGCACTGGGTGCAACATCTTCCAATAACCCCACAAGATCAACATGATCACACCCGGTGGACACAGGAGAAACACGAAGCCCGGACAGCATCAGGGAGTTTAGGAGAAAGGATCATGGTCTCCAGTCTGGGGCAGAGTTTTCATCCTTAAGGCAGTAAGAGCCGAGAGAGCTGGTGTTTCTATCCTTGAAAGGGATGTTGTTGGCGGTGGTTCACGCCTGTAATCCCTGTGCTTTGGGAGACCAAGGTGGCAGAATTGCTTAAGGCCAGGAATTTGAGACCAGCCTGGGCAACATAGCAAGACCCCATCTCAACCAAAAAGAAAATAGCCAGGCTTGATGGCACACACCTGTGGTCCCAGCTACTGGGGAGGCTGGGGTGGGAGGATCACTGGAGCCCAGGAGTTCAAGGCTGCAGTGAGCTAGGATTGCACCACTTCCTGGGTGATAGAGCAAGACCCTGTCTCAAAGAGAAAAGAACATACACAGAAAGGGGAGTTGCCCTGAGAGGAAGCCGTGGGAGAAGTGGGAAGCCATCCCACGCCCTACCCCAATTGCATAGCGGATGATGCCTGCTGCATCAGCCATGGGGATGACATCCTTATAATCCAGGCTGTCGCCTTCTTTCTTCCCATCAGTGATGACAATGAGAATTTTGGCGGCATCCCTACGGGCCCCATATGAGGCATGGAACAATCGGTGCCTATCAGGAAAGGAGAGGTCTTAGAGGCCTGTGAACCAAACCACACTAGCCCCTGGTGCCCTTGTGAAAATTAGAAGATGCCTTTTCCTTTGGGAGGCCCCAGTCCCACCCAGAGGCCCCAGCTTGGCAAGGGTATCACGGGCTGGATTTTGGTCCCTGCCTGTCCCCTTCTCGTGGAGACAGATGAGGCCCAAGGGAAGACCTGGGTGCTTTGGGACTGTGCCTGGAAGAAATCAGGACTCACACGACATTTTGGATGGCGGTGGCCGTGTATGTAAACCCTTGCAGCTGGTGAACAGAAGCCAACAGGCTGAGGGGGTTTGAGCTGCGCCTGAATTCCTCGAAAGTGAAGTGTGTTTGGAATTTGTTGGAGAACTGCATCAGGGAAAACTGGGAGAAGCACACAGGGCTGGGGCTGAGGCCATTTCACCAGGATCGAAGCACCCACCCCCAGCAGCCTCCCTCCCCCAAAGGCACACCTGGGTGCTGGGTCTCTGGAACTGGCTTATCACAGCTCTCACGAAGTTCATCATCGTGGCAAAGTTGCGGGAGGAGATGCTGCCTGAGCCATCGATCAGGAACACAATGTCCTGCTCCTGTCTTGGGCACTCTGGGGAAGGAGGTGGCACCGGTCCTCCAAGTGACACTCCTGGAGTCCAGGACCGTGGCCTCCTGGCCACAAGAGCTCACTCTCCCAAAACCCTTCCTCCCCTAAGCCCCTAGTCTGGCGATGGGAGTCAGGCTCCACACCCTGGGTCCTCTCCTCATCAGGGGCAGAGCTTCCCTAACCCCTTGCCTGGAACAAGGCCCTTCATTCTCTTAAAGTTGCCTAAAGAGGCTGTGATGAGCCAGGCGTGGTGGCTCACGCCTGTAATCCCAGTACTTTGGGAGGCCGAGGGGGGCGGATCACGAGGTCAGGAGATCGAGACCATCCTGGCCCACATGGTGAAACCCCGTCTCTACTAAAAATACAAAAATTAGGTGGGTGTGGTGGCACGCGCCTGTGGTCCCAACTACTTGGGAGGCAGAGGCAGAATTGCTTGAACCTGGGAGGTGGAGGTTGCAGTGAGCTGAGATCGCACCACAGCACTCCAACCTGGCAACAGAGTGAGGCTCCATCTCAAAAAAATAAAAAATGAAAAAGGCTGTGATGAAGCTGCTCAGCCCCATCAACAAAAGAGTGAAGGTCAGACTGGGTGCAGTGACTTACTCCTATAATCCAAGCACTTTGGGAGGCCTAGGCAGGAGAATTGCTTGAGCCCAGGATTTCAAGATCAGCCTGGACAGCATAGTTAGACCTCACATCTACTAAAAATTGTTAAAAATCAGCTGGGCATGGTAGCTCTTCTCTGTGGTCCCAGCTACTCTGGAGGCTGAGGTGGGAGGATCACTTGAGCCCAGGAGTTGGAGGCTGCAGTGAGCTGTGATTGTACCACTGCACTCCAGCCTCAGTGACAGAGTAAGACTATCTCTAAAAAAAAAGAAAAAAAAAAAAACCAGGAAGATTTCTCCAATTCAGACGGTAGGAAGCAGAGGGCCTACCCCTCCACCACCCTGGATATCTGTGCCCCTCCCTGGACCCACCCCTCCTTCCTCCCTCAATGTCACCCCATCCAGCAATGACACAAACTGGCACCAGTCCCTAGCCAGTGTTTGTCCTCACTGCTCAGTGCTGAATGGTAGTTTTGTTAAATTTCTTTTTTTAATTGAGATGGAGTCTCACTCTGTCACCCAGGCTGGAGTGCAGTGGTGTGATCAAAGCTCCCTACAGCCTCCAACTCCTGGGCTCAAGCGATTCTCCTGCCTCAGCCTCCCCAGTAGTTAGGACTAGAGGTATGTAACAGCATGCCAAGCTACTTTGTATTTTATATTTATTTTTTGTAGAGATGAGGTCTCACTATGTTGCCCAGGCTGGTCTCAAACTCCAGGCCTCAAACAACCCTCTTGCCTTGATTGTTAATATTTTAAACAAATCATCCCAGGCAACAGCCACACACTGGGCCTGTTCTGTTCTCAGCTTAAATACAGGCCCCCACTCCCCTCCTGTGTGAAGTTAGCATCTGTCCTGAGAAGAGACGATCTTCCAGCACCTGGAGAGGAAACCCCCTTCCATGTGACCTCTCAAGCATCCCCTCTGCCCCAGAGGCCTCCACCGGAGAGACAGGTGTCCTGGGCATTCTGATGGGTGCCCAGGCCCCTGTGGATGGAGTCTGGACCCACGGAGGTGCTGGAAGGCACACCCTATTTGCAGCCAGATGTCAGTCTCACCAAAGGCTTGAGAGCAAATGTGAAACCAGGGGGAGGCCTCAGCCTGCCAAAGCCCACTGTTTTGCTTCCTTATCTTTCTTCCCCATCAGCACCAGGGAAGTCAGGCCCTGCGTCTCAACCTGCATGTGCACACGCACACACACATACATGCACACACATGCATGTACATGTGTGCATGTGCACATGTATACACATGCATACATATACACACATGTACACACACACACGTTGCTCACACTGCACTTTCACTGACCTTTCCTAAACTACGGCACAAACCAATTGGTCATATCCCAGGACCCATTGGATGAAAATAGATCCTCTCCTCTAAAAATAACAACAGCTGGCCTTCATGGGGCTGTCGCCTGGTGCTAGCTGCTGTGCTAACCCCTGGCCATGAATCATCCTGTGTTGCTTTCAGTGCTGGGTGTGTTATTATCCCCATCCAACAGATGAAGAAACTGAGGCTTGGAGAGGTTAAGGTCACAGGAAAGGTCCGGCAGCGTGCGGGCGATCGGCAGGATGTGCGGGCAGCAGCGTCAGGAACCACTGCAACACGTGGTAACTCTTTTTCCAGATCCCTTCTTTCTGATCCACTCTGGCAAGACTGTCTCTAGCCCACCGCACCCCCAATTGGATGTGCGTGAGCTCCTCAAAGCCTTGGTGGTCCCGACACTCACCCTGCCTGGACACCGGGAGCCTCTGGGTGAGCTGGGTGGGGCCCAGGAGGAAGCAGAGTCCGGTGAGGTACATGTTCCTCCCGCACTCGTGGTGCACGGTGGGGCCGCAGGCCTGGGGACACAGCGGGCTGCTGGGGGGCTGCCCCTGCTTCCTCCCACCCTCACATTCCGGAACCTCCACCCTACAGGAGACTCCCAGCCCCCCGCGGCCCCGGCTCCTCCCTCCCTCCCTCAGAAGCCTCCTGTGACCCAGGGCCACTCACCAGCAGCTGGGAAGGGCTGGTGGTAGACGCCAGGGACAGGCCCAGGGACATGTTCACGGCCTCCGGGGGCACTGTGGGGACAGATATGTGCATGGTCACTCTCGGGGGTACAGAGAAGGCTGTGGAAGAGCTGGGCAGGGGTCACCTCCACCTGGGAGACAAGGAGGTCTGACGGTGAAGGAAGCTGTCGGGTCTTGACAGAGCTGCGGGAGTGCGATGGGCGGGGAGGCCTTAAGGGGCCAGGAAGCATATCTGAGGGTGAGGGTCTCAGACACAGTGGAAGCTGAAAGTGACACTCCGGTGAGTCCACGGGCCCCTGGAGCAGGGAAGCCTGGGAGCCCGGCCCTGGGTCCCGGGAGGGGCGGTGACTCACCCTGCAGGCCGATGGGCTCACAGGCACCAGTGCTGTAGCCACACTGGTAGAGGCCACCCGTTTGGTTGGCAGCTGTTATCTTTTGGGGGGCTCCAACCACCACCCTGCGAGGAGACAAAGAACACTTTAGGTAAGAGTGTGGACGCTGCAGCACAGCTGCCACTCCGGCAAGTTTGCGTTCCCTCCCTGAGCCTCAGCTTCCTCATCTGCAAGATGGATTTTAATAATTTAAAGTCCATGTGGAAGGGATTTCTGTCTGTTGGATTCTCTGGCGTATGGAGACAAGAAATATTTGTTGAGTCTGGGTGTGGTGGCTCACACCTGGAATCCCAGCACTTTGGGAGGCTGAGGCGGGAGGATTGCTTGAGCCCAGGAGTTTGAGACCAACCCAGGCAACATAGTGAGACCCTGTCTCTATATATTTTTAAATGTATAGAAAAAAAGAAAGAAAAAACAAATAAGTGTTTGTTGCACGACTGATTCCTACTCACAGGCTGTCGTGTGGACTAAATCAGCATCCACCTGTGATGAGCCTGGCACTGCACTTACTGCTCTGTAAATGTTAGCTGTGAGACCGTGCCTGCCTTCAAGGCAAATCTTCATTAGCCAGGGCAGTCGCTACACCAGACAGAGAGGAGAGTTTGCAAATAACAGGGCAGGGCCGGGGGCATGGGGCCCTGAGCAGGGAGAGGATGGATGGAGCCAAAGGCCAGCACCACCTGGGCCTCACCAGGAGTTGGCATACTGGACCACGCTGTCTCCAAACCCAGCGCTGTCCACACGGAAGGCTGTCAGCTCCTCTGTGTCCAAGTTGAAACCTAGAGAAGTTGCTAAGGCTGGGAAAGAGGTGGGAAGAGAGCTTTGGAGAAGGGTCTTCCTTCTGCCTGGCTGCCCTCCACCCCCGGCCCCAGCGTCCCAATCTCCCCTCCGAGCCTGATGCCCGGGGTGCCTGGGTCTTCTGGACACCCAACTCATCCCCTTCTCTCCTTCCCAGGGTCCAGGGATGCCCCTTGCCCACCATCCACTATCGAGTTGCAGTTCTCCATTTCTGCAGAGCAGTACCCAGGCTCTAAAAAGGATCTTTCCCCAACGTGCACCTCGGGCGCTATGAGAGTGAGTCCAGGAAAACTTGCGGACCAAAGCATCCTGTCCACAGAGCACAAGTTGGCGCATTCTGCCTATTTTAAAAATCTCTGCAGTACAGAGACAACTGGCCTCTCTTCCAGCATCTCTGGAACTCTCCCAAAATTGGTTCATCAATATCCTCTCCCTCCACAAACTCCAAATCTCAGACCCTATGTGCCTGCCTCCCCCTCAGGCTTGACTGAGTCTCTCTTCCTACCCAGATCCTAACCCCCCAGCCTGAGCCCCCAGTTCAGGGCCCTGGCTCCCTTGGGCCTGGGTCCCCAGCCCTACTTCATTGGGGTCCAGGCTCACCTGTGAACAGGAGGAGTGCTGCCCTGGTCCTGGTCATGACTAGAAGGTCAGATGTGGAGCTCTGAGCTCCTGGGCCGTTGCAGGAAGAGCTGGACCAAGGTACTGAGGAAGCAAGTGGGCAGAGAGGTGGCCAGGGGAAGGAAGAAGATTGTCAGCATGAGTCAGAGGGGGCGGGCAGAGTACGCAACTGATCCGAGGACAGGCTCGGCCTCCCACACGCCCCCACCCCCCAACCGGAGTCACTCTCATCAGATGACTTGGCTTGATGCCCTTTGCTTAGATGGATGCAAATCCCTGCCCTGCCCCTCCCAGGCTCACCCTTGACTGCCAGAAGGCACCCCTTGACCTTGAAATTTCAGCCAGACTGGAGGGGGTTTGGGCAGATGCCAACCCCTCAGGACCCTAAAGGAAACCCTGGTGGGAGCCCTCCACTCTGACCTGGAAAGTCTGGGCCAAGGAGTGGGGCATCCGGGTCCCTAGGAGGAGCACAGAGCGAGTATTTGTTCATTCATTCATTCACTCATTTATTCATCATTTATTCAAGAAGCCTAATTTGAGCCTGGAGATGCAAGCCCTCTGCTAGGTGGGGAAGAAAATATAAACCACAAAGCACCAGCCCTGGGGTCAGTGGAGAGGCAGATGTATAAACAGCAAGTTCATTGCTGTGAGGGGGAAGCACAGAGACCACAGGGTGCCTCACCCGGGTTGTGAAGGTGTGGCTTTCTGAGAAGGCTTCCTGAAAGAGGTGGTGCTTGAGCTGAGCATTGAAAGCAACCAAAGTTGGGAGATGACAGAGCAGCCAGACATGGATGAGGCAGGGGACAGGAGGGTCTGTGTGTGAAATCAGCAATGGGAACCAGACAGTCAGGGTGGGAAGTTGTAAGAGACAAGGTCAGGGCCACTGGGAGGAAAGCAAGGGGAAGCAGGCCTCAGGCCGTGGAAGCCCCCCTAATGTACATCAATTTTTTTTTTTAATTTCAGAAACAGGGTCTTGCTCTGCCACCCAGGCTGGAGTGCAGTGGGTGCATAGTTCACTGCTGCTTCGAACTCCTGGGCCCAAGGGATCCTCCTGCCTCAGCCTCCTGAGTAGCCAGGACTATAGGATTGCACCACTGCACCTGAATATATATATATATTTATATATATATATTTTTTAATTTTAGTAGAGACAGAGTTTCCCCATGTTGGCCAGGCTGGTCTCAAACTCCTGATCTCAATCAATCCTCCTGCCTCAGCCTCCTAAATTGCTGGGATCACAGGTGTGAGCCACCACACCTGGTGAAGACACATTGATTTTGTCCTGAGAGTGGAGGACAGCATTGAAGGGAATTCATGGGGACTGAGATCTTCACATTTTCATTTTAGAAAGTGGGTTATATGGGGGCATGGTTTCTTTTTTTTTTTTTTTTTTTTTTTTTTTGAGACGGAGTCTCGCTCTGTCGCCCAGGCTGGAGTGCAGTGGCGGGATCTCGGCTCACTGCAAGCTCCGCCTCCCGGGTTCACGCCATTCTCCTGCCTCAGCCTCCCAAGTAGCTGGGACTACAGGCGCCCGCCACTATGCCCGGCTAATTTTTTGTATTTTTAGTAGAGACGGGGTTTCACCGTTTTAGCCGGGATGGTCTCGATCTCCTGACCTCGTGATCCGCCCGCCTCAGCCTCCCAAAGTGCTGGGATTACAGGCGTGAGCCACCGCGCCCGGCCGGGGCATGGTTTCTTTGGGAAGCAGCTGGAGACTGATTTGTCAGGAGAGAGATGTTGGGGGTCTTTGGGGTGGGCTGGTGGCTGTGGGGATGGGCTGGAGGCTGATCGGTCGCTGCAGGGAGGACGAAGGTGATGGAGGAGGAAGGATAGGGGTTAGGCCAACCTCAGTTTTGAGGAAACCAGAGTGCAGTGTTTAAGAGCTTGGACTATTTCAACCTCTTTGTGCCTCAGTTTCCTCATCTGCAAAATGGGAGTGATCATGAAAGTCCACACCCCCTGTTGTTGCTGGGAGAGTTGAGTAGTGTGGAGGGCTCGGGAGAGTGGGTAGAAACCTGGGCTGGCAGCTGTGATCATTGCTGTGCTGTGACAGCTGTCCTGGTGGGAAGAGGGCATCTGTGGAGCCTCCGAGAGAGAGGTCGGAGGTAGCTGGGTGTGTGGGTCTGGACCTCAGGAACAGCCTGGATTCTGGGCCCATCAGCAGAAGTGCTGGGCAAGGTCCTGGTGAGAGTGTGATGAGGGAGGAGCATGCAGGCCATGGAAACAGCAGCGGTGGCCGCAGAGCAGGAGATGCTGAAGACTGAGGAGGCCCCACAGAGAGGCAGGAGGAGGCTGGGAGAGAGACGGGCAGGCCGGACAGGGGACATGAACCATGGCACAGCCTGCCAGACATCCAGTGAGGCAGGAGATGAGGAGGTCCCCGGCTCTGGTCACAGAGGCCATCAGAGACCCAGGAGTGGGCCATGCTGGGGCGGCGGGAAGGCCAGGCTGGCATGGGCAGAGGAGGGGCCGGCGTGAGGAAGGCGGCAGTGCTGTCACCTGGAGTGACAGCCTCGGACACACTTCCAAGCCGCGTGGGTAGGAGAGGGCCCTGGAGAAAGGGGGAGACAAAGAAAACTACAGAGAGAGAAGATGGAGGGTTGAACGCCAAGAAGGAGACAGCAACAGAAAATCCCCCCAAAAGAGGAAGTAGTGCAGGGTCTGGAGAGGATAGAAGAGGAACTGGCAATTGGGGATGCAGGGCTGGTCTTGTGGGCAGGGTGAGGGCCAGAGAGCCCTCGCCTTCGAGGAGGCCACAATCCCAGCCTTCAGGACACCCCCTTTCCCCGGGTTGAGGTCCACCTCTGGCGGAGGAGGCAGGAGAGGAGGACCCTGGACATATGAAAGACCCCGTCTCCTCTCAAGCTGCCCACCGACTTCCACGGTGCCCCGGGCTCAGCCAAGGTGAACTCGAATTGGAAGAAAGCCATGGTGAGACCACTCGCTTTTAGAACAGACAACTCAGGCTCAGCAAAGAGGAAGACAGGACGTGTCCTCAACTCAACCCACCCCTTTTACAAATGAGAGCCGTGTGACTGCAGCCTGGAACTCAGGGTGTCTAAAACTCATAGCCCCACTTCAGTGAATCATGACTATGATGTTTCCAGAGAAAGGATGGCGCTGGGGAAATGATGTAAGTGAGGAAGGAGGGTGCTGCCCGTCACCCATCTCCTCAGCCCCGTGGGACCCTGAGTCAGCAGAGCCCAGCTCCCCGTCTAGCCTCCTGGGGTGCTCAGAGCCCAGGCTGAGCCCATGGCAAGAGGTCAAGGGCAGAGGGAGGGTCTGGGGGAGTCTGGAGAGCAGCTAGCCTGTCTTGGGCTGATCCTCACCATCCCTGCTCCGTCCCTGAACCCAGGAGCGCTGGTTTAAAAAGGTTCCAGCAGGGCAGCAGGTCAGGGGGGTGTGGTTCTGGCACAAACAGGGGAGGAGGTGGACATGGAGAAACCAGATCGGACGCTGCTGCCTTAATTCGGATCTGATTTGCCTAAGTGAAACTGAAAAATTTGGGGTCTGTCTCCTGTGTCCTTTGTTTTCTGTGGAAAGAAGAGAACAGAAACCTGGTGGGCAGAAACCCTCGGATTTCTGGGTCCGTTTCCGCCCCATCTTCACCCACGGGGCCCGAGTGGAGTTACCCTAAAGTTTCTGCCCTTCCTCTCCCTGCCTGCAGTCACTCTCACTTCTCTCTTTGAAGGACAATCCCTGTTGTACCCCCACATTTTCTTAAAATACAATTTATTTTAATTCTAAAGTGTAAAAATACACAAATACAGAGGTACTCGGGAAGACGCTCTGCTCCAAAAACCCACCCTGAAGGCGTGGCGTTCCGGTGTGGTGACAGTTTGGGAGCACTGTCTGGGAAGCTCAGGAGGTGGAAAGAAGAAGCGGGCATGGGATAGTGATATCGGGCGGCCGACACAGGAGCTGCCATGATGACATTTATAGCACCATGCACTTTATTTATTTTCTTAGTAAAAACAATTTTTTTCTTCTCTCCTTTTTATTTTATTTATTTTTTTAGTAGAGATGGGGTTTCTCAGGCTGGTCTTGAACTCCTGGCCTCAGGCGATCCACCTGCCTTGGCCTCCCAAAGTGATGGGATTACAGGCATGAGCCATCTCACTCAGCTTCTTTTTTAAAATTTTAGATTCAGCAGGTACATGTGCAGGTCTATTACACAGGTATATTGCGGGGTGCTGAGGTTTGCACTTCTGTTGATCCTGTCACCCAAATAGTGAGCAGAGTGCCTGATAGGTGGTTTTGCAGCCCTTGCTCCCTTCCCTCCCTCTCCCCTTCTGGAGACCCCAGTGTCTGTTGTTCCCATCTTTATGTACATGTGTACCCAACGTTCAGCTCCCACTTACAAATGAGAATGTGCAGTATTTAGTTTTCTGTTCCTGCATTAATTCACTTAGGACTATGACCTCCAGCTGCATCCATGTTGCAGCAAAGGACGTGATTTCATTCTTTTTCATGGCTGCATAGTATTCCGTGGTGTGTGTAGCACGTTTTCTTTAACCAATCCACCACGGATGGGCACCCAGGTTGATTCTACGTCTTTGCTATTGCACTTTATTTATACTAGCTAATTGAACCCTCACAGCAGCCCCGCGACGGGGACTGCTGTCACCCCTGTTTCACAGATGCAAAACTGAGGCCCTGAGAAGTTGGGTCATCCTCCTCAGGTCACCCAGCTAGTGTGGGCTGAGGACAGGACTCAAGGTGCTGGAGTCTTGACTATTTGGCTAATGACTTTACTTCCTCCTCTCTGCCCTAAACGCTGCCTGTGTCATATTTGTTCCCTCAACCACTCATCCCACACGCATGGGCTGCCCACATGACATAGGCTCTGGGCTGGCCACTGTGAGAAGCAAGACAAACAGGAAAGGGTCTCAGCCCTCAAGGAGTCACACCCCAGAAGGAGATTACACCCCAGAAGTTTTACTAGACAGCACAGTGACTCTGCTTGATGAATCGCAGAGGGAGAGGCTTGAGATGAATTAGGCAGTGCCTGGTGCTCCAGGGGCTGGGCAGGGACTGCTGGCTTCCACACACTGGGGCCGTGTCCTTCTAACATTTCTTTTATTGTTTTGTTTTTCAGAAACAAAGTCTTACTCTGTCACCCAGGCTGGAGTGCAGTGGTGTGATCAGAGTTCACTGCAGCCTCAACCTCCAGGGCTCAAGTGATCCTCCCAATTCAGCCTCTTAAGTAGCTGGGACTACAGGTATGCACCACCATGCCTAGCTAATTTTTAAATGTTTTGTGAAGTTGGGGGCCTTGCTATGTTGCCCAGGCTGGTCTTGAACTCCTGGCCTTAGGCAATCACCCCCACCACCTCAGCCTCCCAAAGTGTTGAGATTACAGGTGTGAGCCACCACGCCCAGCAGTTTTAACCCTTTTATCCCCAGTTCTTCACACAATGCCTGATACATGGGAGGCACACAGTCCATACTTGGTGCATGAATGAAGTGAAAGAATGGCAGAATGTTATCCAGGCAACACAAGGATCTGATAGTTCCAGTCCCAGTCACGATTGCGGCTCAGTTATGTGCCTGGGAAAGAGCATTTGCTGCAATGGTTCTAAGCTGAGGGTGGGGGAGGGGAAGTTAATAATCAGTCTTTCTCAGTGAAGGATAAAAGATGACACTCTCTAGATGAGAGTTCATTGAAGGGAGATACTGCATCTCACTTCTCCTTGTCTCTCTAACAATGGGCATTGGACACCGAGCAGATACAACCAGGGGTCAGTTCCTGTCTGTGGGTGTAGGATGGATGGGTGACAGGAGGGTGGATAGGTTTGTGTGTGGACAGGTGGATGGATGAAAGGATGGGGTGGAGGGTGGATGGGCAAATGTGTGGGTGGGTGGGTGGGTGGGTGAACAGGTGGATGGGTGGAAGGATGGGGTGGTGGGTGGATCGGTAGATGGGTGGGTGAACAAGTGGATGGGTGGAAGGGTAGATGGGTGGGTGGGTGGGTGAACAGGTGGATAGGCGGAAGGATGCAGTGGTGCGTGGATGGGTAAATGGGTAGATGGGTGGGTGAACAGGTGAATGGATGGAATGATGGGGTGGTAAGTGGATGGGTAGATGGGTGGGTGAAGAAGAGACTGCACAGGTTTGAAGCAAATGGACCAAATGCTCAGCCCCCTCACCTGCAGACCTGCTCAATAATTGCATGAATCAGAAGCCGCCTGGAGCAAAGCAAGAGTCGCCTAAGAGGTAAACTAACTTGAATTGGTGTAAATTTAGAATAAAACAAGGATTTAACTTGAGTAACAGGCAACAGGAAACAAGTCAAGCAGAGGAAATCAATGAGAAGTTGGGGAATGTGGGCAACGCATCCCTGGCAGACAGGGAAATGCTGGGTCATGAGCAAAGGGAAGAGGGAGGAAGGAGCTCCTGCTGGCAAAGCCCCGGGAGAAATGAGGGCTGTCCCTGCTCAGACTCCCACACTGGCAAGCGATTTCACCAGAATGAGAAGAATATGGATTTAATTTGTATTTAAATTCAGTGAAATAGACACACAGGAGAAAAGGGGAAGTGAAGACAAGTCACTGAGAAACTGGGGAAGAAGGGAGAGAAGAGGAAAGATTATAGAAAAGAGGTGGTCACAGAAGGGGGCTTGGGTTTGCAGTGTTGGTGACAACACCCACACCTTCCATTTGAAGGCTTCCATTTGAAGGTGGAGGCTTCCCTCCACCCACCCATCCACCTGTTCACCCATCCACCCACCCATCTGCCCATCCACCCTCCACCCCATCCTTCCATCCGTCCACTTGTCCACACACAAACCCATCCACCCTCCCATCACCCATCCGTCCTACACCCACAGACAGGAACTGACCCCTGGTTGTATCTGCTCAGTGTCCAATGCCCATCATTGGAGAGACAAGGAGAAGAAAGCAGGATAGAGTGGGGAAAGAGGCTAAGTGACAAGGAGCTCTCCCCTGACCCTGACTCCAGCCTGGTCCCCGGAAGCTGTGAGCATGAATGGGTCCTTCCTTGAGGCTGAAGTGTGGCCCTTGGTTCTCCCCGGGTGGGTCAGTCATTGACCACCAGCCATTCTTCCCCACTTCCTCTAGCTTATCCCACTGCCACACAGAAGAAGGGGCTACTCCCCTGCAGGCAAGACCATTCCCCAGAGATTGGGGGCACTTGTGAGCCTTGAGCATCAACACAGCAACTGAGAAATTGGTGTTAACCCAATGTTAACCCTCCAAGCAAGAGTTTTTAAGGGCGAGGTACATTTCAGGAAAGCAGAAGTTACAGGCAAAATCATAAACCAATACCTGGAGGTTATACATTAGTTTGGCCTAAAAAGCCAGGATATCTTGAAGCAAGGCTTACAAGTCATACATGGGTTCAAAGATTCTTTGATTTGCAATTGGTTAAGGAAGGAAAGCTTCATCTAAAAACTTGGGGTCAGCAGGAAGGAATATTAAGGTCTGGCCTATGGGAGTGACTGTCTCTCCAGGGCCCTCAGGAAGAAATTTAGAGCAAAGAATAGTGATCAGAGTTCAGTCTTCACTTCCTCCTTATCAGTGGCCTACATACCAGCAGATGGCATTTTCCATCTGGGGGTGATATGGTTTGGATTTGTGTCCCCACTCAAATCTCATGTTGGATTATAATCTGCAGTGTTGGAGGAGGGGCCTGGTGGGAGGTGATTGGACCATGGGTGCGGATTTCTCCCTTGCTGTTCTCGTGATAGTGAGTGAGTCATCACAAGATCTGGTTGTTTAAAAGTGTGTAGCACCTCGCCCTGGTCTGTCTTCTTTCCTTCTCCAGCCGTGTAAGACATGACTCCTTCCTCTTCGCCTTCCACCATGACTGTAAGTTTCCTGAGGCCTCCCCATCCATGCTTCTTATAATGCCTGAGGAACCATTAGCCAATTAAATCTCCTTTCTTTATAAATTACCCGGTCTCAGGAAGTTCTTTGTAGCAATGCAAGAACGGACTAATACAGTGGGGGTCCAGGTTTCTGAAAAACAACTCAGGGATGTACGTTAAAACCCTTGGTTTTCTGGGGAACCACACATCTTGTGGCTCTCACTTCCTTGGCTATTGTTTGAAGTGACTGTTATCTTCTTGCTTACCGGGCTGCTCATATACTTCTCCAGATTAGCAAGGTGCCTGGAATTCTCCTTGAAGAAACTCAAGATTTTTCTTTATTTCCATGTGTAGGGGAACCCAGCAGGCCTCTGAAACGGATCCACGCTCAGTCTCAGGCACAGACAACATCTAGTGACCACAGAATGATTTCATCTTAATCCCTTTTTAGGGTAAAAGGAGGGAGTGAGAGAATCCCTAGGAAGGTGGGGTGAGAGAACAGAACAGGGCAGAAATCCAGGGTCTCTGTGAGAACTTGAACCAGTGGGGCCGTGCCTGGGAGGGGCTGGGCTGGAGATGCCTGTGTGAATTAAGAGAGGGAGAATTCCAAAGAGGAGGAGTAAGGCAGGGTCATCCCACTCAGCTTCTCTCTCCTGGCCCTGGCATGGTAGCAGGATTGGTCTCAACAGGCAAATGCGTATATGGCAGAACTTGGCAACCAATGCATTCCGTTCACATTCACTCAGCCCAGCCTGCAGAGGGATCTTATCCTTTAATGGCAGTGGGGCATAGGGGGCAGATAAGGGGAAGGATTTTAGCAATTGTTCAAGTCTGCGCCAAGATGGGAATGCCCACAGAGGAAGCAGAAAGGAAATTGCTCTATTGATCTATTTATCACAGTAGCTGGACCAGAGGATTGCGGAAAGACACAAAGACCAACCAAATGAGAACAGGCGAAGTCTATTTATTCAAAGCTGGCTCTAGCAAGGGAGTCAGTGGCCATCACTGGTGTTTTGGCAGAGACTCAAAAATGGGCAGTACAGTAGGAAAGCTTTGTAGTGGAAACTGGGAAGTCTTCAGGGATGCCCCAAGTAGAAGCTGCTGGCCTGGGAAGCTGTATGTGGCTCACTGGAAGCGGGCATCCTGTGCAATTGACTAGGGGACATATTTGGCTTTGTCTGGTTGGTCCTAAGTTGGAAGTAGGGACAAAAATTAGGGAAGCCATCAGTTATTGATTAAGTCCTGGACATGGGGCTGATTGTTAGTTATTGATAGGCTTCCTGGGCTGGTTGCTGCAGGCTGGGGGGCAGATGTCTATTTTTATGTCTAGTCTGACCACTATCCCTTTGTATATTCAGTCTCTTGGACTCTAGAAAATGTGAAGTATGCCAGGTGCGGTGGCTCATGCCTGTAATCCCAGCACTTTGGGAGGCAGAAGCAGGAGGATCACTTGAGCTCAGGAGCTCAAGACCAGCCTGGGCAACACAGCAAGACCCTGACTTTACAAAAATTTAAAAATTAGGCTAGTACTGGCTGGGCACGGTGGCTCACACCTGCAATGCCAGCACTTTGGGAGGCTGAGGTGGGCAAATCACGAGGTCAGGAGTTCAAGACCAGCCTGACCAACATGGTGAAACCCCGTCTCTACTAAAAATACAAAAATTAGCCAGGCGTGGTAGCGGGTGCCTATAATCCCAGCTACTCAGGAAGCTGAGGAAGGAGAATTGCTTGAACCCAGGAGGCGGAGGTTGCAGTGAGCTGAGATCGTGCCATTGCACTCCAGCCTGGATGACAGAGCAAGACTCCGTCTCAAAAAAATAAATAAATAATTAGGCTAGCACAGTAATGTGGGCCTGTAGTCCCAACCACTCAGGAGGCTGAAGCAGGAGGATCCCTTGAGCCTGGGAGATCAAGTATGCAGTGAGCTATGATCGCACCACTGCACTCAGCCTGGATGAAAGAGAAAGACCCTGTCTCAAAAAAAAAAAAAAAAAAAAGAAAGAAAGAAAAATGTGAAGTGGCCCAGTTGGATACTATATGGTCCTGAAGATGTGTTAGGATGAAGGGAAAGGGATGTCTGAGAGCTGTCTCTCCTTCAAGAGTGCACAGAGAATAGGAAGCTGGGGAAACCCAGGCCTGTTCATTCATTCATTCCCTCTCTCAGCAATTGTTTGTTACATGTTCTGGGTATTGTCCTAGGGTCTAGGGGTGTGATGGGGCTTCCTGTCCCCTGGGAATGTACAGTCTCCAGGAAAAGAAATGCAGGTTGCCATGGCAGCAAGTGAGAGGCAGAACTTCTCCCAGCTGGGGGATCAAGAGGATCTGGAGGAAGATCACTTCAGCTGAGGCAGGGGTCAGGTGAACAAGAAAAGGAAGTGAGTTCTGGGCAGAGGATACAGCATAGGCAAAGGTTGAGAGGTGAAAGGGAGTTAGGGGAACGCGGACAGGTCCCGACCTTCCCAGATAGGCCATGTTGAAGCCGGGCTTCTCCGGTAATTACTAATCACAATGCCTTTCACTTTCAGAAGCGTGTTGGTCAACCAAAGTGTGGCTCACCTCGGAAATGTGAGGTTCAAGAGGGAGGGGTGGGCCGGAGCAGAAGCTGAGCTACAGAGGAAGCCAGGGTCTCAAAGGTCACCTCAAAAACAACTGCCCAGGCTCAGAGGCCAGAGTGCTATGTGGAGTCAGGGGACCAGAGTGATTGGAGAGCCGTGTCCTGCCTAATAGGGCAGTTCTGTTGCAGCCTCATATTGCCAAACGTTTCAGTTTTTCTTTTTCTTTCTTTTTTTTCTTTTTCCTTTGAGGCAGGGTATTGTTATGTTGTCCAAGCTGGAGTGCAGTGGTGCCATCATAGCTCACTGCAGCACTGACCTCCTGGGCTCAAGCAATCCTCCCACCTCAGCCTCCTGAGTAGCTGAGACCGCAGGTGTGCACCAGCACACCTGGCTAATTATTATTATTATTTTGAGATGGAGTTTCACTCTTGTTGCCCAAGCTAGAGTACAATGGTGTGATCTTGGCTTACTACAGCCCTCGCCTCCTGGGTTCAAGCGGTTCTTCTGCTTCAGTCTCCTGAGTAGCTGGGATTACAGACACCCGCCACCACTCGCAGCTAATTTTTTGTACTTTTAGTAGAGATGAGGTTTTGACATGTTGGCCAGGCTGGTCTCGAACTCCTGACCTCAGGCGATCCACCAGCCTCAGCCTCCCAAAGTGCTGGGATTACAGGTGTGAGCCACTGAACCTGGCCCTTTTTTTTTTTTTTTTTTTTAAGAGACAGGTCTTGCTATGTTGCTCAGGCTGGTCTTGAACTCCTGGGCTCAAGCAATCTGCCCCCTTTGGCCTCCCAAATGCTGGGATTACAGAACTGCACCACCATGACTGGCCTCCAATTTTTCTTTTTTTATTATTATTATTATTATACTTTAAGTTTTAGGTTACATATGCACAACATGCAGGTTTGTTACGTATGTATACATGTGCCATGTTGGTGTGCTGCACCCATTAACTCGTCATTTAGCATTAGGTATATCTCCTAATGCTATCCCTCCCCCCTCCCCCCACCCCACAACAGGCCCCGGTGTGTGATGTTCCCCTTCCTGTGTCCATGTGTTCTCATTGTTCAATTCCCACCTATGAGTGAGAACATGCGGTATTTGGTTTTTTGTCCTTGCGATAGTTTGCTGAGAATGATGGTTTCCAGCTTCATCCATGTCCCTACAAAGGACATGAACTCATCATTTTTTATGGCTGCATAGTATTCCGTGGTGTATATGTGCCACATTTTCTTAATCCAGTCTATCATTGTTGGACATTTGGGTTGGTTCCTAGTCTTTGCTATTGTGAATAGTGCCGCAATAAACATACGTGTGCATGGGTCTTTATAGCAGCATGATTTATAATCCTTTGGATATATACCCAGTAATGGCATGGCTGGGTCAAACGGTATTTCTAGTTCTAGATCCCTGAGGAATCACCATACCGACTTCCACAATGGTTGAACTAGTTTACAGTCCCACCAACAATGTAAAAGTGTTCCTATTTCTCCACATCCTCTCCAGCACCTGTTGTTTCCTGACTTTTTAAGGATCGCCATTCTAACTGGTGTGAGATGGTATCTCATTGTGGTTTTGATTTGCATTTGTCTGATGGCCAGTGATGATGAGCATTTTTTCGTGTGTCTTTTGGCTGCATAAATGTCTTCTTTTGAGAAGTGTCTGTTCATATCCTTCGCCCACTTTTTGATGGAGTTGTTTCTTTTTTTCTTGTAAATTTGTTTGAGTTCATTGTAGATTCTGGATATTAGCCCTTTGTCAGATGAGTAGCTTGCAAAAATTTTCTCCCATTCAGTAGGTTGCCTGTTCACTCTGATGGTGGTTTCTTTTGCTGTGCAGAATCTTCTTAGTTTAATTAGATCCCATTTGTCAATTTTGGCTTTTGTTGCCATTGCTTTTGGTGTTTTAGACTTGAAGTCCTTGCCCATGCCTGTGTCCTGAATGGTATTGCCTAGGTTTTCTTCTAGGGTTTTTATGGTTTTAGGACTAACATGTAAGTCTTTAAACTATCTTGAATTAATTTTTGTATAAGGTGTAAGGAAGGGATCCAGTTTCAGCTTTCTACATGTGGCTAGCCAGTTTTCCCAGCACCATTTATTAAATAGGGAATCCTTTCCCCATTGCTTGTTTTTGTCAGGTTTGTCAAAGATCAGATAGTTGTAGATATGCGGCATTACTTCTGAGGGCTCTGTTCTGTTCCATTGGTCTATATTTCTGTTTTGGTACCAGTACCATGCTGTTTTGGTTACTGTAGCCTGGTGGTATAGTTTGAAGTCGGGTAGCGTGATGCCTCTAGCTTTGTTCTTTTGGCTTAGGATTGACTTGGCAATGTGGGCTCTTTTTTGGTTCCATATGAACTTTAAAGTAGTTTTTTCCAATTCTGTGAAGAAAGTCATTGGTAGCTTGATGGGGATGGCATTGAATCTATAAATTACCTTGGCCAGTATGGCCATTTTCATGATATTGATTCTTCCTACCCATGAGCATGGAATGTTCTTCCATTTGTTTGTATCCTCTTTTATTTCATTGAGCAGTGGTTTGTAGTTCTCCTTCAAGAGGTCCTTCACATCCTTTGTAAGTTGGATTCCTAGGTATTTTATTCTCTTTGAAGCAATTGTAAATGGGAGTTCACTCATGATTTGGCTCTCTGTTTGTCTGTTATTGGTGTATAAGAATGCTTGTGATTTTTGCACATTGATTTTGTATGCTGAGACTTTGCTGAAGTTGCTTATCAGCTTAAGGACATTTTGGGCTGAGACGATGGGGTTTTCTAGATATACAATCATGTCATCTGCAAACAGGGACAATTTGACTTCCTCTTTTCCTAATCGAATGCCCTTTATTCCCTTCTGCTGCCTGATTGCCCTGGCCAGAACTTCCAACACTATGTTGAATAGGAGTGGTGAGAGAGGGCATTCCTGTCTTGTGCCAGTTTTCAAAGGGAATGCTTCCAGTTTTTGTCCATTCAGTATGATATTGGCTGTGGGTTTGTCATAGATAGCTCTTATTATTTTGAGATATGTCCTATCAGTACCTAATTTATGGAGAGTTTTTAGCATGAAGGGTTGTTGAATTTTGTCAAAGGCCTTTTCTGCATCTATTGAGACAATCATGTGGTTTTTGTCTTTGGTTCTGTTTATATGCTGGATTACGTTTATTGATTTTCGTATGTTGAACCAGCCTTGCATCCCAGGGATGAAGCCCACTTGATCATGGTGGATAAGCTTTTTGATGTGTTGCTGGATTCGGTTTGCCAGTATTTTATTGAGGATTTTTGCATCAATGTTCATCAAGGATATTGGTCTAAAATTCTCTTTTTTTGTTGTGTCTCTTCCAGGCTTTGGTCTCAGGATGATGCTGGCCTGATAAAATGAGTTAGGGAGGATTCCCTCTTTTTCTATTGATTGGAAGAGTTTCAGAAGGAATGGTACCATCTCCTCCTTGTACCTCTGGTAGAATTCGGCTGTGAATCCATCTGGTCCTGGACTTTTTTTGGTTGGTAAGCTATTAATTATCGCCTCAATTTCAGAGCCTGTTATTGGTCTATTCAGAGATTCAACTTCTTCCTGGTTTAGTCTTGGGAGAGTGTATGTGTCGAGGAATTTATCCACTTCTTCTAGATTTTCTAGTTTATTTGCGTAGAGGTGTTTATAGTATTCTCTGATGGTAGTTTGTATTTCTGTGGGATTGGTGGTGATATCCCCTTTGTCATTTTTGTATTGCATCTATTTGATTCTTCTCTCTTTTCTTCTTTATTAGTCTTGCTAGGGCTCTATCAATTTTGTTGATCTTTTCAAAAAAACCAGCTCCTGGATTCATTAATTTTTTGAAGGGTTTTTTGTGTCTCTATTTCCTTCAGTTCTGCTCTAATCTTAGTTATTTCTTGCCTTCTGCTAGCTTTTGAATGTGTTTGCCCTTGCTTCTCTAGTTCTTTTAATTGCCATGTTAGGGTGTCAATTTTAGATCTTTCCTGCTTTCTCTTATGGGCATTTAGTGCTATAAATTTCCCTCTACACACTACTTTGAATGTGTCCCAGAGATTTTGGTATGTTGTGTCTTTGTTCTCATTGGTTTCAAAGAACATCTTTATTTCTGCCTTCATTTTGTTATGTACCCAGTAGTCCTTCAGGAGCAGGTTGTTCAGTTTCCATGTAGTTGAGCGGTTTTGAGTGAGTTTCTTCACCCTGAGTTCTAGTTTGATTGCACTGTGGTCCGAGAGACAGTTTGTTATAATTTCTGTTCTTTTACATTTGCTGAGGAGTGCTTTACTTCCAACTATGTGGTCAGTTTTGGAATAGGTGTGGTGTGGTGTTGAAAAGAATGTATATTCTGTTGATTTGGGGTGGAGAGTTTTGTAGATGTCTATTAGGTCCGCTTGGTGCAGAGCTGAGTTCAATTCCTGGATATCCTTGTTAACTTTCTGTCTCGTTGATCTGTCTAATGTTGACAGTGGGGTGTTAAAGTCTCCCATTATTATTGTGTGGGAGTCTAAGTCTCTTTGTAGGTCACTAAGGACTTGCTTTATGAATCTGGGTGCTCCTGTATTGGGTGCATATATATTTAGGATAGTTAGTTCTTCTTGTTGAATTGATCCCTTTACCATTATGTAATGGCCTTCTTTGTCTCTTTTGATCTTTGTTGGTTTAAAGACTGTTTTACCCGAGACTAGGATTGCAACCCCTGCCTTTTTTTGTTTTCCATTTGCTTGGTAGATCTTCCTCCATCCCTTTATTTTGAGCCTATGTGTGTCTCTGCACTTGAGATGGGTTTCCTGAATACAGCATACTGATGGGTCTTGACTCTTTATCCAATTTGCCAGTCTGTGCCTTTTAATTGAGCATTGAGCCCATTTACATTTAAGGTTAGTATTGTTATGTGTGAATTAGATCCTGTCATTATGATGTTAGCTGGTTATTTTGCTCATTAGTTGATGCAGTTTCTTCCTAGCCTTCATGGTCTTCACAATTTGGCATGTTTTTGCAGTGGCTGGTACCGGTTGTTCCTTTCCATGTTTAGTGCTTCCTTCAGGAGCTCTTTTAGGGCAGGCCTGGTGGTGACAAAATCTCTCAGCATTTGTTTGTCTGTAAAGTATTTTATTTCTCCTTCACTTATGAAGCTTAGTTTGGCTGGATATGAAATTCTGGGTTGAAAATTCTTTCCTTTAAGAATGTTGAATATTGGCCCCCACTCTCTTCTGGCTTGTAGAGTTTCTGCCAAGAGATCAGCTGTTAGTCTGATGGGTTTCCCTTTGTGGGTAACCCGACCTTTCTCTCTGGCTGCCCTTAACATATTTTCCTTCATTTCAACTTTGGTGAACCTGACAATTATGTGTCTTGGAGTTGCTCTTCTTGAGGAGTATCTTTGTGGCATTCTCTGTATTTCCTGAATTTGAATGTTGGCCTGCCTTGCTAGATTGGGGAAGTTCTCCTGGATAATATCCTGCAGAGTGTTTTCCAACTTGGTTCCATTCTCCCTGTCACTTTCAGGTACACCAATGAGATGTAGATTTGGTCTTTTCACATAGTCCCATATTTCTTGGAGGCTTTGTTCATTTCTTTTTATTCTTTTTTCTCTAAACTTCTCTTCACGCTTCATTTCATTCATTTCATCTTCCATCGCTGATACCCTTTCTTCCAGTTGATCGAATCGGTTACTGAGGCTTGTGCATTCGTCACGTAGTTCTCGTGCTGTGGTTTTCAGCTCCATCAGGTCCTTTAAGGACTTCTCTGCATTGATTATTCTAGTTATCCATTTGTCTAATTTTTTTTCAAAGTTTTTAACTTCTTTGCCATTGGCTCAAACTTCCTCCTTTAGCTCAGAGTAGTTTGATCTTCTGCAGCCTACCTCTCTCAACTCATCAAAGTGATTCTCCGTCCAGCTTTGTTCCATTGCTGCTGAGGAGCTGTGTTCCTTTGGAGGAGGAGAGGCGCTCTGATTTTTAGAGTTTCTGGCTTTTCTGCTCTGTTTTTTCCCCATCTTTGTGGTTTTATCTACCTTTGGTCTTTGATGATGGTGACGTACATATGGGTTTTTGGTGTGGATGTCCTTTCTGTTTGTTAGTTTTCCTTCTAACAGTCAGGACCTTCAGCTGCAGGTCTGTTGGAGTTTACTGGAGGTAAACTGCTGATACCCTGTTTGCCTGGGTATCAGCAGCAGTGGCTGCAGAACAGCAGATATCGGTGAACCACAAATGCTGCTGCCTGATCATTCCTCTGGAAGTTTTATCTCAGAGGAGTACCTGGCTGTGTGAGGTGTCAGTCCACCCCTACTGGGGGGTGCCTCCCATTTAGGCTACTCGGGGGTCAGGGACCCACTTGAGGAGGCAGTCTGCCTATTCTCAGATCTCAAGCTGCATGCTGGGAGAACCACTACTCTCTTCAAAGCTGTCAGACAGGGACATTTAAGTCTGCAGAGGTTATTGCTGTCTTTTTTTTGTCTGTGCCCTGCCCCCAGAGGTGGAGCCTACAGAGGCAGGCAGGCATCCTTGAGCTGTGGTGGGCTCCACCCAGTTCGAGCTTCCCAGCCACTTTGTTTACCTACTCAAGCCTGAGCAATGGCGGGCGCCCCTCCCCCAGCCTCACTGGCACCTTGCAGTTTGATCTCAGACTACTGTGCTAGCAATGAGTGAGGCTCCATGGGTGTAGGACCCTCTGAGCCAGGTGCAGGATATAATCTCCCAGTGTGCCATTTGATAAGTCCATTGGAAAAGTGCAGTATTAGGGTGGGAGTGACCCGATTTTCCAGGTGCCGTCTGTCACCCCTTTCTTTGACTAGGAAAGGGAATTCCCTGACCCCTTGCACTTCCCGGACGAGGCAATGCCTCACCCTGCTTCGGCTCATGCACAGTGCACTGCACCCACTGTCTTGCACCCACTGTCCTGCACCCACTCTCCGGTACTCCCCAGTGAGATGAACCCGGTACCTCAGTTGGAAATGCAGAAATCACCCATCTTCTGCATCACTCACGCTGGGAGCTGTATACTGGAGCTCTTCCTATTTGGCCATCTTGGCTCCACCCCCCACTGGCCTCCAATTTTTCAAGAAAAACTATAAATACAGATTCCTCTCAGAAATCTCTCAATTTTAAAATGTCAGCAACTAATCAAAAACAAACAAACAAGACCATGTGGGTCAAATAAGACCTGACAGCTGGATTTGGTCCAAAGGCTGTGAGTTTGGAATCTCTTTTCTGAATTGGAAGTGATTATGAGCTAAGAATCTCCAAAAACAAAGCCTGTGTGTTTTCCCTGGGAAAGGGAAATCCACACCATCTGGGCACACATCTCTCGAGAATCACTCCAGAAAGGGAGGGAAGCACCTTTCTAGCAGCTTTCTCATGCATCTGCAGGGGGGACAGGTCACAGCCTATTTCTCTATCAGGTCATCCTGCCACCAGGTGGGAAGGAATGAAGGGAGAGGACCCACCCCACAGTGCTCTCAGAGATGGAGGGTAAATCCCTAGAGACCAAGCCACATGGGCTCATCACGGAAGGTCCTACACATGGAGAAAACATAACTGCACCTGTGACCATCTTGGGGACCCTCTATTTTGAGTGCTGGCCTTATCATGAGTAGTGATAAGAGGAAAGGGATTAAAATGCTAGAAGCTGGGGTAGCTGCACCATCAAGAGGCCTTCAGAGGCCGGGAGTGGCAGCTCACACCTGACATCCCAGTGCTTTGAGAGGCCAAGAAGGAAGGATCACCTGAGGCCAGGAATTCAAGACCAGCTTGGGCAACATAGCAAGACCCCGTCTCTACAAAAAAAAATCATAAAACAATCAGCCAGGCATGGTGGCACATGCCTGTAGTTCCACCTACTCGGGAGGCTGATGTGGGAGATCACTTGAGCCCAGGAGCTCAAGGTTGCAGTGAGCTGTGATCACGCCACTGCACTCCAGCTTTGGCAGCAGAGCGAGACACTGTCTGAAAAAAGAAAAAGAAGAATAAGAAGAAGACGACTTCGGCCTTTACCACAATTGGGAGAACAGAATCTTTGGGAAGGTGGTGATATCAATTAACAAAACAGATAAACTGCTGTATCGGAGGCTCTGAGTGATAGTGTTTTCAACAAGACCAGTGTTCTCATCTCTCTCCTGTAATGGCATGAGAATATGGAGTCCAGGGCTGACATGGTGCCTCCGCAGAGGCGGGACCCAGCCTCCTCTGTTCCACTCTTGCATTCTTCGATGTCAAACTCATCTTCAGGGTCCAAAATTGTGCACCGTGATGCTGACACTCCAGCCAGCGGGAAGGTGGTGAAAAGAAACGACACTTCTTCCCTCAAAGGACCTGGCTCCGAAGTTGCTCGCTTCACTGCTGCTCACATCCCATCAGCCAGAACCTCGCCAGGCAGCCACACCAGCTGCACAGGAGGTGGGGAGACGAACCCTATAACTAAGGGGCTATACGCAATATCCATTGCAGCGTAACAAACCACCACGCAGGACTGAGACATCAGTAATTGATTATTTCTCACAGTTGCATGAGGTGACAATCCAGGCAGTTCTGTGGGACTCTCCAGTGGCTGCAGGTGTTGGACAGCTGGATGGAAGGATCACAGCAGCCTCATGCATGCACAGTGGCAGTGGCCTCCGCTGTCTCCTCCATGAGTCCACTCTTTCTCCAGTGGGCCATATGGATCACGGCGTGGTGACCTCAGTGTTCCGAGGGGTGCAGGGCAGGATCTGCTGTGCTCCTAAAGGTCTAGGCTCCAGAACTCACACGACCACACTCCTACTGTATTCTATTAATCAAAGCAAACCACGGGACCAGCCCAGATTCAAAGAGGTAGACAGGCCGCACCATGTGATGTCAGGGACAGCAATGTCACACTGCAAGGGTGTAGGGCCGGGAAGCACCATTCACTGGGAGTCAGAATTGTAACCATCTCCCATGGTGGCCCAAATTAAGATTCTACTCTAAGTAGGAAAAGGAGAGTGGATACTGAAGGGATTCATTTATTCTGAAGTGAGAAATCCCCAAAAATAAAAGCAAGCAGACGTTCCTGGACTTGGCCACTTATCACCAGATTTATGGTCCTGTTTATTAGTCACTTTGTGGTCATGCTAGGGAAATCTGTCGCTTGAAATGATTGACTTTTCTAACCCATCATAAAGCTCCTATCTGGCTGAATTCAACACAAGCTTCTCATTTGAAGACGCGGAGGTGAACTCTGAGTTCACAGGACTTTAACTGCCCTGCAAAGACTGGCGGCTACAGGCACGGAGGCTGCAAGGACAGGCAACTACAGGTATGGAGGCTGCCAGGACAAGCAACTAGGTACGAAGGCTACAAGGACCAGCATGGAGGCTGCAAGGACAGGCGACTACAGACATGGAGGGTGAAAGGACAGGCGACTAAAGGTACAGAACTCTCTCTGTTCCCGGAGCAATTCAGGACTTCTGCAGATATTGAGGACTTTTATCTTTCAACATAAGGAAACACAGAAATTCTTAACAGACTTTATTTAAGTCAGGAGAGGAAATAGCAAAGAACCGTCTAAAGGTGACCGTGTTTTGTGTCACCCCCACAGATACAAAGGGCCATTGTCTCATTAGCCACCTTTTGAGGGCATCTCACTTCACTTTGAGTGAAATTGGAACTACTCACTCTGGCTTACAAAGCACTCATGCCCAAGCCCTGCCCACTCTCCCAGCCTCCCCTGCCCTCCCTTCTGCCTGGAGATCTTCTGGCCCTGCTTCAGTCAGGTGTCACCTCCCTTGGGGACCCTTCCTTCACCTCCCTAAGGAGTAAGCCCTCTCTCCTCCTGCCACATGTGAAACAAGTGTCCCTCTAAGCCATGATTTTCTTGTATTTCAATGAAGATCATGAAATTACCATTTTTTGGCTGGGCACAGTGACTCACACCTGTAATCCCAGCATTTCGGGAGGCCAAGGCAGATGGATCACCTGAGGTCAGGAGTTCAAGACCAGCCTGGCCAACATGGTGGAACCCCATCTCTACCAAAAATACAAAAAAAAAAAATTAGCCAGACATTGTGGTGCACGCCTGTAATCCCAGCTACTCAGGAGGCTGAGGCAAGATAATCACTTGAACCCGGGAGGGAGAGGTTGTAGTGAGCTGAGATCACACTACTGTACTCCAGTCTGGGCGACAGAACAAGACTCCATGAAAAAAAAGAAAGAAAGAAAGAAAGAAAGAAAGAAAGAAAGAAAGAAAGAAAGAAAGAAAGAAAGAAAGAAAGAAAGAAAGAAAGAAGGAAGGAAGGAAGGAAGGAAGGAAGGAAGGAAGGAAGGAAGGAAGGAAAGAAAGAAAGAAAAAAGAAAGGAAGGAAGGAAGGAAGGAAGGAGGAAGGAAGGAAGGAAGGAAGGAGGAAGGAAGGAAGGAAGGAAGGAAGGAAGGAAAGGAAGGAAGGAAGGAAGGGAAAGAAAGAAAGAAGGAGAAAGAAAGAAAGAAGGAGAAAGAAAGAGAGAGAGAAAGAAAAGAGAGAAAGAGAAAGAAAGAAAGAAAAGAAAGAAACATTTTTGTCCAAAAACATGTCATCAATTTCATATGCTTTAACCCAATATCATAACAGTTAAATAACAGCCACCCTCTCCCCACACTCCCTCATGCCTGTTCTGGGGCCATTCCTCTGAGGCTGTCAGGACAGTAAAAGAGAAAAGCTTTAGACCTAGGCAGAGCTGGGATTAACTCCTAGCTCCATTCCTTCCCAGCTGTATGACCTCAGGCAACTGGTATGATCTATCTAAGCCTAGGTTTCCTCATAAGTGAAATTCATGTAAATACCAAGGACTGGTGTGAGGATTAGAGAGGATGTATGTTCAGGCCAGGCTAGTGTTTACTGTGTTTGCAAAGTATGAGGGACAGGCACTGGGCATCCTCCCTCTGAGGAAGCAGCCACCAAAATGTCACCTGCACACACCTTGGCAGCAAGTGCTCCTGGTGCCCTGACCTGAACCAAAGGCACCGTGTCAGGGGCTGTGTTCACCTGTCAAACATCCAGCCAGCAGCACTGGTATCACTTTCTCTGGCCACTAGAGCCCACTCTCCTCACACTCAGGGCAGGCCAGAAGTGGTAGGAAATTAACACACTCTCCCCACCAAGAGCAGCCCTCATCCAATAGCTAAGTGGAATCGGTGTCTATGCGCTCCAGCCTTCTCCCCTGGGTGGGGTGATACTGAGGTGCGTGTTCTGCACTGCCTCCGAGAACTGCCCAGTGGGGTGAAGCTCCAGGAACTCACAGCAGCTTCTCTGTGGGTGATACACCTGTTATTGGCAGCCTTCCCTTCCTCGGTATTTCCTGGAGCCATCTCTTTATTTTATTTTATTTTATTTATTTTTTTTTTTTTAAGATGGAGTCCTGCTCTGTCGCCCAGGCTGGAGTGCAGTGATGCAATCATATCTCACTGCAACCTCTACCTCCCAGGTTAAAGCAATTCTCCTTCCTCAGCCTCCCAAGTAGCTGAGATTACAGTTGCCTGCCACCATGCATGGCTAATTTTTTTGTATTTTTAGTAGAGACGGGGTTTCACCAAGTTCGACAGGCTGGTCTCAAACTCCTGAGATCAGGTGATCCACCAGCCTCGGCCTCCCAAAGTTCTGGGATTACAGAGGCGTGAGCCACTGTGCCCGACCTTTATTTTATTATTTTGTTTATTTTTGAGACAGGATCTCACTCTGTCACCCAGGCTGGAGTGCAGTGGTGCGATCATGGCTCACTGCAGTCTAGACCTTCTGGGCTCAAGTAATCCTCCTGCATCAGCCTCCGGAGTAGCTGTGACTACAGGCATGTAACACCAGGCCTGGCTAAATTTTTTTAATTTTTCGTGGACACAGGTTCTCACTATGTTGCCCAGGCTAGTCTCGAACTCCTGAGCTCAAGCAATCTTCACACCTTCACCTCCCAAAATGCTGGGATTTCAGGTGTGAGCCACCATGCCTGGCCTGCCACCTCTTAAATACGCTTGTTTCACCCAAATTCTTGGGTTTGCTTCTGGGAGAACCCAAACTTCCAGGAACATATCCTATAAATTATCCTTACATATATGCAAAAATGACATATATTTGATTTATTAACTCAGCATTGATGCAATAACAAGAGAATGAAAATAGTATATCAAAAGAAGACTGGTTAAATACATTATGGTACACTCACACAATGGAATACTATGCAGCGGTATAAAAGAATGAAAAAGTAATTTATGTCTTAATATGAACCGATGTCTGAGAAATATTGGTGAAAAAAAGCAAGATACAGACCAATATAAAGTATGCTACCATTTGTGTAAAAAAGCTTGTGTGTGTGTATGTGTGGTGTGTGTGCACACGTGCATACACTTGCACATCGCCTGGAATCTGTCTGAAGGAAACCTCAAAACACAATCTTGACTACCTTTAAGGAGGTGACTTGAATATCTGGAAAGGGAGACTTTTCACTGTACACTTGAATGCCTTGTGATTTTTGTACCATAGACAAGCTTATCCATCCAAAAAATTAAAGTCACATTGAAATAATAAATGAATCCAGAAAGGAAGCTTCATCATTCCTCAGTGGGCATCTTTATTGGGCATCAGCGCTGGTGTGGAGGAGGTTCCTGGTTCCACCCACGGCTTCTCATGGAGTCTCCATCCAAGCTGCGCAGGCTCCAGCAGGCCGCAGGCTCGCAGGCGACGGGAAGTCCCACTTCTTTCAGTGGAGAGAAGCTGCTGTGTTTCCCTCTGTCTTCACCCACAGGATTGACCGTCCCCTCTCCCGGAGGAAAACCCAGCAGCGGCTTCACCCACGCACAAGGGAGCCCAGGCAGTTCCCTTCTGCCGGAGAGGCTACGCTGCCGTCACCTACCCACACGCCAGAGACATCTGAGTCACACACGTGAGCCACACGCCCCTGAGCACACACATGCACACACTCGCACACATGCACACACTTGCACACACATGGACACACGCACACACACTTGGACACACTCACATACTTGCACACACTCACACATGGGCGTGCAAGTGCACATGCACGCACACGCACACATGTGCACACACTTGCACACAGACACTTGCACACACGCACATACACACTTGCACACACACAAATGGAAGCCCAAGCCCGTCCTGTCGGGGATACTTCGCTGTCCGACGTGTCCAGCAGCCTGGGGGCTACGTGTGGTCTGGGCAGAGTCCTGCTGGCCACCGAGAGGCAGCTCTGTCGGGAAGGAGCCGCTACTGGGGTTCGGCCCCCGGGGGACCCCCTTCACTCATCATGTCCTTGTATTGCCGCTTGAAGAAGCCGAGCTGCGGGGCAGAGGAGGGCAGTGAGAGCGACAGCAGCCAGGGAGCGTGCGGCTCCGCAGACCAGGGGGAGGGGGCGGGAGGGCCGGCAGAGACAGAAGGGACCCAGGAGGGCGGGGCGGGAGGGGAGTGACATCCGCGTCGGGGCCTGGAGAAAAACAGAAACTACAAGGAGGGCGACTCGTTCTCAGCGCGCCCCGCGCATGAACCCGGCCACCCTCCCTAAGAGACTGAGGCGCAGAGAGGCTCCCAGACTCGCCCCAGTCACACAGCTGGCAGCCCCGCCGGGGAAACCGAGGCACGGAGCTGCAGCGCGAGGCCCGAGAGGATGAAGGGAGGGGGTGGGGGAGCAGCGGGGAGCACCTTGTACAGCGCGGCGGTGATGAGGGCCAGGAGCAGCAGTCCCCCGACAGAGCTGCCCACGATGAGCGGCAGGGGGTTGGGGACCTCGAACGGCTCCACTTTGGTCTCCGTCTGGGGGAGGAAGGAGGGGCGTCAGGGGAGACGACTCTGGATTTCTGGGGGTTCCCCATTCACACCGTGTGCACCCCTGAATCAAGTGGGGAACCCCTCCTCATGTCCCCCAGAACCCCAGCCCTCAGTCCTCCTCCCCCACCTCTTCTCCCTCCTCTCCCTCCTCCGTTTCTCTGTCCTCTATCTCTCTCTATCGCTTTCTGCCTCTCTCTGTCTCTCTATCTCCATGGCTCACTGTCTCTGTCTCTGTCGCGCTCTGTATCTCTCTCTTTATCTCTATCTCTCTGTCTATCTCCATCTCTCACTGTCTCTGTCTCTATCTCTATCTCTCTGACTCTCTATCTCTCTCTCCTTTGTCTGTCTCTGTGTCTGTTTCTCCCTCTGCCTCTATCTCTCTGTCTCTGTCTGTCTCTCTCCTTACGTCTCTGTATCTCTCTGTCTCTCTGTCGCTCTGTCTCTCTCTCTCCCTCTCTCTTTGTGTCTCTCTCTCCTCCCCCAGAAATCTCCACAAGCGCAGCCCCTCTCCCTCCAATAGTTCCTCAGCGCCCAAGACAGGTACCTGGGACCTCACAAACGCCCCCTGTCCCGGCAGCAGGGTGAACACGGAATCGTTAAACAAGATCTCAGCTGTGCTCACGATCAGGAGGTGGTTATGCGAGGTCTGTGGAAGAGAGCGGGTGGGCACTGCACCTGGGCCCTGAGCACCACGCCTGTGCCCGGCGAAGCCTCAGGACCCCACACACCTTGATGTACCAGTCAAACGAGAGGTTGCCTTTGAGGGTAGCATTGAATTCTTCCTGGATGCCAAAGAACGGGATGTCACACTGGATTCTCTGGCAGACAGCGATGGAGCAGTTCTGGGGAACGCAGGAGGGGAGGGGACGGGTAAGGAAGCCGAAGGCAGAGAACACCCCTCCCCGTTTGCTCAGAGACCATACAGGTTCCAGCAGGGAAGCGCTCTGGGTCTCTGTGTGGCCCTGGGGCTGACTTAGCTTCTCACCACCACGGGGGCCTTCCGAAGCTCAGCCAGAAAGTCGGAGTGAGAGGGCAAGCGCTCCTTGGTGTGGCACGTACTCGAGAGGTTCTGAGGAAAGAGACGCACTGAGAAGGGGCAGAGATGAAGGCGCCAGGGCCTCATCTCGGGAGGTGAGATGGCCTGGGTCCAGGAGAGGGGCGGAGCGGCTCTAAAACCCAATAGCATTAACAGAGGTGAGAGGAACGCGCAGGGCCGTGCAGGAGTCAGGCCGAGCTCCGCTCACCTCGGAGAAGGTGACCTGGGGGCGGTCCCATATGACAGTCTGGTTCAGCCGGACGGGCACCAAGAACACCAGGCTGATGGGGAGGCTCCTCTGCCCCAGGTTGCTGACCTGCACCGGGGAGGGCGGGGTCAGGGCTCTGGCCTTCCTCCCCCACCAGCCTGGAGAATCAGCCTCCCCTCCCCACGGGGCAGGCCATAGGCCCGGGCGTCCTGCCCCTTCCTGTTTGAGAGAGTAGAGTGTACATGTAATACGCATTCCAGTGCCACACGGCCTGGTCTCCAGTCCTAGCTCTCCCACTTACTCGGTGGGAGACCTCGAGCTTGTTCTGTAAACCTCTCTGAGCCTCAGTTTCTTCATCTGTAAACTGGGGATCATGACAGTGCCCCACAGAGTCGCTACGAAGGTAATACAAGATAACTACGTGCGTGCATGTCACATACATACGTGCGTGTATGTGTGCATACTGAGTGATAGCAGCGTGGAACCAAGCCTGGCACACCACAGGTGCCTTGCGCACATTTCCCATCCCTGTTTCTGCATTTTCTACCATCGATTTTCCTCCCCAGCCTCCTTCTCAGGACCCAGACGTCCCAGCTGCCCACCTGATATTGATGCTGCATGACCCGACTGGTATTCTCTGAGGCCGTGAAGTTGAGATATTTAGTGGAGACCCCATGGCTGAAGGGAGAAAAAAGGGACAGGAGGTGACAAAACATGAGGGGTGCCCTGGGAGGGTGTCTCAGGCTAAGTGTGTAAGGAGCGAACAGGCACATGGGTAATGGGTATGAAGTCCTGGGGGGTGGAGATGGGGTGGGGTGCAGGGGGATGGGGGAACCAATGTGTGCTGGACACACAGTGCGTGCCCATTTGGGCCACTCACACACACGTGCACAAATGCACACCCATGAGCACATACACACATGCACACAGACCCTCAGACACACACACGCACAAATACACACCCATGCACACATACATGCACATAGATCCTCAGACACACACACATGCACGAATACACACTCATGCACACATACATGCACATAGACCCTCACACACATGCACAAATACACACCCATGCGCACACACATGCACATAGACCTTCACACACACACATGCACAAATACACACCCATGCGCACACGCATGCACATAGACCTTCAGACATACGCACAAATACACACCCAGGCACACAGATCCTCATACACACACATGCACAAATACACACCCATGCACACAATGCACATATATCCTCAGACACACACATATGCACACACACCCATGCCCAGACACACATGCACATAGATCCTCACACACACATGCACAAATACACACCCATGCACAAGGATCCTCACACACACGCACAAATACACACCCATGCACGCACACACACATAGATCACACTCACATCCACAAATACACGCCCATGCACACATACACACATGCAGATACATCCTCAGACACACACATGCACAAATACACGTCCATGCACACAAACATGCACATAGATCATCACACTCACACACCCATGCCCAAATACACACCCATGCACACATACATGCACAGAGATCCTCAGACTCTCACACACACACACATGCACAGACTCATGCACACAGATGCACAATCAGCCATGTCCAGCCCAGAAGTGGAGGCTCAGCTAAAGTCCTGGAAGCCAGCACCTGGTGACCACCATGTAGACAGCATATTTCACCGGCAGCTCCAGTTGGAATTCGGTTTTGTTGGTTCTGGGCATGTTGTTCTCACTGGAGGGAAAGAAAGAGCTCCAGCCGGCTCTTGAGAACTGACAGTTAGTCTTTGCTCCTCCCTCTCCCTCACTCCCTGCCTCCAATCAGCCACCAAGTTCTGTTATCTCTGCATCTGAAACCCCACTGTTCTCCAACCCCTGCCCCCGCCTAGCCCAGGCCCATCCCTCTCCAGCTGGATGTCTGCAACCACCTTCTTCTAACTGGTCCCCTGAATTCACACCTGCTCCCACCCCAATCGCCAGCCCTCCTGAAGAGTGATCGTTCTAACATGCAAATATGATTATGTCACTCCCAGAGGCGAAACTGCAAATCCCAAACAACACCCGTCAGTCATTTTGGGACATGGCCTGTATCTAACCACCACCAACTCCTTCAGCCCTGCATTTCATGCTGAGGCCACTCTTAAACACACCCTGATCTTCCCGTCCCTGGTATCTGCTTCCTGCCTTCTGTCTTCATGCCCGCCCTCAGTTCATGCCTTTGCTTTGTCTAAATATATTTTCTTTTTTTCCCTTTTATTTTTTATTATTATTATTATTATTATTATTTTGACACTGGGTCTCACTCTATTGCCCAGGCTGGAGTGCAGTGGCACCATCTCAGCTCACTGCAGCCTCAATCTTCCAGGCTCAAGCAATTCTTGTGCCTCAGCCTCCTGAGTAGCTGGGATTACAGGCATGCACCACCATGCCTGGCTAATTTTTGTATTTTTTTTTTTTTGTAGAAACAGGGTATTGATATGTTGTCCAGGCTGATTTTGAACTCCTGGGTTCGAGCAATTGTTTTGCCTCAGCCTCCCAAAGTGCTGGGATTACAGGCTTGAGCCAGCACGCCCAGCTCCTAAATATATTTTCTTTAGGAATCTTCTCTGAACACCAAACTCCCAAGAACACTGGCCGTCCCCCATCTAATCTTGCATCTCATACTGGATTTGAGATGGATGCAAGATTAATGGCTAGATTTCTTGTCTGTCTTTGCCACTAAATTATCATCTCCGAGAGGGCAGGAACCACTATCGTCTGATCCACCACCATCCCACCAGCACTCAGCACAAGGCCCAGCACGTGGTGGGTGGTCAGTGAGTGTTTGCTGAGTGAACAAATGAGTTGAAGGGAGAACCAGTGGGCAAAGGGCAAAGGCCCACCATGGGCCAGGGGCTGGGGCGTCAGACGGGCAACTGCCTGCAGAAGCCTGGTAGCAGAGAGCACCTGGTCACATTGGCCTTGAGGAGCAGTTTGTTTCCAAGGGAAGCCTTAGAGTCTACATCAAACGTGATATTAAAGGTGACCTGGAGTGAGAGAAAGGAGAGACAATGACAGAAATATGAGAGAAAAAATAACCCAAATGCCCGTCATCTGATTAATGGAGACATGAAATATGGCCCATCCATGCAACAGGATATTGTTCACCAAATAAAAAGCAATGAAGGCCAGGTGCGGTGGCTCACACCTGTAATCCCAGCACTTTGGGAGGCTGAGGCAGGTGGATCACCTGAGGTCAGGAGTTCGAGACCAGCCTGGCCAACATGGCAAAACCCTGTATCTACTAAAAATACAAAAATTAGCTGGGTGTGGTGGCGGGCGCATGTAACCCCAGCTACTTGGGAGAGTGAGGCACAAGAATTGCTTAAACCTGGGAGGCAGAGGTTGCAGTGAGCCAAGATTGCACCACTGCACTCCAGCCTGGGCAACGAAGTGAAACTCCATCTCAAAAATATATATAAAAAATTTAAAAACAATTTTTTTAAAGCAATGAGGTACTGACATATACTACGACATGAATGATCCTTGCTAAGTCCTTGCTTAATATTATGCTAGGGAAAGGATCACATACGGGATTATTTCATTTATATGAAATGTCCAGAATAGGCAAATCTATAGACAAAGTAGATTAGTGGTTGCATAGGGCTGGGGGATATGGGAGGACTGGGGCTGAGGGCCAACGGGAACAGAAGCTCTTTGTGAGGTAATGAAGATGTTCCAAAATGGATCATGATGACGGATGCAAGACCCTATGAATTCACTCAAAGCCACTGAACTGTATACTTTATTTTATTTTATTTCATTTTATTTATTTTCAAGACAGGGTCTCACTCTGTCGCCTAGGCTAGAGTGCAGTGGTGTGATCATAGCTCACTGCAGCCTCAACCTCCCAGGCCCAGACGATCCTCCCACCCTAGCCTCCCGAGTAGCTGGGACTACAGGTGTGCACCACCACGCCCAGCTAATTTTTACATTTTTTGTAGAGACAGGGTCTCGCCGTGTCACCCAGGCTGGTTTCAAACTCTCGGGCTCAAGCGATCCTCCTGCCTCGACCTCCTAAAGTGCTATGATTACAAGCATGAGCCACTGTGCCGGGCTTGAAATGTATGCTTTAAATAGGTGAATTGGATGGTATATGAATTATATCTCAATAAAGCTGTTTTGTACAAAAAGGAACCACTACTAAAGAAGAGAAGAAGAAGAAAAGAATCCCCAAAGAAATCAAAGAGAAAAGGAGGGGAGGAGCCAGGAGTTCTGACCTCTGAGTTTTCCGGGAAGATGGGGTGGTTTATGCTGCAGCTGGTGCTCTTCAAGGCCCCAGACACTTCGGTGGAGGAGGCAGACTCACAGGCCAGGCGCCAGGATCGCTGTGAGCGCTGGTTCTGGAAGGCAGGGGAGGCAAAGGCGGTGATATCCACCTCCGGCCGTGAGGATGGGGAAGCAAAGGTCAGATAGAGCCTGAGAAGGATGTGGCTACCTGGAGCGTGGACACCTTCCGGTAGGACAGGTCAAGCGGGAAGAAGAAGGTGACCTGTGTCCTGTAGGAGTCCTCACCATCATTTCTCACAGTCACTGTCACGTTGAACTCCCGGGGCCCACCCACCACGAGGCAGTCCAGGCTGTGGGAAGAAGAAGACAGGCCGGGGGATGGGGCGCTGGGCTTCCCTGTGGCAAGCCTGCTCCAGCAGAACAGAGACGCAGACACTTGATGAAGAGACAACAGTGGAGGGGCAGCCACACCGGACCTTATAGCCCAGGAACACCCGGCTCCCTTGGGGGCCAGGAGGAGAAAAGAGCGGGTCATGGTACGGGTCCTTCTCTGGAGGAGGTGAGGAGGAAAGGAAACTCACCTCATGAAACTGAAGGTGATGCTGAGGTCATCCTGGCAGATGTTGTCATTGCCACAATTCTTCTCAAAGGGAAACTTTTAAAAAATAAATATGATCAAATGAAAGGAAAGAAAATAACCAAGTATTGTGAAATTAAACAATAAAATCAAATGTTGAAGTAAAATTAGATGCAATCAAATAAAATGAGTTTCAACCACCTTGGTCTCTGGTCTCTTCCACACCCCTGCAGGACCCCAACTCTGGACTCACCAAGGCTGTGAAGAGTCTCTGAGCATCCTCCGCCAGCACTGGCCGGAGGTTCCCGAAAGCAGACAATGGCGTTCCCACCAGAGAGAAGTTCAGGCGCAGCACAATGGGGCTCACTGGGTCCTCGATGCAATTCTAAGAGATAGCCGGGATTTGGGGATCTGCCCTCCTCAGCTCCCCAAGCCCACTCCATGCTTGGAAGACCCAGGGGTCTGGCCACTAGCCTGCTCACCGGCAACTGTAGTTTCAGGGTCTCACAAGTCTGGGTCAGCCCCAAGACCTGTGTCTGTCTGCGTGTGCTGTTCTTTGTCTCATTGAAGACGGCGCGGGAATGTGGGCGGCCGGAGTCCAGAGCCAGGTCATAAGTCACAACACTCTGGATCTGTCCTGAAGGGACAGGGTGGCACAGCAGTGAGGGGCCTGAGCCTCGGAACCCGGCAGATGGGAGTTCAAGGCCCAGCTCCTCTGCTTCTCAGCTGTGTGACTTGGGGTATGTTATCTGACTTCTCTGAGTCTTCTTTCCTTCCTTCCTTCCTTTTTCTTTCTTTCTTTCTTTCCTCGCTCTCTTCCTCCCTTTCCTTCCTTCCTTCCTTTTTTCCTTTCCTTTCCTTCCTTCCTTTTCTTCCTTTCCTTCCTTTCCTACTTTCCTTCCTTTCCTTCCTTCCCTTCTTCCTTCCTTCCTTTTCTTCCTTTCCTTCCTTTCCTACTTTCCTTCCTTTCCTTCCTTCCCTTCTTCCTTCCTTCCTTTCTTTTTATTTTTTATTTTCTTTTTTGAGACAGAATCTCACTCTCTTGCCCAGGCTGGAGTGCAGTGGTGCCATCTCAGCTCACTGCAACCTCTGCCTCCCAGGTTCAAGCGTTTCTCCTGCCTCAGCCTCCCAAGTAGCTGGGATTATAGGCACATGCCACCACGCCGTGCTAATTTTTGTATTTTTAGTAGAGATGGGGTTTCACCATGTTAGCCAGGCTGGTCTCAAAGTAATCCACCTGCCTCAGCCTCCCAAAGCGCTAGGATTAAAGGCATGAGCCACTGCGCCTGGCCTCCATTCTTTATTTTTAAAGTGAGGATAATAATGATACCCTCCCAATGGTAAAAAGGAAATGAAATAGTGCTTATCAAGTATTTAGCACAGTGTCTTTTATACAATAAGTGCTCAATAAATGGTAGCTATTCTGTCACTCACTAAAAAATTTATTGTATTTTTCTGACTACTTTAAATTTTTTTCTCTTTGTCTTTGGTCTTCAGCAGTTTGATTATAACGTACAATGATATAATGTCCTTCATATTTATCCTGCTTTGATTTTGTAAAGAATCTTGATGTCTTTCATCAGTTTGGGGAATTTTTTTTTTTTTTTTTGAAATGGAGTTTCGCTCTTGTCACCCAGACTGGAGTGCAATGGGGCGATCTCAGCTCACTGCAACATCCGCCTCC